>NC_000017.11:79639671-79940081 GCF_000001405.40 Homo sapiens
GCAAGAATGGTTCAACATACATAAATCAATGTTATATACTACATTAACAGAATGAAAGGGAAAATCTATATAATCATCTAAATAGACATAGAAAAAGCATCTGACAAAGTTTAACATCCATTCATGATTAAAACTCTCAACAAAATAGCTATAGAAGAAACTTACCTCAACACAGTAAAAGCCCATAACTAATATCATAATCAATGGGAAAAAAACTGAAAGCCTTACTATAAGATCTGGTGCGAGTAAAGGATGCCCACTCCCATCATTTCTATTCAACGTAGTACAGGAAGTTCTAGCCAGTGCTATTAGACAAGAAAAAGAAATAAAAGCATCCAAATCAGAAAGAAGTAAATTTTTTTCTATTTGCAGATGGCAAGATGATATACGTAGAAAACCCTAAAAACTCAACAACCAAAAAACTGCTTTAAAAAATTCTGTAAAATTACAGAATACAAAGTCAACATACAAAGATCAATTGTGTTTCTATACACAACAATTAAGTATGTGAAAAGGAAATTAAGAAAGTAATCCCATTCACAATAGCAACAAAAAAAGACTTAGGAATAAACTTAAAGAGGTTGAGGGCTTGTACAGTGAAAATTATAAAACACTGATGCAGGAAATTAAAGAAAATAGACATAAATGAAAGGACATCCTGTGTTCATGGATTGGAATAATTAATATAGTTAAAATGTGCATACCACCTACCACGCAAAGTGATCCACAAATTCAGTGCAATCCCTATCAAAATCCCGATGGCATTCTTTACAAAAACGAAAAAATAATCCCAAAATTTGTATGGAATCACAAAAGATCCTGAATAGCCAAGCAATTTTGAACAAGAACAAAGCGGGAGGCATTACACTTCTTGATTTCAAATATCACAAAGCTACAGTAATCAAAATATTATGGTACTGATATAAAACAGATATATAGACCAATCGAACAAAATAGAGAGCCCAGAAATAAATTCATTCATTTATAATCAACAGATCTTCAACAAGGGTGCCAAAAACACACAATGGAGAAAGGCTAATCTCTTTAATAACTGGTGTTTAAAAAAACTGAAGATTCACATACAGGAGAATAAAACTGGACTCTCACCTCACTCCATACACAAAAATCAACTTAAAATGGATTAAAGACATACATGTAAGACCCAAAGCCATAAAACTACTAGAAGAAAACATAGGGAAAAAAACTTCTTAACATTGGTCTGGCCAATGATTTTTTTGGATATGACACCAAAAGCATAGGCAATAATTCTAAAAATAAGTGAGATTGCATCAAACTAAAAAGCTTCTGCATAACAAAGGAAACAATAAAGCCAGGGTGAAAAGGAAAGCTATAGAATGGGAGGAATATTTGCAAATCATATATCTAACAAGAAGTTAATATCCAAAATATATAAGGAACTCAAACAACTTAATAGCAAAGAAACAAATAACCCAAGTTTAAAATGGGCTAAGTACTTGAATGACATTTCTCAAAAGAAGTCATACAAATGGCCAATAGGTATATGAAAAGGTGGTCATTATTAACTATCAGAGAAATGCAAAGCAAAACCACAGTTAGATATTCCCTCACACTTGTTAGGATGGCTATTATCAAAAAGACAAAAGATAACAAGTATGGGCAAGGATGCGAAGAAAAGGGAAACCTTGTACATTGTTGGTAGAAATGTATGTTGGTACAGCCATTAGGGAAAACAGTATGGAGTCCTTAAAAATTAAAAATAGAACTACCATATGATCCAGCAAGACTACTTCTAGGTATATATTCAAAGAAAATGAAATCAGTTTCTCAAAGAGACAACTGCACCCCCATGTTTATTGCAGCATTATTCACAATTGCCAAGATATGGAAATGGGAAACAACTTAAGTGTCCATCAGTAAATGAATGGTTAAAGAAGACGTTACATACATAATAGAAAACTATTCAGCCTTTAAAAAGAAGAAAATCCTGCCATTTGCAACAACACAAATGAACCTGGAGGACTGATATGATTTGGATCTGTGTCCCCACCCAAATCTCATGTCTAATTCTAATCCCCAATGTTGGAGGAGGGGCCTGGTGGGAAGTGATTGGATTATGGGGGAGGTTTCTCATGTTTTAACACCATCTCCCTTGGTGCTGTTGTGCTGATAATGAGTTCTCATGAGACCTGGTTGTTTAAAAATGTGTGGCACCTTCCCCTCTCTCTTCCTCTTGCTCTGGCCATGTAAAGTGCTAGCTCCCCCTGCACCTTCCACCATGATTATAAGTTTCCTGAGGCCTCCCCAGAAGCAGATGCCACCATGCTTCCTGTACAACCTGCAGAACTGTGAACCAATTAAACCTCTTTTTTTAATGAGTTACCCAGTCTCAGGAATTTCTTTATGGCAAAGTAAGAATGGACTAGTACAAGGACATTATGTTAAGTGAAATAAGCCAGACACAGAATGACAAATACCGCATTATCTCACTTATATGTGGAATCTAAAAATGTCAAACTCATAAAAACAAATAATAGAATGATGGCTGCCATTGCTGAAGGGTGGGAGGAAATGAGGAGGTGTTGGCCAAAGGACATAAAGGTCCGGTTATGTGGGATAAATAAGTTCCAGAAATCTAATGTACATTATGGTGACTATAGTTAATAATAGTTGAAATTTGCCAAGAGGGTAGATTTTTAAGTATCTTCACCACAACAAAAAATACTGCAACTATGTGAAGTGATAGGCATGTTAATTTGCTTGATTGCAGTAACCATTTCACAATGTATATATATATACAAATTCATCATGTTTTACACCTTAAATATATACAATTTTTATTTGTCAAGTATACCTCCATAAAGCTAGAGGAAAGTATTTTAAGAAAGCATGCTGTCATTTTCTTGTGAATTTAATGATCTCTCTCACTTCACTTTTTTATTGTTAATGTCATATGGGCTTATTATAGGGAAAAAAAGTATAAAGTCTAGATAAAGTAAAAAGTACAGCAGACAAAGCTAATATATAAATTAAAATGGAACACTAAAACAAACAAAGTTAACCACAAAGAAGGCCGAGAAGGAGGTACAAATGCACGAGAAACAGAGGACACAAACAGAAAACAAATAGGAAAATGATAGATCAATTCTAGCCATATCAATAAGTACGCAAAATACCAATGGACTAAATCTTTCAGTTAAAAGGTGGAGGTTATCAGCTACAAATATAGATCGAGCACTTTTTAAAAGGCTTAAAATGAGCCTGAGCAACATAGAGAGACCTCGTCTCTACAAAAAATTAAATTAGCCTGGCATAGTGGTGCACTCCTATAGTCTCAGCTACTCAGGAGGCTGAGCTGGGAGGATCGCTCAAGCCCAAGAGTTCAAGGTTGCAGTGAGCTGTGATCACACCACTCCACTCTGGCCTGAGCAACAAAGTTGGACCCTGTCTCTAAAAAACAAAAGGCTTAAAAATGATACCATGCTAACAATAAGCATAAGAAGGCTAGATGGGTTACATTAATGAAAATAAATTAGACTTGAAGACAATGGATATTAACAGAAATAAAGAGTAACATCACGTAATATTAAAAGATTTAATTTTTAGGAAAATATATAATTCGCAAGCATAAAGGGCCTAAGAGAAGAACTTCACAATACATAAGGAAAAAGCCAAAAGAATTAAAGGGAGAAATCTATAATCATAGTTGGAAATTCTAACACCCCTCTCTTGACAACTGATAGAACAAGTCAAGAGAAAATCTGAATAACATCATTAACTACTTTGTCCTAATAGCCATTTATAGAACACTAAATTCAACAACTGCCAAATACTCATTCTTTTCAAGTTTACATGACATATTCACCAAGATAGATCATGTGCTGGGCCATTTTTTTAAAAGTCTTCATACATTTCAAAAGATTGAAACTTGCTGAATATGTTTTCTGACCACACGGAACTAAATTAAAAATTGATGACAATAAGATATATGGGAAAATCCCCCAAATATTTGGAAATTAAACAATACATTTCTAAATATTCTATAGGTCAAAGTAGAAATCACAAAGCACATTTTAAAATATTTCAAACTGAACAGTAATGAAGAAACAAATATCAAAATTTGTGAACTATAGCTAAAATAAAGCTTAGAGAAAATTTGTAGCTTTAATATGCTTATATTAAAAAAGACGTTCTCAAATTAATGAACTAAGCTTCTACCTTACAAAACTTTTTCTTAAAAAGTAATTAAAAGGAAATAATACAAATAATAGCAGAAATTGAGTAAATGGAAAACAGACAAAAAGAAAATTAACAGAGCTAAAAGATGGTTCTTTGAAAAGATCAATAAAAAAAGAGAAAACACAAGAGAGATCTCTAGAAATCCTACATATATTAAAAGGTTAATAATGGAATATTAAGAACAACTTTATGCCAATACATTCAACTATTTAAATGAGATGGACATATTTCTGAAAACACAACTTACCAAAATTGACACAAGATGAAATAGAACATTTGAGTAGAGATTGAATACATCATCAAAAACTTTCCCATGAAAAAATTTCAGGTCCAGGTGGTTTTACTGGTGAATTCTATCAAAACATTCAAAGAAGAAATAATTCTACTGGAACTTTTGCAGAAAATAAAGTAAAATCTTCCCAGTATGCTTTATGAGGCCAACATAACTATGATATCAAAAACTGATAAAGACATTACAAAGAAAAGCACAGACTGACATAACTCATGAATATAGAAACAAAAATTCTCTACAAAATACTAGCAAAATAAAATTAGCAGTAACATTGTTGAATTTTATCTCAGCAATGCAAGGTCTTTTATATTAAGAAATCCTAAAGAATCTATAACATAACTAGAACTAAGCAGTGTATTTATCAAGATCATAATATACGTAATCAATACTTAAAGATCAATTGTATTTTTATGTTTAGAGATAAAAATAATAAATAACATTTTTTAAATCCACTTGCAATGATGCCACAAATAATAAATTTTAAAATAGGTTTAATAACATGTGAACGAAGTGTACGTTGGAAATTAAATATCTCAGGAAGAAATTAAAAGCATCTCTGGGCGAAAGTAAAGAAGACCTAAACAAATGAAGACATATATCATGATTATGTAAGCAGAGAATTCCATATTGCTATGACGTCATTTTCTTCCACTCAATATAGAAATTCAATGCAACTGTAATCAGAATCCCAACAGGCTTCTTTGTAGAAATTGACAAGCTGGTTCTAAAATTTTTATGGAAATGTGGAAGGCTCAGAAAATGGCAACTTTATTCTTCCAATTGTTCAGAAAAACAAAACACCTGTAGTTATCCTCACCTCCTCTCTTCCTTTCAGGCTTCGTGTGTAATCTAGCAGTAAACTTGTGCTGACTCTGCCTTCACAATATACTCAGAGTCTAATCACTTCTCACCAATTCTGCCACCACTGCTCAGACTCAAGCTGCCCTTACCGCTCACCTGGGCCATCGTGAAGCCCCCGAACGGTCTCCCCACATCCACACCCCGCCTTTCGCTTATTCTTCTTTCGCTCATTCTTAGGTCAGTTCATGTCCCTCCTCTGCTCAGAACCCCAAAACCTTGCGTGCAATGTCCAGCAAGTGCACCTGTGTGGTGTGCCCCACCCCTCAGTCCCACCCTCCTCCTCCTGACTAGCCACCCGCCAGAAACACCGCCTCTTTATGCGCCACCAAATGCCAAGCACACTTTGGCCACGGAGACCTTGCAGTTCTGGTGGCCCCTACCTGGAATAATCCTCCTCAGATATCCTCATGCCTCTTCCCCACCCTTCAAGATGATGCTGAATGTCACCTTCTAAGCGAGGCTTGCCTGAGGACCCTCTTAAGACCTCATACCTTCCAGCTGCCCCTTCTCTCCATCCCCTGCTTCCAGCCCTACACTTGCCACTGGGTCTGCCAACTTCCCAGTCCAGCCCAGGGAGCCCAGGCCTGGCATCACCCAACTGCCCAGCCCATCCCTGGCATCATCCAGTTCACCGTCTTTCCCTTAAACACTTGCTGCCTGGACCGCAGCGGCCTCCTTCACTTAAGGCACAGGGCTGCCTGGCCAGGGCAGAAGGAGTGAAGCGGGGTTAGCCTGCAATGAGCCCTCACCTGACAGAAGAGGAGCCCTCACCTGGCAGGCAGATGGGGTAAAGTAGAGGGAACCTTGAGACACCCCCATGGAGGGGCCCAGAACCAACCTGTGAAGTTTGTCAGGACTCAAAAGGAATCTGCAATAATTCGACATCCTTGATTTAGATGGATGCTCCTGCACCTCCCGCAAAAACTGTTTCCTCTCTTTACATCCACCTCTCTCCCCACTCTCTCCCTTGCACTAAGATCCACATCTTCTCTTGGTCTCCTGGCCTCTCCCCCTCCACCCTTTCACAGTTAGTGGGCTTCGGGATCTTGTATCTCACCCCCAACCCCCAGCCACTCCCTTCCCCAGAAAGACACCGTGATCTGTCATGCATGTGCCCAAAATGTACAATTGATTTTTTTCTTAGGAAACTCACCTTCCATCCCTTGTCACACACACTGAGACCCAGGGTATTCTTGCAGAACAAGTTTGCAATGTCCCAGGTATTGTTCAGAAACAGATGGTACAATGGAAGGTGTTGTCAGAAAACGTGACATGAGAAGTTTAACCAAAAACTGAAAAAGAAAAATGAGTCCCATTGTATTAGTCTGTTCTCACACTGCTAATACAGACTGGGTAATTGATAAAGAAAAGAGGTTTAATGAACTTACAGTTCCACATAACTGGGGAGGCCTCACAGTCATGGCAGAAGGCAAAGGAGAAGCAAACGCATGTCTTATGTGGTAGCAGGCAAGAGAGTGTGTGCAGGGGAACTCACACTTATAAAACCATCAGCTGTTGTGAGACTTATTCACTACCATGAGAACAATATGGGGGAAACTGCCCCCATGATTTGATTATCTCCACCTGGCCCTGCCCTTGACATGTGGGGATTATTATAATTCAAGGTGAGATTTGGGTGGGGGCACAGCCAAACCATATCACCCATATCACAAAGACCAAACCTGACCTGCCCATTTGCTACCCCCAACCCCAATATCTCTCCTGTCTGGCTCTGCTCTGCCGCCAGCACCCTGACTGTCCCTCTGTCCTGCCAGCCACCCTCTGCCCCATGACCTTTGCAAGTGCTGATCCATCTGCCTGACCTGCTTTTCCCCAGATACCCACACAGTTCACTTGCTGGCCTCACTCAGGCCTTTGCACTGCCTGGCCTTAGCAGAGAGGATGGCCCAGTGTACAACTACAGCATCCCCAGCCCAGCAGTGGAGCCAGGGGACAGGGGACAGGCCAACCCCACCTCTCCTCCTTGATTTTATTTCCTCTGTGACATTTTCACTGCCGTGTGTGTGTGTGTGTGTGTGTGTGATCTCCTTGCACTAGAATGAGTGAGAGGACTTCATCTGCTCATGGCTGAGCTGTAGCCCTGATGCCTAGAGCCGTGCCCAGCCATGCCCAGCAACAGGGCACCTTTCATAAACAACCATGAACTGAGCAGCCGCTGTCAGCATCACTCCACCGGTGTCGCCTGCAGAAAGCCTGACACATCCATGGGAATGGCTCCCAGGAACAACACATTCCCCTGAAAATGGGTGAGTTCCTCTCTCCCATAGCCTCCAGTTGCCCCTTTGACCCTCCTCTGCCTCAACGCAGTGCGAGGTCTCTGCACAGGAAAGCAGCAATGAGACCCACAGCACAGCAGCTGCCACTCATGTCAGCAATGCCTCCAGCTAATTCATGCAACTGCCGGGGAGGATGCCTTAATACCTCTGCACAAGACAGAGTAATTACGTCTAAACATAGCTGCTTCCACACTGTCTCCATTTCCCGGCACTGGGAAATCTCTGGCCCAGAGTCAGCTCTCTGCCATCTCCCCCAGCCCCGGGAGCCTGGGGCCATCCCACATCTGTGGGAGCACCAGAGAAGCACATGCCACACAGAGCACCCCAGCCCACAGGCCCTGCTGCCCCTAACTGCACAAGGTCATGGCACAGCGCATGACCAGGGCCTTGTGGCTCAGGGCTTCGATCCACCTGACCCCTGCCTCCTCCCCAACCTTCCACCCCACTCTCCAATGGCCCGGGTCACCCTGCCCCACCCCCAACTCACACCTGTCTCCCACCTCCAGGGCCAGTGCTGTGGTGGACACAGAGCCCACCTGGGGGTGGAGTGGTAGAGACAGAGCCCACCTGGGGGTGCAGTGGTGGACACAGAGCCCACCTGGGGGTGCAGTGGTGGACACAGAGCCCACCTGGGGGTGCAGTGGTGGACACAGAGCCCACCTGGGGGTGCAGTAGGAGACACAGAGCCTCCTGGGGGTCCAGCAGGGGACACGGAGCCCATCTCAGGGTGCAGTGGTGGATGCAGAGCTGGTCTGGGGGTGCAGTAGTGGGCACTGCTAGTCCCTCCGAAGCAACAGTTCTCAGAGTTGGGAGCATCAGGCATGGTCAGACAGTGTGAGACGAACTGGATGGGCCTATGAATGTGGTCAGGGACACTCAAGATGAGCTCTGCTCATGGCCAGCATGGGACTGGCAAGAGTACCTGCAGGACAGGGAGCGGTGCAGATGACGTGGGTAATGGAGACCTAGAGCTTAGCTTAGGCTGCACAGTCAGGACCTAACTCACGGGCACGTCCTCCCCAGAGGCAGGTCACCCAAGAACTGGGCCGCTGAGGTATGAAACAGATGCCTGGGTTTGCATCCTGCTCTCCAGTTACCAAGCTCTCCAGACCCCTGCAATAGCATTGTGGGGACAGGCGTGGCCCCATTGCAGAGGCTGGTAAGGAGGCTGTGCCTGAAGCATGTCCAGCAAGCCCTGCAAACAGCAAGTACTCCACGATGTTAGCTGTGGCTGTGACTCTGTCATCCCTCCACAGGACCTGGCCACCTCTGCCTCGTTGGGGCCGATGGGGGCATGGCAGTACTTCCTGGTATTAGGGTCCAAGGACACCCCTCAGAGCCATGGCCAGGTATGGAAGCGGTTACATAACTCCGGCAGGGGCTGGGGCTGCTCTCCAAATGTCCCCACGCCATCAAGGTTTCCCAGCCTCCCTTGCAGGATGCTGGATCCCTGTGGCCAGTGGGTTGCGGGCAGAAATGATACAAGCCGTTTCACACCTGGCCCTTAAAACCCTCTTGCTCCAGCCTCTCCCACCCACACCTATGCCCCACCACAGCCACCTGTGGTGTTACATTCCAGATGCCATGGCCACAGGATAAGGAAGACAGCTCAATCAGCTTAGCATGAGTGAAAAATGTCTTTTTTTTTTTTTTTTTTGAAACATAGTCTCACTCTGTAACCCAGGCTGGAGTGCAGAGCTACAATTGCAGCTCACTGCAGCCTCCACTTTATGGGTTCAAGTGATCCTCCTGCCTCAGCCTCCCAAGTAGCTGGGACTACAGGCACACACCACCATGCCTGGCTAATTATTTTTATTTTTTGGTGGAGATGGGGTCTTGATGATTGCCCAGGCTGGTCTCAAACTCTTAGCCTCAAGTGATCCTCCCACCTTGGCTTCCCAAAGTGCTGGGATTACAGGTGTGAGCCACCATGACCAGCTGAGAAATAAACATCTACTGGGACAAGCCAGTGAGATGCCTGGGCTTGTTTGTTAGCACAGAAGAACCTGGTTTATCCTGACTCACCCAACAACTTTGAATGCACCTACATTAGTCTGTTCTTGCACTGCTATAAAGAAATACTTGGCCAGGTGTAGTGGTTCACACCCATAATTCCAGAACTTTGGGAGGCCGAGGCGAGTGGATCACCTGAGGTCAGGAGTTCAAGACCAGCCTGGCCAATGTGGTGAAACCCCGTCTCTACGAAAAATACAAAAACTAGCCAGGCATGATGGCGGAGGCCTGTAATCCCAGCTACTGGGGAGGCTGACGCAGGAGAATCACTTGAACCTGGGAGGCGGAGGTTGCAGTGGGCGGAGATAGCGCCATTGCACTTCAGCCGACAGAGCAACACTCCACCTCAAAAAAGAAAAAAAGAAATACTTGAAACTGGGTAATTTTTTAAGAGGTTTAATTGGCTCAAGGTTCTGCAGGCTGTACAGGAAGCATGATGCTGGCATCTGCTTGGCTTCTGGGGAGGCCTCAGGAAACTTACAGTCATGGAGGCAGGCGAAGGGGAAGCAAGGTATCTTCCATGGTGGAGCAGGAACAAGCAGGGAGGGAGGCGCTACCCACTTTAAACAATCAGATCTCACAGTAACTCACTCACTATCAGGAAGACAGTACCAAAGGGTGGGTGCTAACCCATTCATGAGAAACCGGCCCCCTGATCCAATCACGTCCCACCAGGCCCCACCTCCAACATTGGGGATTACATTTCAACATGAGATTTGAGCAGAGACACAGATCCAAACCATATCAGTGCCTGTGCAAGGACCTCTCATCATAAAAACAATGTTTCTAGGGAAAGCTTTGCTGGAAGTTCCCAACAACTGATGGTGAATTATCCCCAACTAAACTGGGGGGATTCGATTTTTCCACTCCTTT
This sequence comes from Homo sapiens, assembly GCF_000001405.40. Classification (NCBI taxonomy): domain Eukaryota; kingdom Metazoa; phylum Chordata; class Mammalia; order Primates; family Hominidae; genus Homo; species Homo sapiens. The sequence continues at coordinate 79,650,226 of NC_000017.11, forward strand.
CTCTCTCTAATCACCCAAAACAGATAAGAAGCAGAAACAGAATGAATTAGAGAGTAATGCTGGATGCCCGGGCCGAGGGAGAAGGGCAGAGCTAGGGACCTGTGGGGTGGGCCAGGGACGGGGCTGCTGATGGCAAGCAAGTTGATTTGCCCTAAGGAACCTCCAAAACTCAGGGAAAGCAGAGGCCCTGGGTACTTTAAAGGCCCAGGGGAGGCCAAGGCACTGGGGGTTCTCATAAGGATTCTGCACCCTGCCAGCCTCATTGCAGCCACGCCGCTCTCCCACCCACTGAGGCGCATTTCCACTAGGACGTGAACCAGAGAGACCTGGGGCTCAGGGATGCCAGGCTCACAGAGCAGGGGACAAGCACAGTACTGAAGGACTATTAAACAGAAGTCTCCGGCCCCTCCACTGCCCACCCCAGAACCCAGGACCCACCCCAGGCAGATCAGAGGATGCACTTCTGGAGAGACTAAAGCTCCCCAGAGAACAGACCTATAAATACACCGACACTTAGGAGTCACAGTAGAAAGGCAGCTGTCCACCCATGGCCCCCGAGGGAAGACTGCCATCGACGTCAGCGCCCACCAGTCCCCGGCATCTCCAAGCGCCCTGCAGGCTCCAGGGTGGCACCAGCATCTCCATGCCTGAAGCTTCTCCTAAAACCTCAGAAGATGGCTCTGCCTCTCGTGGGGGTGACAGGGTCCTGGCCTTTACCCTCGGCCTCTCCAAGAGCCCTGCACCCGGGACTCGCCTGAGGTGGGGCATAAACACCCCAGCTCCGCCAGCGCCATCCAGGCAGGGGATTCCAGGTGTGTGTTCTGCACTGTTCCTCAGAGGTCCCTGCAGGGTTGAGTTCCAAACACACGCACTGCAGGATTGAGTCACCAAGTCGCCGGTTTGGTGATGCACCCCTTCTTGGCGGCCTTCCCTTCCAGGGTCCACGTGCCCACTTCCCCTACCAGGGCTTCCTCCACCTCCCCAGTAAACTGCTTTCCCCCAAGCCTTGGCTCAGGGTTGGCTTCTGGAGGAACCTAGATAGAGAGGGTCTGTGAGCTCCTGGCCATCAGCTCGATGCTGCAGGTCTTAAACATAAGGGGAAAGACAGACAGCGCCAGAGAGTTGAGAAAAGTCTCCAGTGGACAACAGCAACCAAAACAACAGACAGGGGAAGATGCGGATCATGTTCTGTGGTGCCAGACTCCAAAATGGCTGCCTTCTGGTGGTGACACCCCCGGGCCGTCCCCTCCCACTGTTCCAGGTTGGTCTCTGTGACTGATGGAGTGTGGCATGCAATGTGACTGGTGATATGGCACTTCCGAGATTAAGCTACAGAAGATGCTGCAGCTTCCATCTTGGTTTGTCCTCTCCCTTTCTCCTTTTCTCTCTTGCCCCCTTTCCTCTCTCTCTCTCTCTCTCTCTGTCTCTCTCTCTCCTCCCCCGCCTCTCTCCCTCCCTCCTTCCCTCCCCCTCCCCCCTCCCTCCCTGTCTCTCTTTCCCTCCCTCTCTCCTTCTCTCTCTGCCTTTCTCTCTGTCTCCCCCTCCCTCTCCCTGTCCATCCTTCTCCCTCTCCTTCTCTGTCTTTCTCTCTGTCTTCTTCCTCTCTCTCTCTCTTCTCTCTCTTTCCCCCCCTCCACCACCCCCCATCACTGGCTTTGAGGGAAGCCACCTGCCATGTCAAGCAGCCATATGGAGAGGCTCACGTGCCGAGGAACTGCAGCTCCTGCCAGCAACCAAGTGGCTGAGCTTGGGAGCAGATCCTTCATCCCCAGTCATGCCCTAGATGCCCCCAGCCCTGGCAAACATATTGACTGCAAATTCACGACACACCCCAAGCCAGAACCACCCAGCTAAGCCCAACCAGATCCCCCGCCCATGGAAACTGTGAGATAAAAGCCATTTGCTGTTTTAAACCATTGTGTTTGGGGGTAATTTGTGACATAGTAATAGATAACTAGTACAAGTGTATGCTTTACAAAGAGAAGAAAACTTCAAAGAATCCATTAATATTGTCACAGAGATGAGAAAAGATACTACATCCATGAAACAAGAAGAAATAGAGAACAAGAATGTTTGCAAGTTAAATATAATAACATAAGCTGGGGTCAATAGAAGTGTTAGAAAATAAAATTGATGCTTGAGCCCAGGAGGTCAAGGCTGCAGTGAGTTATGATTGTACCAGTGCACTCCAGCTGGGGTGACAAAGCAAGATCCTGTCTGGAAAGAAAGAGAGAGAGAGAGAGAGAAAGAGAGTGTGGGATAGGTGCAGAAGAAAGGAAAGGAAAAGGAAAGGAGAGGGGAGGGGAGGGGGAAAAGAACGAGAGAAAGAGAGGAAGGAAAGGAAAGGAAAGGAGAGGAGAGGAGAGGAGAGGAGAGGAAAGGAAAGGAAAGGAAAGGGAAAAGGGAAAAAGAAAGATTGAGAACATTTCCCAGGAAGCAGGACAAAAAGGCAAAGAAATGTACAGTCGGTTTTTGTTTGTTTTAACTGAAGAGTTAGGTAATGAAGCCAGGAGTTCCAGCATTTGATAAACAGAAGTTCCAGAGAGAACAGAGAAAATTAAGGGAATAAAATTATCAAAGAAATAATACCATAAATGTCCCCAGAACTGAAAGGCATTAAGTCTTCAGGTTTAAGACCATTCCAAGTGTCCAAACAATGAAAACTATAGGCACACCTTTATGACATTTCAGAACACCAAGGATAAAAGCTTCCAGAGAGAAGAAAATGGGGCCATATAATAGGATCAAAAGCTGAATGTCATCACCATTTTCTACAGCAGCATGGAAATCAGAATTTAGTGGGAAAAAAAATGCCTTCGAAATTCTAGGTAAAAATAATTTCAAACCCAGGATTCTGTACTCAACCAGACTCGTTAACTGAACATGAGAACAGAATAAAGAGGCTTAGGATATTATAAGAGAATGTGCTCCACTAAGGCCAAGCAGTAAACAAAAAGATAAAGCTGCTAGATCCAGGAACATGCACGTCGGCACAGGGTTGAGCAAAGAAAAGTCCTGGATGAGAGCCCTGCAGCTGCCTTAACAGTAACCTGTGAGTGCCAGGGCACAGGTCTGAGGGCCCCAGGACAACTTCCCCAGGCAGAAAAGAGGGCTAAGATGTGTTGACTACGTGGAAGGTTGTATGAAAAGGCATGTTGGAAGGTGTACAAAACCCTAAGCCATTATTAACTCCAGGATAAACAGAAAGTTGTACAACAAAAAAGAAAAATGTTACAGTTATCATTGTTATAGTAAGAAAAACCTTAATGTAGATTTAACGAAGATTGAGGTTTCATTGTTTAGGTGTAAGTGAGATAAAAACCCGATCTACCATAAAAGAAAGCTTAAAGATGAAGTGTAAAAATAATGAATCGATAGCTTCGAGTGTATAAGCAATGTTCAGAAATGCAGAGGTTAATTCCGGAAGAAACAGCTAGCAGTAGAAGAATAGGCAGAAGTAGGAAGGGGGAAAGAGAATGCTGGTGTTTATTATAAATTTGGAGCATAATTTCAATTTTAAAACTATTTGCATGTCGTGGTTTTTTTTTTAAAGTTAGCTGGATTTCCAGCACTTTGGGAGGCTGAGGTGGAAGTCTTGCTTGAGACCAGGAGTTTGAGGCCAGCCTAGGCAACATAGCAGGACCCTGTCTCTACCACCAAAAAAAAAAAAAAAAAAAGTTAATTCAGCTTTTTAAAAACTCATAAAAATAAAATGTTAGGGCACCTGTACTGGAAAGTCTCACCAATTCATACAAGTTGTTTGGTTTGTCACCTGAACAGTATGATTTTGAAAGAAATACTGCTCTTTTTTTTTTCATCTCCACAAAGTAGGTTATCTAAAGCAAGCAGTTTTGCTAAAAGGATAAACAAGGGCATGAAAGAAAGAGGGAATTGTGGACGTATACAGCTTGCAAAGGCCTTCCAGTTTTCTGGTCCAAGCCACTCATTCATTGCACAGACTGGTAAATCGAGCACCGGAGAGGCTGTGTTTACCCCAAGATGGGTGGGTAACAACCAGCACAGCCAGTCTCTGACCAGCTTTCGGACTCTCCAGCCCCTGAGCCCCTCTAGACTACCCTCCAAAGAATTTTTTCACAGTGGGAAGACTCTTCTAGGGCAGGTGGCCTGGCACTGAGGTCAGGGAGCAGGGAAAGGGAAGACACTGGAAAATGAGTTCCAGACACACCTAAGCAAATGAAAGAAGCATTAGAAAAGGTTACCTTGGCTGGGGCATGTCTAAAAGACTCAGCCCATGTTCCTGATCCTTTTCTGAAGACATTGAAAACTCTACAGATCAAAAAGTCTACGGCCCAGCTGGAGAATTCAAATAGACATGGGCACCAACCGCCCCCAGGTACAAGCCCCTCGGTGTAAGGGAAGGAGTCCCTATTAAGGAGCTCTAACTTTAACAAAATGACCTGATTTCCAAACAAAAAGAACTGGACTTACCCAGGTAGCAGAATTTTGTCCTTCAGAATCGTTTTAGCACCTTGCAGGGGAGGGCCCCTTTTTTAAAATGCTATCTCATTTGGAACATCTGGGAATTCCACTTTGAGAGGTGGCCTTCAGAGCCAACGTAAAATCCACAAGGAGAAAATGGGTCTCATCGCTTTATGGGCCTCTCCCTCTCTCTGAAGCAACATTATGCAAATGCCTCCTGGCTGCTTCCACAAAGCGAGCCTACCGTCTAAGGACTAAGATCTGACTCCGCGGAAGGACAGGAAAAACAGAATAAACTGTACAGTCTGAATGGGATTCTAGAGGAGAGTTCCAAAGCGACTGGACCATGCCATTAGCACGAGTCTGAGGCTTAGCTTCCCGACGAGGCTGTTGGAAGGGAAAGCACCCAAGTAGATGAACACACCGGGCCGTGAGTTAAATGTCGGGTGGAAGCTCAGGTCAGTCCACTCTGCTGAGTGCTATTCTGTGTCCTGCACTGGTCCCTGGGGCCACAGGAAAAGCCCTGCACCCGGACCAGCACGAAGAGGGCACAGGTCTGACCTAAGTCCGCAGGGGGAAAAAGCGGGAGACAGGGAAGTCACTGACGGTGGCCAGGCCCTAGGTTCATGTCTCAGTTCCTGGACTCCCTGACCAGGTGACCTTGAGGCTGTGTGCCCAGGGAAATAACCACGTTCCCACCCCCCAGAGCCATCTATAGGACTCAATGAAGTAATGCATAAAAATTGCAGTAACTGTCAAATAGAAAGTCCTCAACCAATGTAAGCTGTGACTATGTGTCCAAACCCTTTATCCTAAATTCAAAAATTCCAAAAGCTCTGAAAGCCTAAAGTTTTACCTTCTAATTTTGGCAGTAAAACTCATTTGGCAGCAAAACTTGACCTGAGCCGGCAGGAGGCCATTGGTGGCCTTTACTGACCCTGACAGGGACTGGCTGTGCCTTTTGCTTCCAAAACACCCATGTGTGAGAATGAAGTACAGCTCCAGACTCACTGAGACTCTTATGAGGTAGAAAGCAGGTATGGCCCATGATCTCTCTATAAGAAGGTTCTGGAACAGTCAGTGTGGTCAAGGGATGTCCAAATCTGACCTCAAAATCATCCCTCAGTATGGGGTGTCCACCAATACTCCTGACTTAGCCAATGCCTCCTCACCCCAGCCCCACACCAGTCACACTCATGGGAGACATTCTCGACCTTCCCACTGCCCGACCCGCCTGACCCATCCAGCCCCTAGTCCTGCTTACCTCAGCCCCTAAACCTCTGGATGCCATTCTCTACCTTCTTGCAGGCCTTCCAGAATGGCCCCAGAGCCTTCTGCAGGGACCCCGAGGGAAGCTTTAGGCTGGGCTCCCCGTCCCTGCCTCACTGCCTCCCCCGCACTCTTGCTTCTGAGATCACTCTCAAGCAAACCACCAGAACCCACGTCCTTGTCACAGCTCTGCTCTGTGAACAGCCCAAAGGAAGGCAGCTTTTCAACCCAGGGGCCGGCCAACTTGCTGTCAAGGGTCAGGAGGTGAATCTGTTCTGCATTTCTGGTCACATTGTCTCTCCTGCAACTCCTCCACTCTACCCTTGTCTCCAAAGCAGCCATTGACAATGCACACATTAATGGGCGAGGCTGTGTGCCAATGAAACTTTATGGACAAGGCCGGGCACGGTGGCTCACACCTGTAATCCCAGCACTTTGGGAGGCAGAAGTGGGCGCATAACTTGAGGTCAGGCATTCAAGACTAGCCTGGCCAACATGGTGAAACCCCATCTCTACTAAAAATACAAAAATTAGCCGGACATGGTGGCGTGTGCCTGTAATCGCAGCTATTCGGGAGGCTGAGACAGGAGAATCGGTTGAACGTGGGAGGCGGAGGTTGCAGTGAGCCAAGATCACACCACTGCACTTCAGCCTGGGTGACAGAGTGAGCCAAGAAAGGAAAGAAAGGAAGAGAAGAAAGAAAGGAAGAGAAGAAAGAAAGGAAGAGAAGAAAGGAAAGAAGGAAGGAGGGAAGGAAGGAAGGAAGGAAGGAAGGAGAGAGAGAGAGACAGAAAGAAAGAAAAGAAAGAAAGAAAGAAGGAAGGAAGGAAGGAAGGAAGGAAGGAAAGAAAGAAAGAAAGAAAGAAAGAAAGAAAAGAAAGAGAAAGAAAGAAAGAAAAGAAAGAAAGAAAAGAAAAGAAGGGAAGGAGGGAGGGAGGGAAGGAAGGAAGGAAGGAAGGAGGGAAGGAAGGAAGGAAGGAAGGAAAAGAAAAGAGAAATTTATAGACAAAAACAGGCAGTAGGCCGGATTTTGCTGTGGGTGGTAGTTTGCTGACCTCTGTTCCTGTTGCATCCACTCCCTCTGCCCTGTTCCAACAGGGTCTCCACACAGCAGGTAGGAGGGCCTTTTCAGAAGGCAGATCTGACCATGTCACCTTCCACCCTAAGCCCTTCAATGGCTCCCCCACTGCACCCTGGAAGAGGAGAAGAATGAGGAGGAAGGGGAGGAAGGAGAGAAGGGAGAGGATGGGGAGGAAGCAGCCACACGGCAAATGGAAGCCTTCTCCTCTGAGCTGATCCTCAGTGGCCTGTCCTACCAGCTAAGGGGGAGATTGCAGCAGGTCTTTAAGCATCCAAGTCCCCCACCCCACCCCCACACACTCCCAGCATGTTATCAACATCCCAGCCACACACATCAACTCTGAGGCTGGATTCTAGAAGTGAGCATAAAGAACAGAGCTGGAGCTGTGCACAGTGGCTCACGCCTGTAATCCTAGCACTTTGGGAGGCCAAGGCAGGTGGATCACCTGAGGTCGGGAGTTCAAGGCCAGCCTGGCCAACATGGTGAAACCCTGTCTCTACTAAAAATACAACAATTAGCCAAGCATGGTGGCAGGCAACTGTAGTCCCAGCTACTCAGGAGGCTGAGGCAGGAGAATCGCTTGAATCTGGGAGGCAGAGGTTGCAGTGAGCCAAGATCGTGCCGTTGCTCTCCAGCCTGGGTAACAGAGCAAGACTCTGTCTCAAAAATGAAGAACAGAGCTGGACACCTGGAGCACCCAACAGGCTTCTGCTGTGAAATGCAGTGGGTCACCACAAAAAATCAGCCTTAAACTACAGGAAAGAATGCAGAGGTTACAATGCAGGTCCCAGGCATCTGCCAAGCAATGAACACGGATGTTTCCCTCCGTTTTTAAAGAAGGCTTAAGCTCTCTCAGGCAAATGCATCAGAGTAACACCAAGGAGAAGGCCCAGTATGGCCCTGGGCCCTCCTGGAGACACAGAGGGCATCTTCAGGACAGAGTCCCTCAAGACGAAACGACCCCAGGCTCACTTTAGTGGAGAGAGAGACACTGGCTGAGAACAGTCTGTTCTTCTGTAAGAATGACAAATGAGGCCCTTGAGTTTCAGTGGCCCCAACACAAGCAGCACAGGACTTACTTTACTCGTGGTTTTTTTAAGTCCAGGAGAATTTGCTACTATAAAAGGGAAGGACTTGCAGTGCCCATAAAAGAAAGAAAACAGAGGATGACTTAGAAGGAAGCATGGAGTCACTCTGTTCCCCATTTCCTAATTTAACCAAGTGAAATGGTCCCCTCCTCCATTTCTCCCTCCCTCCCTGTCTCCTCCTCCTCCACCCTTCCCTCTCTCCCTCTCTCCCCCATCTCTCTCTCCCTCCCTGTCTCCTCCCCCTCCACCCCTCCCTCTCTCCCTCCCTGTCTCTTCCTCCTCCACCCCTCCCTCTCTCCCTCTCTCCCGCCATCTCTCTCCCTCTCTCCCTCCCTGTCTCCTCCTCCTCCACCCCTCCCTCTCTCCCTCTCTCTTTCTCTCTCTTCCTGCATGTGCACTCCATCACACCTGCACCCATGGATAATTCTACCCATCACCGTGGCCAGTATCCTGCCTGCCTGGAATAGGCACTGATTACTAATGGAGAAACTGCAGCTCAGAACAGTGAAGCTGTCGCTTGTGCAGAGCTAAGATGCAAATGGTCCCTCTCCATTCCACTGCCTCCTCCCCTGAGGCCAGTATCTCTGCCTCCATCATCCCTTTGGCACAGCACCGAGTGCTGCACTGTCATCGCCTCAGGAGAATTTTGCTGAGCCCCTACTGTGTGCCAGGCACGTGCTCATTCATCGGCCCTGAAAACACAGAAACAAGAGCTTATATTCTAGACAAAGACACAGACAGGAAGCCTACAGGCAAGTCACTTACTCAACAAGATAACCTCCATTTGCAATGAGCGCTTCCTGCACTGGGATAGTGTAGGTTCTGCTGCAGTAGAAAACACACTCACATCTCATAGGTTTGCGGAAAGGTTTGTTTCTTGTTTATATCACAGTCGAGTGTGGTCCGGGCAGCTCTTCTTGGCAATGCTCCTCCTAGTGGTCACACCAAGACCCAGGCTCCTCACATCCCTGAGCCCTTCCTACTGACGTGAGTGGCCGCCTTGGTCACCGCACAGGAACAGGGAGTGTGGACCACGCGGGGGCCCGTGACAACATCTGGAAGTGGAAGGCATTGCTTCCGTCTACAACCCCCTAACCCTGACCTCACTGCAAGGGAGACTGGAAAATAGAGTCCTCCTTTAAATCTTCCCGGAAAAAGAAATAGAATTTGGTGAACACAGGCATTGTCTCTAGAATAATAAATGAAATAAACAGGATGATGTACCAGAGGGTATCTGGGTCAAGCGGCCTGTTGTGGATAGATAGGGCAGGGAAGGTTGCTTTAAGGGGGTGACTTGGATCCAGCTAGGAAAGAGCACTCAGAGCCCAAAGAACAGCAGGTGCAAAAGACTGGGGCGGGAAAGCACCTGGCAAGTTCAAGGAACAGAAAGGTCAAGGAGATAGGCAGGTGGGGAGCGAGAGTGGGAAGAAGGGAGGGCTGTGCATAGGCCAGGGCAGGTGGTGACCCTGACATACATCAGAGCCACACCCCAGACACCACGAAACCTCCCATGCTGGACCCTCCCCACTCCCCAGAGACTGATCCAGTGATTCTGGCCTGGGATCAGACTTTATATTTGTTACTGCTTTGTTTAAGAAAATAATACATATGCTCAAAAGTACACAAATAATTAGTATAGGCTCAATGAATAGTCAGAGTGGACAATCCAGGCAACCACCACTGAGATGGAGAAATAGAATACACAGATCCCTGGAGGGCCCCTCTTCCCTCCCCTTCCCCCCAGCCTCCCACCTTTCTCCTCCCTAAAGGGAACCACTATCAAGATTTCCATCAAAATCTATGCTGAGTACAGTGGCTCAAGCCTATAATCCCAGCACTTTGGGAGGCTGAGGCGGGCAGATCATGTGAGGTCAGGAGCTCAAGACCAGCCTGGCCAACATGGTGAAACCCCATCTCTACTAAAAATATAAAAATGAACAGGGCATGGTGGCGGGCGCCTGTAATCCCAGCTACTCAGGAGGCTGAGGCTGGAGAATCACTTGACCCTGGAAGGCAGAGGTTGCAGTAAGCCAAGATAACACCACTGCGTTCCAGCCTGGGAGACAGAATGAGATTTCATCTAAAATAAAAAAAATCAAAAATCAAAAATCTAGGCAATACCATTCAGGACATAGGCAGGGGCAAAGATTTCATGACAAAAACACCGAAAGCAATCGCAACACAAGCAAAAATTGACAAATGGGATCTAATTAAAGAGCTCTGCACAGCAAAAGAAACTATCATCAGAGTGAACACACAACCTACAGAATGGGAGAAAAATTTGCTATCTATCCATCTGACAAAGGTCTGATAGCCAGAGTCTATAAGGAACTTAAACACATTTACAAGAAAAAATCAACCCCATTAAAAAGTAGGCAAGAGATATGAACAGACACATCTCAAAAGAAAACATACATGTGGTCAAGAAGCATATGAAAAAAAGCTCAACATCACTGAACATTAGAGACATGCAAATCAAAACCACAACAAGACTTCTTCTCACACCAGTCAGAATGGCAATTATTAAAGTCAAGAAACAACAGATGCTGGCGAGGTTATGGAGGAAAAGGAATGTTTTTACCCTGTTGGTGAGAGTGTAAATAAGAAGATGACGTGGTGATTCCTCAAAGATCTAGAGGCAGAAATACCAGTTGACCCAGCAATCCCATTACTGAGTATATACCCAAAGGAATATAAATCGTTCTATTATAAAGATACATGCACGTGTATGCCCACTGCAGTACTATTCACAATTGCAAAGACATGGTATCAACCCAAATGCCCATCAATCACAGATTGGATAAAGAAAACATGATACATATATACCATGGAATATTATGCAGCCAAAAAAAGGAATGAGAACATGTCCTTTGCTGGGATGTGGATGGAGCTGGAAGCCATTATCCTTAGTAAACTAACACAGGAACAGAAAACCAAACACAACATGTTCTTATAAGTAGGAGCTGAATGATGAGAACACATGGACACAGGGTTGGGGGAATAACACACACTGAGGCCTGTTGGGCAGGGGGAGGGAGAGCATCAGGAAGAATAGCTAATGGATTCTGGGCTTAATACTTAGGTGATGGGACGAGCTGTGCAGCAAACTACCACAGCACACATCTACCTATGTAACAAACCTACACATCCTGCACATGTACCCATGAACTTAAAATAAAAGTTGAAGATTTTTTTTAAAAAAGGTTAAAAAAAAAAGATTTCCATCTTGCCCATTTCTGAACTTCACATGAGTGGAATGCCTGGATTCTTTGATTCTACATTATTTGGTGAGGTTCATAGAGTATAGATGTGCTGTTTAGTGTTTAGTGTTCATAGAGTGTAGTTCTGTTTAGAATCATAATTGTGTGATTTCACAATTTATTTGGCCACACTACTGTGTTGCTTGGCCTGGGTTACTTCAAGCTTGAAGTTGTGAAAAACAGTGCTGCTGTGGTCACACTCATGCACACATTTCAGTGCATCTGGGCTTGCATTTCTGGCAGGTGATATCTAGGGATAGAGTAGCTGGGTTCTGGGGCAGGTGTATGTTCACCTTTAGTAGATTCTGCTAAACAGTCTTCCAAAGTGATTGTTCCCATTTACATTCCTACCAGCAATATAGGGATGCCCCAATCATTCTATATTTCTAGCAACCCTTAGGACTGGCAACCTATTCACTGTAGCCATTCCAGTGTCTAGATGGCAGTATCTGGTTCTACCTGATGACTAGTAAAGCACTTGGTGAAGTGCTTGTTCAAGTCTTTTTCCCATTTTTCTGTGAGCCCTTTTTTGGTGACATATGTTGCCAATATCTTCTTCCACTTGGTCCTTGCCTTTTTGCTCTCTTAATTGTACCCTTTGATTGTGCCCATTGCTCTTATTCTTAATATAATCTGATTTGTTAATATTTCCCCTTGTGGTTAATATTCTTTGAATCATGAAGATATTCTACATCTTCTGTGTTATCTTCTAGAAGACAGATTTTTTTTTGATACAGTGTGAGGTAGGGATCAAGCTTCCTGTTTATTCTTTTTTTTTTTGAGTCGGAGTCTCACTCACTCCAGGCTGGAGTGCGGTGGTGCAATCTCTGCTCACTGCAAGCTCTGCCTCCTGGGTTCACACCATTCTCCTGCCTCAGCCTCCTGAGTAGCTGGGACTACAGGCGCCCACCACCACACCTGGCTAATTTTTTGTATTTCTAGTAGAGACAGGGTTTCACCATGTTAGCCAGGATGGTCTCAATCTCCTGACCTTGTGATCCGCCCACCTCAGCCTCCCAAAGTGCTGGGATTACAGGTGTGAGCCACCGCGCCCGGCTGCTTCCTGTTTATTCTAAGGTGGCTATTTGATGGATCCAGCACCACAGGTTGCTGGACCCATAGGTTGCAAAGATCTGCCATGCCCTCCTTAACGGGACCGCCTTTGTCATGTGCCAGTCATATACACCCTCTTGTGCTGGTTCCATGCCTGGGCTCTCTGCTGTCTTCATTAGTCTATTTGTCTGTCCTTGTATTAGAATCTTTTTACTGTCTGTTGGTGATTCTAACACGCAGTCGGGGTTAAGAACCATCAATCCAGAACCTTGAAGTTCATGGTAACAAGTCTGGGTGTTAGTCTAAATGCAATTATGTAGAAACCCAATAAAAAGTTTGTAGAGGAAAAATAGATTAACTTTGTGGCATGGGAAGAGAAACGGCAGAACCGTGGGGAAGGCATCTGTGGAGTGGCTGAGGAAACCAGGTAACAGGCCTGAAGCTGAAATCTCAGAGCAATCCAGCCGGCTGTTCACTGTCTCTCTTCTCCCCGCTCCAGACCTCCAGACCCTCCCACACCAAAGTACAAACAAGGAATGACAAACACAGGAAGGAAACGTCGCTGTTTAAGTCATCAGCCAAATTTAAGGAAATCTGATCCCTCCTGCAACCACGTTTTATTCCCTGGTTACCCTGGCATTTCCTATAATTAATGGCTAGGTTTTAATTAAACATTGATTAGCCACTAATTAGTCTAATGATTAGTCTTGGGGAGGAGACATGGCTGTCAACACCGCAAAGGAGGAAGGGGAGATGGTGAAAGATTATGGCTTAGGTAGAAATGCTATTTCTACCTTCCTCCAAGCCAAATGTTTTCTATGATTTGGGTCCATTATAAATGATGCTTTCAATGTGAATTTTCCTAATCGGTTTGAGTCTGATGAAGTCCCAGGTGACTGATGCCAGGAAGAATGAATCTATTCGCCTTTTCATCAGATTTCAGACTCTTAATGCAGCCAAAGAGCTTCTTCCCACTTAGAGAAGAATTCGTTTCTGTCTCCACAATGAAGTCATCCTGGGCTGAGGCTGTTCTCCTCCCAAGTCCTTTATAGGGGGTCTGACCTTGCCAAGGACTTCTGAGATGCAAACATCACAGGGTGTTTCCCCCAGAGAAGATTCTGCAGACACCTTGTGCCCCCACATACCTGTTCCTCATTCTTTGCCACTTCGCCCAGACCTCCCAAAATATTGACACAGCTCTAGTTTCATCTGCAGACAGAATACTACTTGTGTGTAACTTGCTGTCAATCAAGGATGTATTTGGCCCCCCTGACCCTCAGCCAACAAGGAAAGTTGAGTTGCTGTGCATGGACACAGTTCATATTAAATTGCATTGGAAGTTATCCTACTAGAAGTTAATAACGCAGTAAATCTTGGGGCGGGGGTGGGGTGATGTGATAACATTGGCCAATCAATCCCCCAAGGATCTTTTGTAAGTTTGAATTTACGTAGAACAATACAAAATTCCCTTGAAGCCCAATCTTCGTGTTGAGTATAAAGCTTGGGAGAGAACTGAGGCGTGAAACTTGAAATCCAGAAAGGACCAGGGAAGAGGGAAAGACGCTGACTACCAAGGAAGGCAGGTCCCGACGAGCAGGCCTCGCCAGCCCCAAAAAGCCTCCGTGTTTGTCTTTGGGGTTCCTGCACTACTGGAAACACCTCTGCTCGGGTGGGAGAAGGGATGGGAAAGACACAGAACAGTTGGGAATACTCTGCTTTTTTTAAGTGTGGTAAAACACAACGTTAAATTTACCATTCTTACCTTTTTTTTTTTTTGAGATGGAGCCTCACTCTGTTGCCCAGGCTAGAGTGCAGTGGCGCAATCTCAGCTCACTGCAACCTCCACTTTCCAGATTCAAGCAATTCTCCTGCCTCAACCTCCCGAGTAGCTGGGATTACAGGCACGTGCCACCATGCCTGGCTAATTTTTGTATTTTTTTTTTTTTTGAGATGGAGTCTCGCTCTGTCGCCCAGGCTGGAGTGCAGTGGTGTTATCTCAGCTCACTGCAGGCTCCGCCCCCCGGGGTTCACGCCATTCTCCTGCCTCAGGCTCCCGAGTAGCTGGGACTACAGGCGCCCACCACCTCACCTGGCTAATTTTTTGTATTTTTAGTAGAGATGGGGTTTCACTATGTTGGCCAGGCTGGTCTCGAACTCCTGACCTCAGGTGATCCACCCGCCTCGGCCTCTCAAAGTGCTGGGATTATAGGCGTGAGCCACCGCGCCCGGCCTACTCTCACCATTTGTAAGTGCACGGTTCAGTGGCATTACCTGGCCATTGTTGTATAGCCACCACCTGTCCATAGAACTCTTCCATCTTCCCAAACTACAATTCTGTCCCCATTAGATGACACCTCTTACTCCCTCCTCCCCCCGGTCCCTGGAGACCACTGTTCTCCTCTGTCCACAAGGAGGGACCTTCTATAAGTGGAATCACACAGGATTTGTCCTTTTGTGACTGGCTTATTTCACTTAGCATAATGTCCTCAGGGTTCATCCACGTTAGAGCACGTGTCAGAATTTCCTTCCATTTTTAAGGCTGAATTCTATTATTTTCTGGAAAGATCATAGTTTGTTTAACCATTCATCTGTCTATGGACACTGGGGTTGCTTCCATCTTTCGGCTGGGAAATCCTGACACTCCTTGATCCGGCATTCAGATTCAGATATTTGAGTCTTCAGGTGAACAAACAGGTTAGACAGGGCCCTATGCAAGCCCCACACCCGCCCACAAATCTCTGTTTCACTCTCTTCAAATCGGCAAAGGAGAAGCAAGATTTGTCCTGAGCTCTCGAGACTCTATCAGAATTTTTATGTCCCTTTTACATCCCCTTTTTATCTCTCTTACTTGTCATTTTCCAATAGCTTTTGCCAGAAGAGCACACGGGACACATTCTACACAAACTTTTATCATTTCACCGAGATGGGGCCAGAGCTGCACGAAATCTCCTTACCTGGGAGGGGCCTGGAGAGGAGCGGAGCAGAGAGGAGGGGCCTGGAGAGGAGCGGAGCAGAGAGGAGGGGCCTGGAAACCGACGCCGGGGTCTGAGCTGCGGCTTTGCCAGTGACTTGGGCAAGACCCCTGGCCTCTCTTTGCCCAAGTATAAGTGGGGCCTTGTGCCTCTGGCTCTGACAGGCTTTGGGATGTGTTATCTGAGGACTCTGCACAGTTGCATGGGCATAAAAAGCGGCTGCTCCACAGCCCCACGGGATCCGCGCCAAGTGTGTGCACGAGGCCAACAGTGGCTCACGTGAAGCCTCTGGCTGCCAGCCCCAGACTTCAGAAATGGTAGGAAAAGGGCCTGGCGCGGTGGCTCATGCCTATAATCCCAGCACTTTGGAAGGCCAAGACGAGTAGATCACCTGAGGTCAGGAGTTCGAGACCAGCCTGGCCAACATGGCAAAACCCTGTCTCTACTAAAAAAAATAAAAAAATAAATAAATAATAATAATAATAAATAAAAATCAGCCAGGTGTGGTGGTACACAGCTTTAATCCCAGCTACTCAGGAGGCTGAGGCAGGAGAATCACTTGAATCCAGGAGGCAGAGGTTGCAGTGAGCTGAGATTGTGCCACTACACTCCAGCCTGGGTGACGGAGCAAGACTCCATCTCAAAAAAAAAAAGAAAAAGAAAAAATGAATGGTAGTAAAAGGAAGCTTTCTCCAGGACAAGGGACTGGAGGGTCAGCAGTGCAGGGGGCCATTGCTGCTGCTTTATCCAAATTACATCCCCGGGAGCTCTCATCACTGTAGACTCAGAGTAACTACCAAAGGCTGAACAGGTAACAGGTGCCTGGCCGCGAGAGGCTCTTTACTGATGACAGCGTGTTAATCTCCACAGGAGGTGTATCGTGTCCATTTAAAGGCCAGGAAATTCGGGGCACAGAGCTAGCAGGTCATGTGCACAAAGCCACATAGTTGGTCCCAAACCCCTGTGACAGGGACAACAAGCTGGCCCCAACAGACATGGGGCTCCCTGGCCCCCAAGGTGGGTAACCAGGGGGAACTGCACTCCCCACCCATATTAGTCCGTTTTCATGCTGCTGATAAAGACATAGCCAAGGCTGGGTACTTTATAAAGAAAAATAAGTTTAATAGACTCAAAGTTCCACGTAGCTAGGGAGGCATCACAATCATGGTGGAGGGTCACAAACACGTTTTACATGGTGGCAGAAAAGAGAGAATGAGGCTGGGTGTGGTGGCTCATGCCTGTAATCCCAGCACTTTGGGAGGCTGAGATGGGTAAATCACCTGAGGTTGGGAGTTCGAGACCAGCCTGGTCAACATGGTGAAAGCCCGTCTCTACTAAAAATACAAAAAATTAGCCGGTGTGGTGGCAGACACCTATAATCCCAGCTACTCCGGAGGCTGAGGCGGGAGAATCGCTTGAAACCAGGAGGCAGAGGTTGCAGTGAGATCATGCCATTGCACTCCAGCCTGGGCAACAAGAGCAAAACTCCATCTCAAAAAAAAAAAAAAAGAGAGAGAGAGAGAGAATGAGAGCCAAGCAAAAGAGGTTTCCCCTCATAAAACCATCGCATCTCATCAGACTTACTCTCTACCATGAGAACAGTATGGGGGAACCACCCCCATGATTCAATTATCTCCCACCAGTTTCCTCCCACAACACATGGGAATTATGGGAGCTATAATTCAAGATGAGATTTGGGTGGGGACACAGCCAAACCATATCACACTCCACCCCCACTGCATGAGGACGGAACTACGTGTCTGGTTCTAGCCAAAGGAGTGGAATTGAAAAAGTGTGGTGTCTCTTCCAGGATGAGGGTCCACATCCCCATCTTGGAGAGGACACTGTCACAGAAGGAGGAGCGGCTGAGCCTGTCTTGTGAAGGACACTGTGAGAAGAGAGCAAGCGTGCATGTGGTGTGCTATGTTGCAGGAGGTGGGGACTGCTTGTCACAGCAGTTAACAGGACTGACTGATACACCTCCTGCCCAAACCCCAGGGTGACCTCTGGCCTGGTGAATTGGGTCAAGGCAACCGTTTCGGAGGGAGGCCTCATGGTGTGGGCCATTCCCATGCCTGCTCCTCACAGACGACTCTAACATGGGACGCAGCCACACACTCTCACTGCTGGAGAACGGCTCCGCTCAGCCTCCCTGGGTCGGTGTGGCAAGCCTCTGTGGAGAGCAGATATGTGCCAGGAGCTCGTGGTACAGAGAGGAATAAAACAGCCTTTGGCCTCAGGATGCTGATGAGATAAACGAAGACAGATGGGCCATGGGTGGGAAGACAAGGCCCCCGGACACTTGGCCCAACCAGAAGCTCAGGAAATGCTTCTTGGGCAAGGGGAGTCCTCAGCTTGGTCTTAAAAGATATGCACCATGGGCCAGGGGCAGAGAAGAAGAGAGGGCAGTCCAGGCAGAGGGCACGGCACGAACAAGGCACAGAGGCGGATGGAGGCACACTCAGGGCCAGCACTCGGGGGCGTTGCAGAATCAGACCTGGCCCACAGACCTGGAACCTGCCAGCTGTGCCTGGCAGCATAGAGATAGTCCTGGGCAACCAGGAGCACTGGCAGCTGGTTACAACAGGGGAGAGGCATGAGCGGGTTCCCATGCTAAACACGCCAGCCTAGTGCAGTGCAGGGCATGATGTGGGGGACAAGGCTGGAGGCCAGGAGACCATGGAGAGATGGCCCCTACGGTCCTGCCAGTGCCCCTGCTTCTGAAAGGCATGCAGCAGGCACAGACCAGCAGTGGGTACCCGAAGGAAAGGAGACAGAGAGATCAGGTCAGATTTGAGACAGCTTCAAAACATCAACACAGCAGTGTTCTCGTAAATGGTCACCTGCCACCTGGGACAGAAATAGAGGGAATTTCAAAATCCATCTTTCTCTCAAAAAAAAAGACCCCTTGATGAGGCCACAAGGGACACTTGCCCGTTATTCCTACTTAGCAAGAAAGAAAAGGCAGCAGCTGTCATGCTTAGAGAGGGACAACTGTAAGGTCTCTGAATTCTCTCCTGGCAGCCTGAGAAGAAAGGAGCACCTGAGCAGGGAGGAACAGCCTCAGCAGCAAGGAGCACCTGAGTGGGAGGAACATCTAAGCAGGGGGAACACCTGAGAGGGTGGATCAGCCTGATTGGGAAGAGCACCTAAACAGGAAGGAGCACCTGAGCAGGGAGGGACACCTGAGTGGGAGGAGCACCTGAGTGAGAGGAGCAGCAGTGAGCCCCAGCCAACTGCAGCTGTGCTGTCCAACGCACACACGCCAGCCTGGGGACTCGCTCCCCTCCACCTCCTCCCCTCTGATCCCAAACACTCTTTCTGCTGACTTGGCAAATGCCCCGAGACAGATTCTCCCTTCCCCCCACCAAGCTGCTCTTGCTCCTGCTGTGTCACTGAGCCAGCTGCTGCCATTTTGAGGGCATGCCATCATCCGGCCAGCCCACAGGCCACTGGTCCTCCTTCAGCCCAGGCCCCCACGCCTCAGGAAGCTCATTTCCAGATGTGCGGGATGACGGCACCCTGGCTTACCTGGGCTCAGCACGGGGGCACTTTCCAGGCAGACAGCATATTGGAGACGGCTTCTTCCCACCTGGAGGGGACCCCAGGAAAGCTGGTCCTCATTCTTGACGGACCTTGCAGGATGAGGGTGGATCAGGTCTCAGAATCCCGGTTGGATGGGCCTAAGGAGGGAATGGGGAAACTGAAGACACGCTGCCTGGTTGGATGCATGTGCGCTTCTCAGGACCCCGGGCTGCTGGCGGGTCCCTGGGAGTCTGAGATGGAGCTGGGTCCTGCTTAACCATCAGGGAGCACAAGATCACCCCACTCGTGCTTTCCTTTAATTGTTGCAATGAATGCTTATGACCTGCCCACCTGCCCTCCAGGCAGGTTGACAGATGAAGAAATCAATGGACAGGCCCAGGCTCCAGGGAAAAGCTTCTGGCCACTGGCAAGGCTACGAAACAGCGCCAAGTTCCAGGAGCCCAGGAATGGAAGGATAACCTTTAGTTAGAGGCACACAGAAGGCTTCCTGGAGGAGGTGACATTTGAATAGGGTTCTGAGGGATGTGCAGGATTTCAAACGGAGGAAAGAACCAGGCCCATGTCCCACACAGAGGTCCTGGGCCAACGCTGCCCAGGGTGAAGAAGATCAAACGGTGACAAGATGCACGTGGGGACGGGGAAGCCATGTAGGGACGCTGCCAGCCAGAAGTTCACTCAGTTATTCAACAAACATTTATTGGCTGCGAGGACTGAGCTGGAGGCACTGAGGCTACAAACTGTGTGACTCAGTGCAGCAGCAAGGCTGAGTGGTGAGGAGGGTCCAGGGCACCAGGGGACTGAAGACAGAAGCCAGACGTCCAGGAGCCTTCCAGCAGGCAGCTGCCGGAGACCCTGGACAAGAGGTGAGATGGGGCCAGCCTGTGCCTTCAGAGGAAGACAGTGGCAGCTACTTGCTCATCTGGTGGGTCCCCAGGAGGGAATTCAAACATTGTCCCCATCCTCACGACAAGTACACTCAGGGTGACCAGAGAAACTTGGGTCACAGTGGCCAGTGGGCTCCTGGGGAGAAGCTGTGGGGACTGCAGGTGACTTCTCTGCCCATATGAATTATTGACACACCCAGCCAGGTCCACTGTGTTCCTACAACCTGTGCTGTGGCTGCCCCTTGCTCATCACTGTCCTGAGTTTCGGGTGCTGCCTCCAGCC
This sequence comes from Homo sapiens, assembly GCF_000001405.40. Lineage (NCBI taxonomy): Eukaryota > Metazoa > Chordata > Mammalia > Primates > Hominidae > Homo > Homo sapiens. The sequence continues at coordinate 79,670,102 of NC_000017.11, forward strand.
ACAGGGGTGAGTTTTCCTATGAGCTGGCAAGGCCTGCCCATGTGCTGGTCGTCCTGGCCGGGGGTTCAGGCTCCACCCTCCCACTTCCCTCTGCATTCACTGGCCCAGCTGCTGGAGTAGTGACTGCTGTGCACCTCTCATCAGATGCAGATTGGGGGAAATCAATGGGGTTAGGTCACCAAGGGGGAGACAGGGTTGGTGGCAAAGCCCCTTGTTGCAGGTCCTGCCCAGTAGGAGCCCCAGGGAAAGCAGGCTCCTCCTGGCTGCCGTGCATTTGAAGGATAAGGAGGCAGCTGTCCCTTCCAGAATGCACTTAGGGATCTCAGTCTCTTCATGGGGGGAGGAAAGGCCACTCTCAGCTGCAATCTGAGGTTCAACACAGCCTCAAAATGAAGCAGCCTCCTTCACCTGCAGGGTGAAGGTGGCAGTTGGCGCCTGCCACCGCCAGCCATCTCTGCAAGTTGAAAATCCCTGGGAGGTTCCTGAGACACAAATCAATGGTGATGAAGACTAAAACTGGAGCTGTGAACCCAGAGAGGACCGGGCAGCTGAGGAGTCATCCAGGGCAGCCCAGCCAGGCACGTGTCTGGCCCCAGCTGCCCAGCACCCGGCCTGCCAAAGACTCACACCCACCCCAGCCCAGCAGGAGCCACTTCAGTCCCTGAAACTCCAGAAGACACACGTGCGCACGCGCACACACGCTCATCCCATTATTATCTTGCTGCACCGGCTGAAATTTATTAGCAGCAGAAGCGTCAAGGCCCTTTCCCAGAGCTTTCATGCTTTTCTACAAAGTAATCTTCCACGGGTGCTTCTGTATTCCTTCCCTGTGCGGTAGAGCAACATCTCAGCCGCCAGACCCTCTGAATGCTAATTTATTTCAGGAGTCGGAGCAGTTGGCTCCAGGAGGTCCTCCTGGCAGGGAAGGGAGGGAATAAAAGGTATTTCTCTCTCCAACTCTCCAACTGCAGGCTCCAGCTGCCCCCACGGTGTTTACCTCCCTTCTCACCCCACCGGGAGGGAGCAGAGCAGGGTGTCCATGGGGGCTGCAGGGGGGTTGGTGGGGGACAGTAGCCCAGCCCACACCCACAGCTCCCTCCTCCATCCAGGCTCAGAGCCATGTTCCCAATGTGAGGCCCCTCGGGAATGAAGCAGACACAAATGGCCATGCTTTCTGGGCGAGACAGCTGCGCCAGCCTCATTGGGGGCCTGGAAATTGCTTCTGTCTCAGTGGCATCCGGAGAGCCATTTCAGAGGATGCTGACAGGCCACATGCATCCTCCATGGAGGGGAGAGGCACGGTCCTGAGTCATGGAGGAGCACAGACAGACTGACACTGCATAGGTCTGGGGACTATGGAATCGAGTCAGAGGCAGGTCAGCCCCCAGAGCCGCTGCTCCACCACTCAAAGGCTCCACACATCTCCCCTGGCAAGTGGAGATACCCAATGGGCCAGCCTCAGGCCCCTCCCAGCACCAGGCCCTGCTGGGTCGTGGGTCCACGGTGCCCCTGGTGGGAGACACGCAGAGCACACAAACGAAACAAGTAATGATGTCATTGTAGGTGCCTGTGTGGGCTCTGCAGAGAAGAGAAGTCACTTCTGGTGGAAGTAACTGGCCACCGCAGGGCTGCTGGGCATCTTTAGGTTGTCGGGAGGCCTAAGCAGAGGACACTGGAGTTGAGACCTAAATGACAGGGAGGCACAGCCACCAGCATTTGTGAGTGAAGCAGAGCCCCCAGGAGACTGTGTGTGTGCACCTGCATGCACGCATACACAGGCCTAGATGCCCACATGCTTATGCAAATGCACAGACACACATGGATGCACACATACACCTACATGCAGTGCATGCGTAGATGCTCACATAGACACACAGACACACATGGATGCACATGTACCTATACACATGCAAATACATAGAGATAGGTGTATCAGCACATATACAGGTACACATATATCTACAAGTACGTAGATAGAAACTCACACATATACGTACTTGCACACATACACACATATGCACATAAACACATACACACATTGATAGATGAATGCATATGCATGTACACAGGCACACACATAGATGGACACATACACATAAATGTACATAGGTGCATATGTGTTTATACAAACATGAACACACATGTATATCTCTACACATAGATATATGCATACTTTTACATATACACACATGCATGCACATACATATACATGTACACATGCATATACACACCCACAAATGCATGTATAGGTGCAAATACACATGCGTGCATATTACATGTAGATACAATTGCATATATACGTATTCATACATGTGCGTGTCACACATACATGTACCATACACAGGCACACATATGAAGGGACTTTTCTACAGCGATTTGATGTCGCACCACAACCGAGGAGCTAGTTAAGCCATCTCTGTGAGGAGCTTGAAGTCCACAAGGGAGACTGTGGGAAAGGGACAGTGATGTCAGGTGGAGTGTGGGAGGTGGGCGAGAGTGAGGAACCCAGGTACAGGCTGGAGCCCACAAGGATGGGCTGGGGCCATGGCTGTCCTTGCTGCCTCTGAGCATGGTGGTGTGGGCATCCTGCAGAAGCCAGGCCCTCGCTCACAGAGCCAAACACCCACATCTGGCTTGGGAGCAGGCTGTGCTGGAGGAGGATCAGGGTTGGAGGAGGATCAGGGTTGGAGCAGCTGCAGCGCAGCCACTGTCTCTGCTGTTTGGGGGCCAAGCTGTGCGGCAGGGCCAGCACTTAGGAGGTTTCACCCTTTACCCAGCACCAGGTGGAAAGGATGGGGGGATACAGACCACAATTGCTGCAGGGAAACAGTAAGAAGGGCTTGGGCTCTGGAAATGTTTGAGAGGAAGAGCAAACAGGACCTGTAGGTGGGATAGGGTGGGGTTGGAAGAGAGAAACCCCATGTAGCTCTGTAGCTCTGGCCCAGCACACTGGGTGGCTGGTATTTCCACTCAGTCCCCCAAGAGGAGAGGTTTGGACAGAAAAGATCTGAGAAGGATAGGAAGGGGGAAGAGAAATTAGGCTTCACCTTGCCCCCAAAATGTCCCAGCTCCCAGGTATTCCTGGGGTGCTACCAAAAGACCAACCTTTCAGTGAGGCCAAGAGACAGAGAAGCCATGGGGCTGTCTGGGCCTGATTCCAGTCCTCCCCCAATCCACACCTTGGAGCCCTCATGGAGCTCACGGTCAAACCAGACTCTACTGCCAGCCAAGTGGTAGTGGGCTCTTCTCGCAGTCCTGGGGAAAACACACAGGAGGGATTAGTGGCATCTGTAACTGGGACTTCTCCACTGTTCTACAGAGAGAAGTTGGAAAATGCTTCTAGAGGAAGCACAGGGAGTGATTGTGGTTGGTGGGAATAGGTTGGGGAAGACAACAGGTAGAATGGCTGGTGCCCAATCTGACAGCAGCATCAGCAGATTTGCACGAGCTACAGATGTTGGAATTACTTTAAAAATGCATAGACTTGAAAAAGAACATATAAATAAAAATTTCAGAACTGAAAAATGTACTGACTGAAATAGAGGACTCCGTGGATAAGTTTTAAAGCAATTAGACATAACTGAAGAGAGAATTAGTACACTGGAAAGTAGGTCTGCAGAAAACATGCAGAGTGAAACCTGGAGAATCCAAAGGGCAGAAAAGAAGGAAAAAAACAACAAAACAGAAGAAGAACAGGAGACCCACAGACACAGTGAGAAGGGCTGGCATGAAGCTGAATTCCAGGAGGGAGAGAGCCCATAGGCAAAAGCAAAATTGAAGAAGCAACCACTGAGAATTTCCTATAACTTATGAAAAACATCAAGCCATGTTTTCAAGAAACCAAACAAACCCCAAGAAGGACAAACCAAAAGAAACCCACACCCAGACACAAGATAGCAAAACTGAAGAAGAGAGACCATGCCATCCACCCACCATCATTCAAGTGGCTGAGGCAAGACCTGAACCCAAAAATAAAAGGTAGTTTCATCAGAAGAATAGTGGGAAGCTCCTAAAAATCAAGGAGAAAGCTGGGGGAACAGATTCAGAGAGGGATAGCAACGAGGTGACCCCAGGAGACTCTAGTGATGACCTTGGCCTTATCTAATCCCCCCAGGTATAAGAGAAGGGTCCCTGACAGGGGGGCATGCAGCAGGGCCCCTCTGGCTTCTATAGGGGAAGGGCAGGTGTCTGCCTCCCTGTCCCTTGTACACCACGCTTTCCAAGACTCCCCAGCAGTGGAGCATGGGCCTCTAGTGATGCAGAATTTTTGGTTTTACTCAATTGCTACCTCAGAGCCCAGGGCACCCCAAGACAGGGCTTGGTCATGTGGGTTCAAGTGGAACCTCATGCAGTCCCCAGAAGCACTGATCCAGCCACACTCAAGCACTGTTGTGGCTCTAACCAGCATCCCACGTCCCCTACTTGCTAAGAATGTTATTTCAGGGGTCCCACTGCCCTTCTTGCAAGCTGCCTTCCAGCCCCCTCCAAGCTCAGCTCATCAATATGTCAACATCTGAACCCCACTAGGGAGACGTTTCCCCTGGGGTTCCCAGGCTGCACAGAAGTCAAAGGATGGGCCCGGCCTCCTGGCAGAAGGATTCCACAGCAGACAGTGTGGCTCCCTCATCCACAAGCTTGGCCACAGAGGCGTGGCCAGTGCCTCTTGGGTCAGCTTTGACCCAGCCATGACATCTCACCCCATGAGACTTAGGGCTGCAGGAGGAATTTGAGACCCTAGTACAAGCCAAACCTGACTCTTCTGGGCTCATGGACTGGACAGGCCTCAGGCAGAACGTCCCCTGGACACCAGTGGGCAGGGCTGGGGCAGCAGTGACTTACACTGGATTCAGGTCCTCAAACTCACAGCATAGGGGCAAGAACACATCTCTTCTGTGGCTCCACCCACGTCGCTGTCTTTGGCACCTGCTTCCCTGAGCAGCAGACACTGTGCCTGCCTGTCCTGTCCCCTCACCCTTGCAATGCCTTCTGAATGCCAGCACCTGTGCTTCTTTGTCTGAGGGCTTTCTCTGGCTTTTCGAGCCACTTTGTCCCCATCCTCCCCACCTTGCATCCCAGGCAGCAGGCTGGAAGCACCAGGGTGTTCACATCCCAAGGGAGCAGCCCTCAGAGGCTGGTAGGGCTGGTGTGGGAACTCCCAGCTCCTTTGCCTCCTGATGGGATAACCCCAAGACATAAGCCACACTCCGGCGGCTGTCCGGATAATCCTCCTGGATAGGCTGCCCTCCCCGGCCCGTCCCATGCCCCTCTCCCCCACTAACAGGTTTTGCGTCCCCCGACAAATTACTTGCACCCTATCCTTATCTCGGGTCTTCTGGGGAAACCCTATCCAAGCACCCACTGCCGGCTGCTGATGGGACAAGCTGGGAATTGGAGTGAACATCAGACCTTGAGCAGGCCAGCCTCGGGGGTGGATGGTGCAAGAAGGCACCACCTCCTGCAAATGCAGCTAAATCAGCCAGGGCTGAGGTCTTCAGGCAGTGGTGGACACCTGAGGGTCCAGGGGAGTCAAAGCAAAGCCCTTGGGGTCAGCAGCAAGCAGAAGCCACTGAGAAAAGAGAAGCAGTGGAGCAAACCCAACAGCTCCCAGGAAGATCCACAGAGGGCCAACGGGCACGTGGAGGTGCTCAGAGCCCTCAGTCATCAGGAGAATGCAGAGCAAAGCCACAATGAGATACCACTGCATACCCACTAGCATGGCTATGATTAAAAACTAGAAAGTAAGTGCTGCCGAGGAGACAGAGAAATCAGAACCCTCATCACTGCTGGAGGGGATATAAAATGTTGCATCTGCTTTGGAAAGTGGTCTGGCAAATCCTCAAAAAGCTAAACGTAGAGTTACCATATGATCCATCAATGCCACTCCTAGTATATACCTAAAAGAATCGAGGCTGGGCGTGGTGGCTCATGCCTGTAATCCCAGCACTTTGGGAGGCCTAGGTGGGTGGATCACCTGAGGTCACGAGTTCAAGATTAGCCTGGCCAACATGGTGAAATCCCGTCTCTACTCAAAATATAAAAATTAGCTGGCTGTGCTGGTGTGTGCCTGTAATCCCAGCCACCTGGGAGGCTGAGGCAGGCGAATCACTTGAAGCTGGGAGGCGGAGGTTGCAGTGAGCTGAGATGGCACCACTGCACCCCAGCCTGGGCAATAGAAGGAGACTCTATCCAAAAAAAAAAAAATTGAACTGACATTCACACATCATCTGTACACAAATGCTCATAGCAGCATTAGTCACAATAGCCAAACAGTGACAGCAAATGTCTATCACCAAACAAATGGGTAAACACAATGAGGTCCATCCATACAACAGAGTCTCATTCAGCCATGGAGCAGAATGAAGCACTGATGCATGCTACAATGTGGGCGAACCTGAAACTTTCACACTAAGTGAAAGAATGCAGCGGACCCAAAAGGCCACACGTCACATGATTCCACTGTATGAAATGTCCAGATAGGCAAAGCCACAGAGAAAGGAGACGGGTGGCTGCCGGGGGATGGAGAGAGAGAGGAGAGGGAGTGACTGCTTAATGATGATGGGGTTTCCATTCGGGGTGATAAGTTTTGGAACTAGATAGAGGCGACGGTTAATGACATCGTGAATTACAGAAAGCCACTGAATTGTTCACGTTAAAATGGTTACATGTTACATGATGTGAATGTTGCCTCATAAAAGAAGTCCATCTGTATCACCAATTTAAATACATCTTCCTGGTAGTGCCTATTAAAATTATATTGACTTCGATCTTTTTATTATGAAAATAAACTGCACTCGGGTGGAAAAAGAAAGCAAACTTCTGCCACACTGGATCCTCGGAGGGAGGGGGCAGTTGCAAACCCAGGGCAGGAGGACGGCACACAAGCCATGAACGGCAGCCGTCCGGGGGCATCACCACGGCGCCTCACCATCCCTTCTCTGTGTGATTCCTGTTGTTGCCATCCTTCTCCCTAAGAAAGCATCTGCCCTGCTACCTGGAGGAGGGCAGCTGAGAGCTGCCACTTGAAAATGCCTACAAGGACTGACCGTATCAGTCCATTCTCACACTACTATAAAGAAATACCTGAGACTGGGTAATTTATAAAGAAAAGGGGTTTCATTGGCTCACGGTTCTGCAGGTTGTATAGGAAGCATGGCTGGGGAGGCCTCAGGAAACTTACAATCGTGTCAGAAGGCAAAGCGAAAGAGGGCACGTCAACATGGCTGGAGCAGGAGGAAGAGAGAGGAGGGGACACGCTACACACTTTTAAACAACTAGGTCTCATGAGAACTCACTCACTGTCACGCAAACAGCAAGGGGGAAATACCCACAACACATGACCCGATCACCTCCCACCAGGCCCCTCTTCCAACATTGGGGATTACAATTTGACAGGAGATTTGGGTGGGGACACAGATCCAAACCATATCACAGACCTTATGAGTGGTACCGGCAGGTGTCTTCAGTGGGACGCCCTAGAAGGAGCCCCCAAGCTGGGGATTCTTGTTCGGTGGAATTTCCAAGGACAGGGTTCCCAGGAGTGGAGTGAGGGAGGGGACCCATGTAGGGCAGGGGAGAGGCTGAACAGGCACGGCCTCAGCAGGAGGCCAGCCTCAGCCTGGGCCCACGAGAAAGCTCTGAGAGCAAATGGCACCAGCGCCCTTGCCACCGTGGGGCCAGCCCTTACGCCTCCTATCACCTGGCCAGGCACCGGTGGGCAGTTCCCCACGGAGGGCTGCCGTGGGTTGGCAGAGCTGGGGCAGGGCCCTCCTGACCCCTCTCCTCCTCTCACCCAGTGGCCTTGAAGGCCAGAGCACAATCCCAGGGAGGTTGGCAAAATTCCCTCCTTCACCTGAAGCCGGCACCAAGCCAGCTCTGTGGGCCTCCCGGCAGCACCGCTTTGCCGACCTGCATGTGAGTGGCTGTTGCCAGCACCTTCCAGGCTGCCCAAAAGCCTCTGGAGTGCACCTGTGACAATTACAGGTTTCGTGGCACTAACAGCAATAATAATCATTAGAAAGCAGCCTGTGCCGGCTGCATCGGTTTCTTGTTTAGTTGTGCTTTGAGTGCAGTTAATCTTATAGCTAATATCTAAATGGAAAGGGCAGAAAGACTGTGTTCTTTCTATTTCCCCTCTAAATAGATGTTGCCTTCACCCAGGAACATGGCTTAGCAAGAGGCATGGCTTACAGGCCTTGCCGTGCCCCAGGAATGGCTGCTCTGAACAGCTCACAAGGGTCCCGATTCCTTACTGCCGCTTCAGCAAACGTTCCTGCGGATTTTACGTGGTGACGGGTGCCCCCTGCATGATAGCCGTCCAGACCCCAGCACCCACAGAAACTAAGCCACCAAAACAAGACCTAACAGGAGGGGACCCGCAGGGCTCCTGAGCAGAAGGCTGGGCGTCAGGGGAGTCCCAGCAGATGGGCGCTTGTTCAAGTCCTCAGGGGCAGACAGAAGGTTCCAGAGAGGTCCTCCCTGCGGCTGCCGCCTCCCCGGGCTGTGCAGGGCTCACTTGCAGTTAATGAGCCCTCATTAACATGTTGATGGGGATGTGTGCTGTGTCTACTTGGAACCCTTTCACTGTGATGGTTGTTTTTGTTGGATTAATGATGCTCAGGTTGGATCCCTTCATAAAAGATGCTGCTTCCCCTCCTTCCTCAACCCCAGCCTTTTCCTAACAGAGCAATGCCATTTTCCCAGGCAGGCCTCCCTGCAGCCTCCCACCCTCGGCCAGCCCACTGACCCCAAATACTTGCCCGGACCACGATCCAAGTGCGTCCCTGCTGGCTTCCCCTCCCCATATGGCTCCACAGGCCACTTCCAAGTTCCAGGTCCCTCCTGCTTTCCTCTGAGCAATGCATTGATCCTGCGGCTGCCTCTGGGCCCAGCAGCTCCTTAGCCTGGGGATCCAGGAGGCAGGGGCTCCGGGGACCGCTTGGCTGGGACCATGCAGAGCAAGTCCAGGGCCAAGGCACCCAAGGCCAAGTTAAAGCTTGGAGCCTGGAATGACTCAGCGCGTGCCCCGGGAGCTGGCCTCTCCAGTGGGCACTCAGGGTTCTGGTGAGGAGCTAGGGGCACCTGCAGCTACCTCTGAAGGCGTGTTTCTTTCCCAGGTGCTGTGGCAATTTAGGAACAAGCTCAGGTGAAAGGTCGGTAATAAGGGAAGAGGTCTGTGCCCTGGGGTAGGGTGTCTCCTCTGAAACCATCGCGGACTTCCCCAGCCTGGCTCGAGTGCCAGTCCACCTCCGTCACCTCCGTGTGACCTGGAATCTCTCCTCCATGTCCTTGAATCCCCTCCACCCACTCCTTGAACCCCTCCAGCTTGAACCCTCTCCACCCCCTCCCTGAGCCCCCTCCACCTTGAACCCCTCCATCTTGAACCCCCTCACCTCCACTTTGAACCCTGCACACTCAGTCCACACCTCTCACTGCTGCCCCTTTGCAGGTCTCATGCCCTTCCCCACTCCCCTGAGTCCCCTCAACTGCCACATCTACTTCTAAAGCTCCCCAGCCTCTTGATGCAGTGTATTAGTCAGCAACTGCAGAGTTAACACTAGGTAAGAAAACTCCCGCCATGTCACTGGGGAAGGTATTCATTCCTATCTAGCGAGCCTGCAGGCGGGTCCGAGCTCTGCTGGTTAGAGCGGGCTCCACCCACCACTCTGCTGCAGCTGCGTTCCAGGAGAGCTTCCTCCAGACCAGGCTGGGCCCAGGCCTGTCCCTCGTGTGTTCATTCTGAAGCCCAGGCTGAAGGAGCAGTGGCTGCCTGAGGCCTGCTTTTCTCCAGGCATCTGTCACTGGGAACTCAAGAACCAAGCCAGCCACGTGAGCTCTGTGTGCATCTTGTCCACTGCCATCCCGCTGGTCAACAGTCAGGCCCTGGAGCCCAGTGTCAGTAGGGAAGGGGATGTACACTCTGCCTGCAGTGGGAGAAAGCCCGGGAATCCTTGCTAGGAATCGCACCAGCTTGAACCCACTTCCCGGGCTGCACTGCCGGGCCCCCTGAGCAGCCAGACCCCCTCCTGCCTCTGAGTCTCGAACATGCTATGGACCTCCCCCGGCACAGGCCCAGCAATGTGCTGCATATGCTGGGTTGCCGATGCCTACAGTTCTGTGGCCTCTCGTGGTCCTGTTTACCTGCACAACCCCTTGCATGATCCCTGTCACATAGTAGATGCTCAGCACACACTCTGTAATCTCCTCGCGCACCCAGCTTTCTATCACTCAGAAGGGCCAGGTTCACCCCAGCATACCCACCCCAACCCCCACAGCTCAACAAGGGAGTGCGCTTCCCCCACAGGTTGGGGAAGCTTTGATGTGCTGGCCCCATCCAGGCCCAAGGCAGGGACAAGGGGACCAGCTGTTCTCTGCCCTGCCCTGCCCTGCCCTAGCCTCTGCAGAGACACCTCCAGCTCTGTTGCTATGGTTGCCACTCTGTTATCCCCTCTGCTTGCTCACTGATGCCAGACTTTTCTAGAGTGGGAACTGACCCACACTCTCTAACAGGGCATAAATCATCAAAACTTTAAAGTCCTGGTTAAGACCCAGGGACAGGAAGGGCCCCGAAATCCTGTGCTGGTGAGAACGTGGCTTCACTTCTCCCCTGCAGGGCCATCTGGGGGTTGGCAGGCATGGCAGGTCCATCAGAATCCCACCCTGCCCCAGGCAGGGGGCTCTGAGAGCTGAAAGCGGGACGAGCGCTGGGTGTGGACACATTAAAGCAGACAGGTGAGATGCTGAGGGCGTTACTGACCCAGGTTGAGCATCAAAGAAACATTTGTCGAATGAATTAATGAATAATGACAAGGCATTGCTTCCATTGCACCATGCTGATGTAACCCCAGGGTGGCCACCATCCCAGTTTACCCAGGACCAAGGGGCAACCTGGGATGCAGGACTTTCAGTACTCAAGTCAGGAGAGTCCCAGGCAAACTAGGACAAATGGGTCACCCTCCATGAACAAGGAGATCCTTCAGCCCCTTCCCGGTGACTCTGCTTGGGGTGGAGGGAGAGGCAGAGGCCAGAGCCCAGCGGCTCCTCCGCACCCGCTCGCCTGGGCCCAGAGGGGTGCACCAGCCTCTGGGGGAGTCCTGCCATGGCCACCCACAAGCTGCTCAGAGGGGAGACAGCGGGACCCCTGGTGGCTGGGAATGAGACTCAGCATCTCCAGGGCAGGTCCAGGAGCCGCCTCATCTCATCCAGTCGTGGACACACCCAGGAGTTCTGCTGGCAGCAGGAAGCAGGCGCTGGTTGGCTTCTGTTTGCCGATGTCTGTCCTGAGAGGGAGGTGGGCTTGTTTCTGGGACAGCCGAAAAGCAGAGAACCAGGTTTGCCTCCAACCCTGTGGCTTCCACCTGGCCAGCCCCTCACCGAGTCATTGTGGCTCCTTCAGAAATCACAGATTGGGGTTTCCCAAGCACCGCCGGCTCAGTTGGCAGGACTGACTTTGGACAGGAGACACATGAGACCCTGACTGAAGCTCTGCAGCTGAGGACCCCCACGGCACTCAACAGGCCCCAGGAATGCACAGCTCCTGAGAGGGGATGAGAACATTCCTGGGGTTTGCAAAGCTCAGATCTAAGGCTAAACGCAGTGTTCTGCTTCAAGCAGGAACCCAGGACATGTGAGCCAGAAAGGAGTGGGGAGAGAGAGGAAGGGAGGGAGGAAGAGAGGGGTCAGGAGGAGAGAGACACAGAGAGAAGGAGAGAGACACAGAGAGAAAGAGGGAGAGAGGGAAAGAGGGAGAGAGAAGGAGAAAGGACCTGCTGAAACGTGAAAACAGAAATCCAACCAGAAAGAGGAGACAGGGTTGAAGGAGGAAGGAAAGAGGTAGAAAGCTGAAAGTGAGGAGAAGGAAGGAAACTCCGTTCTGCCCTCGTGCCCAGACAACAGGTGCTCATTCAGAAAGCATGGTGGCTCTGGGCCCAGAGATGCCCTGGGGCTGCCCAGATGCCGCAGGGGTCAGTCGCCTCCCGGAGGCAGAGCTCAGCCAGTGTTGCCTCCAACCCTCACCTCCTGGCCCAAGGTGAGCCACACACATTTCTACACATGGAAAGGAACTGTGGAACTGGAGAGGGTGAGCCCAAAGACCCATGCAGACCACTGAAGGCCCAGACATAGCAGAGACGCCCTGACGAAGAGCACCAGGGGGTGAGGGCACTGCCCTGCCAGCCCCTAAGACACTATAAAGACACACTAAAGACAGCGGCAGTAGGCAGCACTGGACTGGCAGAGAGACCCATGGGACAGAACAGAGCCAGGGCAGCCCCATGCACTGATGTGAGCTTGGTCATGACCAAGTTCACGCTGCAGGCGGCATCGCGGGAAACGGTGCTTGGAGTCAGGTTATCTATACTCTAAAATAAAATGTGATACCCCCCACAAGTTTAAAATTTTTTCAAAGAAATGATTTATGATCTTGTGGTCCATAAGAAGGTCTTTTTTAAAAATCACACAAGCCATAAAAGAAATAATTGAGAAAATGTAACTGCTTAAATTTTTTAAAAACCTATTCAAGGCCAGGCGGGGTGGCTCACACTTGCAATCCCAGTGCTTTGGGAGGCTGAGGCAGGCGGATAATCTGAGGTCAGGAGTTCGAGACCAGCCTGGCCAACATGATGAAACCCTGTCTCTACTAAAAAAGAAAAAAAAAATTAGCTGGGCGTGGTGGTGGGCGCCTGTAATCCCAGCTACTTGGGAGGCTGAGGCAGGAGAATCACTTGCACCCAGGAGGCGGAGGCTGCAGTGAATGGAGATCGTGCCACTGCACTCCAGCCTGGGCGACTGAACATGACTCCATCTCAAACCAAAAAACAATACAAAACAACTACAAAGGCTGGGCACGGTGGCTCATGCCTGTAATCCCAGCACTTTGGGAGGCCAAGGCGGGCAGATCACGAGGTCAGGAGATCGAGATCATCCTGGCGAACACGGTGAAACCCCGTCTCTACTAAAAATACAAAAAATTAGCCGGGCAAGGTGGCAGGCGCCTGTAGTCCCAGCTACTCGGGAGGCTGAGGCAGGAGAATGGCGTGAACCCGAGAGGCGGAGCTTGCAGTGAGCCGAGATCATGCCACTGCACTCCAGCCTGGGCGACAGAGCAAGACTCCATCTCAAAAAACAACAAGAACAACAACAACAAAAGGCTGGGCACGGTGGCTCACGCCTGTAAACTGACAGAGCAAGACTCTGTCTCAAAAAAAAAAAAAAAAAAAACACATACAAAACAAACAGAAAGTGGAAAAACAAGTCAGAAACCCAGAGATGGTTGCGGCATGCATAACTGATAAAGTTTGTATTCAGAATGCATTTAGGACTCATAAAAATCAATGTTAAAAAACACACGAGACAATCGGAAAATAAACAAAAGACCAAAAAAAGGCATTTCATACAAGGAAGTGTCTAGCCGATGAAAATGTGGATCCGTATTCAACCTCATTAGCACCCAGAGATACAGACATTGAAGCCGCAATGAGAAACCACTGCATAGGCATCCAATACTCAAACCATCTTTAATGGGGTAAATGGGGTAATATCTGGTATTGGCCAGGATGTGGGTTCAGGATCCATCAGACACGATTGGTGGACTTGTCACCGCTGCAGCCACTTAGGAAACCGTTCGGCCTCACCTGACGAAGCTGAAAATGTGCTTCCCTGAGACCCGACAACTCTCCTTCTTGGCAAATGTTTTAGAAGTCTTGCCCATGTGCACCAGGAGACGTGGACATTCACAGCAGTGATGCTCAAACTGATTAAAATCACATCCTCCACCTGGAGAACCGAGGGCTGCTGTGCATTCAGACGCTGGAATTCCACACAGCACTGAAAAAGTGGGCCACAGCCACACATCTGCACATTTGCCCATCTCAGAAACGACACAGAGTCAAAAAAAAAAAAAAAAGCAAGAAGAATTACACACTGGAATTCCATCCAAATAAAGCTCAGAAATATACAACTGAACCACATGTGATTTAGAGTCAGAAACAGCAGATAAAACTATAAAAGCAAAGAATAGAAAACACCACACTCAGGATGCTGTTCCCATTTGGAGGAAGAGGGAGAAGGCAGGGAATGAAACTGGGAGGCGGGCAGGACCCAGAAGGCCACGCCAGCCATCTGTGCCTCCGGCCGGTGGTGGACACAGGACACACTTTGCTTATTCATTATTTATACGTAAATGTCTCTGCATATTTCATCATGCTCCAAAAGAACGCAAATGAAGGCAAGAAGCTAACGCAACAGGACAGGGGGCCGAGGGAGGAGAGGCCAGGCAGGCTCCAGCTAGGGAAGGCTTGTTCTCAACACCCCCCCGGTCAGCTGTTGGGGGCTGTGCCCTTCCCCCCACCACACCCTACCATCTTCTGATGCTCTGTCCTCGTCCCACAGAAGTGACTGGTCTGGGTCTGACACCCGGCACGTGAGCATCCCCAGGATGTGAGGGGCAAAGCATACCTGTGGTCCCCCCACCTGGGGGCTCATTAAAAACGCGTGTGGACTGCACTGCGCTGTGCTGACCCGGGCTGGTCCGGGATGTGTGGACGCAGCCGCTGGTTGGAAACGTCCATTGTGCCGCTGGCTGGTGGAGGACGCCGCATGGCTGAGCCACCCCGAGGGGACCTGGCTTCCTTCCCCCTTCCTTGTCCAGTCGCCTCTTCCTTCCCTCTGGTCCTCACTCCGACTTAACCCACAGCTTTGGGTGGGCTCCCTGCTGCCCCAGTGGGCCCAGTGGGCAAGGAGGGGCGACCCCCAGGATCCTCAGAAAAGCAAACCCTCTCTCCACAGTGCCCCTCGCTGCCCCACATTTCCCCAGGTGTGTGGGGGCCACACAGTGGCAGCCAGGTCTCTTTCAGTGCCTCCCTCCGCCTGCCCCAGGAGGGACACCCTAGAACCCCACTCAGCACCCACCAATGCACAAGCCAGAGCAGCTAACCTCTGCCCAGAGGGAGGAGGATGCCCTTGGGCCAATTCTTCCCCCACTTGCCTCTCTGATGGCCTTTCCAGGGTCTGGGGTTGGGGGGGATCCTGAGAGCCTGGCCGTCAGTCCCGCCTGGAGGAATCACTCAGCCTGGAGTGGGCTCCACCTCCTTCCCTGCCCCTCCCCAAGGTGTGGGACTCTGTGCCTCAAGCTCTGCCTTCCAGCTGTCTAGGCTGAACCCCCAGATGACACCCCAGAGCCTCCACAGAGCCCCGAGGCTGCCCCGGGCTATCTGCCAAGGTCCAGCCAGGGGAGGGATCCCAGCTCTCCCACTGGTTCCAGCCCAGGCCCACGTGGCCTCCTGATGTGGCTCCCAAACCAGCCTTCAAAGCCACTCACTGTGACGGACACAGGAGGAATGCCACCTCCTCATCCAACGTGAGGACAAAGGATGGAGCCAGGCCGTCAGCAGTGTGAGTGTGTGAAACTGCTCGGCCCAGAGGGTTCAGCTTCTGCTTCTCAGGGGACAGAGGCACCAACTTTTACCAAACACTGGAATAGAAGGAAGCTCCGTCTGTCTGTCCCTGGGTTAACAGCTATTGAATGATGGACAGAGGGTACATGTCTACAGAGGGTACAGAGGGATTTATCAATGTCTCTGTTGACTATTGATGACAATTGGATTTTTAAAAGCCTAGGGCACAGTGGGTTTCACTCTATAGAAATCGCACCTTAATAAATCTGAGCGAAAAATCTTAAGGAAGGACAAAGGGATGGGGACAATCTGTCCATTCCCCTGTCTCCAGATGGCCCAGCCCGTGAATGATCTGGTCATCCATTCTACCGGCCATCCCTCCTGTCCCCTCAGGACAGACCCAGCTTTTGGCTCTGTTTCTACAGAGATCAATGGCACCTCCCCACTGTCCATGGCTCTTCACAGACAGGCCCAGGAGACCATGTGGGCCAGGCCCCAACACAGGCAGACCCAGCGTGCAGAGCCCACCTCACCGAGGCAGGAGAAGGCGGGGAAGACTTCCTGGAGGAGGTGCATTTTGGAGGCTACATAGGCGTCCACTAAGTAGAAAGGGATGGAGAGGCTGGTGCAAGCTGAGGAGCCTGGGTAAGGCTGTGGCATGAGGCATAGGGAGCTGGAGGATGTGGCCTAGACGGGGCCAAAGGGGACCCTGGGGAAGAGTCAGGGAGAGCCTGTCCACCTTGCTGAGGAATCTGGATTCTATCCACTGGGAGCACGGGGGAGCTTTGAGCAGGAAGCACCAGGACTGACTCCGTGGGTGGGAAACTGGGCAGAGACAGAGGGGGGCACACAGCCAGGGGCAGGGGCCCAACGGGGACTAGGACCGTAGCCCTGTGAGAGACCACAGTGGTCAGGGCCAAGGATGGGAAGACGAGAACTGGGGGGGCCCCTGAAAGTGGAGGTGAGGGGTCAGGATGGTACCCAGGTGTGGGCACAGGAGGGCAGGGGCACTCCAGAGGCAGGAATGGAAGAGCCACGGAGGGACTGAGTTCTGTGCATGTCGATTCCCGGCGCTGGCAGGGCTGCCGGGGGACTCGTCCAGAGAGTACGGGGACATGGACACAGGCACCATCATCACTCCGTGGTGGACAAAGCGACAGGCTGGCTAAGCAGAGGGACAGGCAGAGGACAGGGTCCTGGGAAGCACCCTCGGACGTGGGCAAGCAGAGGTCCTAAGCCAAGGGTCCTGGCCGGGGAGGACAGGGAGGTCAGGAAGCCACAGGGGGGTATCCGAGGACGCCGAGGGCTGTGAAGACACTGAACAAAGCGAGACCAAAGGTGGCAGACAGTGGCCAGACCACGATGACCAGGCACAAAGGCTTCAGAGCACGGCAAGGCTGAGAGCCGGAGTACAGGATGTGCCTAAAACCCCTCACCCTAAATGCCCCTGAAGACAAAGCACAGGTCATCCACGCTGCAGGGCCCCCCAAGGAAGGCGGCTCCCAGGCCTCAGGCTCAGCTACCCAGCCTGGAGCAGGAAGCCCCTTAGCAGGGGAGTGGGCTGTCAAGCCCATTGCCTCAAGCCAGAGGGCTCCAAAGTGTGCCTGGGGACCACCGAGGGTCCCTGAGAGCCCTCCAGGGGTTCTCAAGGTCAAAGTTACATGCATTTTTAACACTGAGCCAATTTGCCGCTTTCACCGAGCGGACTCTCGCTGTCGGCCCAAACGCAATGGCAGAAGGACTGTGGGCTGACAGGGTCAGGGCCTCAGCCACCGCACTCCTTGCCGCACGCATTTGCAGAGGGAAAAGGGAGTTGAACAAAGTGAGCCTGTCACTCCAGGGAAAAGAAATGATGGTCTTTGTTATCAATGATAAAATCTATTCTTTTTTTTTTTTTTTTTTTTTTTGAGACAGAGTCTCCATCTGTCACCCAGGCTGGAGTGCAGTGGCATGATCTCAACTCACTGCAACCTCCGCTCCCCAGGTTCAAGCAATTCTCCCACTTCAGCCTCCCAAGTAGCTGGGATTACAGGTGCCCACCACCACACCCAGCTAATTTTTGTATTGTTAGTAGAGACAGGGTTTCACCATGTTGGCCAGGCTGGTCTCGAACCCCTGACCTCAAGTGATCCGCCCACCTTGGCTGCCCAAAGTGCTGGGATTACAAGCATGAGCCACCACGCCTTGCCAAAATCTACTCTTTCAAAGAGAAATTAGAATTTGGGGAAATGTTATCCACCACAGAGAGCTTGACAGCCTCCCAATAGTTCCAGACTTTGCTGATGAGAACAGAGATGGTTTTAACAAGTATGATTTTTGATACTGCAGAGCAAAAATTGTTTTGATATGGTAGTACATTTTTTTCCAGACCACTGAGGCACAATGATACAAGATCATATGTGGCTAAAAGATCCATTCAAAGTGCAAGACAGACCAGGGGATTTTAGGATAACAGAGCAAAAACATTCATTAATACGCTTTCCGTTTCCATATTGCAACTAACCCTTGAGAAACCGGTACTTGTGAAGTGTCAGTGCAGTATCAAAGAGGAAAAGCCACCTGGGGGAGCAGCTACGAGATTCCAGCTGTCTTCTATCAAGCCAGAAGTTAAGGAGATTTGCAGAAATATAAAACCATGCCACTTTTTTTTTTGCTTTGGAAAAAATACATTTCATCATAAATATTTATGCCAACATGTAATGACTATGATCTTTACTGAATTAAATATTTTTCTTTTTTTTTTTTTAGATGGAGTCTCGTTCTATCGCCCAGGCTGGAGTACAGTGACACGATCTTGGTTTACTGCAACCTCTGCCTCCCGGATTCAAGTGATACTCCTGCCTCAGCCTCCTGAGCAGCTGGAATTACAGGCACACACCACCATGACGGGCTAATTTTTGTATTTTTAGTATAGACGGGGTTTCACCATGTCGCCCAGGCTGGTCTCGAACTCCTCGCCCCAAGCAATTCACCCTCCTCGGCCTCCCAAAATGCTGGGATTATAGATGTGAGCCACCACACCTGGCCCGTTCTTTTGCATCCTTTATAATAAGCTGAGAAAGCACCTTCCTGAGTTCTGTGAGCTGTTCTAGGAAATTCTCAAACCCAGGAAGGAGGCTGTGGGAAACCCGGTGTAAAGCCAGTCAGAAGTGTAGGTGGCCAAGGCCAGGCACGGTGGCTCACGCCTGTAATCCCAGCACTTTGGGAGGCCAAGGCAGGCGGATCATGAGGTCAGGAGATCAAGACCATCCTGGCTAACACAGTGAAACCCCATCTCTACTAAAAAAAAAAAAAAAAAAAAATACAAAAAATTAGCCGGGCATGGTGGTGGGCACCTGTAGTCCCAGCTACTCGGGAGGCTGAGGCAGGAGAATGGCGTGAACCCGGGAGGCGGAGCTGGCAGTGAGCTGAGATCGCGCCACCGCACTCTAGCCTGGGCGACAGAATGAGACTCCATCTCAAAAAAAAAAAAGAAGTGTAGGTGGCCAAAACTCACAACTGGTGTCTAGAGAAGGGGCAGTCTTGGAGCAAAAGCTTCAGCCTGTGCAGTGTGACACTACCTCCAGGTAGTGGCGAAGTTGAATTGAATCAGAGAACACCCAGCTGGTGTTGAGAGTAGGGAGGAAGCCCACTCTCCTATTAAAAGAGACACAGCTGGCCAGGTGCGGTGGCTCATGCCTGCAATCCCAGCACTTTGGGAGGCTTAGGCGGGCAGATCACGAGGTCAAGAGATCGAGACCATCCTGGCCAACATGGTGAAACCCCATCTCTACTAAAAGTACAAAAATTAGCCAGGTGTGGTGGTGCGTGCCCGTAGACCCAGCTACTCAGGAGGTTGAGGCAAGAGAATCACTTGAACCTGGGAGGTGGAGGTTGCAGTGAGCTGAGATCGCATATGGAACTCCAGCCTGGTGACAGAGCAAGCAAGCCTCCGTCTAAAAAAAAAAAAAAAGACACTGTGCATTTGGTGTCAGGAGGAGAAAAACACCTGGGAGCCTCTCCCCAGCTCCCAGGTGAAATCACGCTGATGGGGTTATGTCAAGGTCATACTTCGCTTCTTGGGTTCATTCTCCAAAGCCGGCATCTGCAGACCATGTGGAGCTCACACTTCCCTTCTTGGGTTCATTCTCCAAAGCCGGCATCTGCCAGATTTCCGCTAGTGTTTCCCACCTCGGTCTGTGTCCGGTCAAGTCCTGTGCCCCTGAATCTGGTGACCCTCAGCCCTCCTCCCCAAGGAATAAACCCCCCAAAGCAGACCCAAAGGTCCCGCCTTGCGCTGTCCTTGCAAGGAAGAGAGAAATGGCAGCAAAACTAGCCCAGATCCTGTTTTCTTCCTCGCTATGTGATGCTGTGCTGAGTATAAATAAATATATAAATAAATGAATAATTTAGGTTTTTCTAAATAAGTAATGAAAAATGGATGTGTGCGTCAGTCATAACTGTTTATGGACTAGAACTGCAGTTAATAGTTGGTTAAGAATAAAATGTGACAAGAATTAATGGAAATTTTACATTCACAATTAAATTTGAGATCTAATTAAAAAAAAAAAGCCACCGCTGGATCTGACATACTCAGGTCATACCTGCTGGGTCTCCCCAAGACGCCTTCCTCCCTCCCACGACCCCGACAAAGGGGCTCCTTGTCCTCCTGTTCAAAGACATTCATGTGGCCTCTCATATCAATATCACTACAGAGGAACAGTCCCCTCTCTCAGCAACAGACCCCCACAACCCTCGAAAACAATGGGGGAGACTGGGGGTCTTAACCCCAGCACCACCTCCACCACCAGAATCTGTGCATGGCCTCTGACCTTTGAATCTTAGCCCCCACGACCTCCTCCTCCCACTGCTCTGCATAAGCCAGCATCTCAGGTACCCCCAAATCTCACAGGAAACCTCACAGAGCACAGAGAGCCCCGGACAACACTCACTCCTCCCTCAGCCACTGTCCTGGACCCCACCAAGCCGCACCGGCAGCCCAGTCCATCATCCCTCCCCGGTGCCCTGTGTCCTATAGTGTTTGGTGTCCTGTTTTCTGGCTGGATCTACGAGCCAGGCTGCCTCACACACATCATGGGGTGGATTTGGACTGAGGTGGGGCCGCTGGGCTGCATGGAGCCTGCAAAGCTGGACTCTGGTGCCGAAGTTTGCCGACACCTACTCTGCTGTCCAGCCTGGAGACCGAAAGAAGAGGAGCTGGCCTGGGGCCCAGGAGCTGGAGTTCCCAGTCCAGTGGGATGACGAGGAGGATGGGGTGGAGGGGGAGAGCCCGGGCCCACCTGGAGAGCCCTGCTGTGCTCTGCTGTAGGGCGTGTGAGAGGGGCCACAGACTCACACGGACTCACAGGGCTTTGGACTTCTTAGCAACCTGGAGAGGAGGGAGAGAAGGAGCAGAAGGAGGGGATGGGAGGCCTCATGGAGTTCCTCAGGCCCTAGGGCCACCCTCAGACCAAGGCCACACCGTCCTGCAATCCAGCTGGCTGCTCTAAAGGGGCTTTGTGTTCCCAACACCTAACCAGGTTCCTCTTCCTCCAGCTTTGCTTCTGAGGTCTCCAGGCCGTGAGACCCTCAAATTTGAATCCTCCCTGATCACCCGCAGCCCCACACATGCACATAAACACACACATGTGCCCACAAACATGAACACACAATGCAAATGCACACACACGTGCACATGCACTCACATGCACACACGCCATGCACACGCATGCACACATGCATTCACACTCACGTGCACACGCGTACACATGCATGCACGCATGCATTCACACACATGCACACACACACACGTACACATGCACACACATGCACACACATGCACATTCACACTCACACATGCACACTCACACGCACATGCACACACTCGCATGCACACATGCACATGCGCCTCCAAGGCTGGCCCTTTCACGCAGCTTTGCTTGCCCAGCTTCCTTCAGGTCCAGGTTCCCAAAGCCCTCCCCTGACCACAAAGTTTCCAGGCCGGCCTTGGGTTTGGCCCCACAACGGAGGCAGAGCCAGACACCACCTCAGAGATGGCTCAGTCTACCTGCTGCTGTACGACCAGGTCAGAAAGGCCCAAAGAGGCCACATGATGCCGAGGTCACCTGGCCTGCCTGAGGGAGCTGGGTCCAGGCTCAGCCCTCCAATTCCCGGGGTCTCTTCCCAGACCCCAGGAGGCCTGGTGGGCGGGGGTTCTAGGGGCCTGAACTGTGAATGTGGGACACAGAGCTGGGCCAGGGTTCCAGAGCACAGGCTGCAGGAAGGGACCAGGCAATCCTGGAAGGAGGAAGAGCCCATAGCTGTCCATCCTGCTTGTCTTCATGCACGAAGCAGGTGTCAGTCAGCTGGGACAGGCCATCTCGAACTGGCAACCACCCCACTCAAATACATGATTTTAAGTGAGCCCCACTCTGCAACTCTGGCCAACACAGCTATCCGCATTTGTTTGCCTAGCTCAGAAGGGGAAAAAAAATATCAAGAGGCAGGCGCTTCAAGTGCAAATGTATCCAACTCCCAGCAAAAGGTTGTGCTGCGGGCCCACGGCCAGGCAGTATTCTGGGATTGGACCTCTTCCCTTGCCCTAAATTTAACCAGCTGGAAATCTTTTTTTAAGCTGCATCCTATTCAACCTTTTGAAATAAAGATTTGCCTTTTAATGGGAAATCTGCATTCCATTGTGGAGAAGGAACCGGCACCCTTGGCTCAGCCCGGCTCCTCCTGGCACGCGGCTTCCTGGTTTTGGCTGCAAACCTAGGAAAGCTCACATGTGCAGGGGTGGAGGCCCCTGACCGTCCAGGCCGCTGTCCCTGGGCTGAGGGGACATTCTGAGATGGGCACAGAGACTTTCTTAGGGAAAGCAGGAAATTAAAAGCAACAGCAATGAAAAGACACTGTGCCAAGAAAATAAATAAGACATTCTTCAATTTTTGCCCACGAACGTGCCCCACGCATGGGAGCTGCGTGCGGCCCGTGGTCAGGCAGAAACACCCGCACACAATGGCTGGGTTCAAATCTCGCCCTACCCCTCCTAGCTCGTGAAACATCTCTGTGTCTCAGTTTCCCCATCTGTAAATCAGGGGTGAGGACAACACCTACCTCCCGGGGGCTGCTACATAGATTGAGTTAATAGTGGTATAGCACACTGGTAAGAGCACAGGTGGGGCCAAAGAATAAATGATAGATGAAACGTGTTCTCTCCTGGAAATGGCTTACTACCGAGTCATGCAGGAGGGAGAGTCAGGAGTAGGGAGAAACCTTTAGTCCAGGTTCGATTCTGCGGCCTCGGGTGTGAGGCCGGTGCTATGCAGGGGCTGTGGGAACAAGGACATGGCCTTCACCAGCGTGGAGAGATGAGGCAGACGTGGAGGTGGACCCAAAGTGGGAGATGTCAGGGCAGACCTGGCAGTTGGGGATGTCTTTAGGGACAAAAGGGGACATGAGCCAACCCCAAGGGAACTAGGCAGGCAGAAAGGGCAGGGACCCATCCTCCTGCAGACACACTAGGATATCAGACGATGACGGAGCCTGTGTTCTGGGCGCCTGGTCCAGATGGAGGCGATGCAGGTTGGTAGAGGCCAGGAGAGGAGGTGGGCACTGTTTCAGGACCCCATGTGTGTAAACAATTTGATTTTCAAATGTATCACAGAAGTGGTGGCTGGGCCTGTGCGAGGTATGAGGACCCGATGGAGACTCTGAATGATGGTGGAGAGGACCAGAGAAGACCGCCCATCGGCTGAGTCCCAGAGCGACTGGGGCATCTGATCCCTTGTCCCTTGTACAGGAGAGACAGTTGGGCAGCGTACAAAGGAAGGCACCCTATGGGGACAGCTCTGAGGGCCCCAGCCAGCCCCAGACACTGGAGGGGGACATAGGAAACTGGGAGGCAGTCCAGGCACAGGGCCCTGTAAGCTGTGAGTTCCAAGGACAGGACTGCCCAGGGTAGAATCAGAGCATGGCCACCTCTGCACAGCAGATGCTGTCCGGGAGGGCACAGGGGAGCCTGGGCAGGGTGAGGGGTGCACATGTGGAAAATGCGCCCAGCCGTACCTCTGTGGCACAGCTATCTGAGCACGTGTGCATGTGTGTGTGCGTGTGTGTGTACATGTGTGCATGTGTGCGTGTGTGTACATGTGTCTGAGTGCACATACGTGTGCATCTGAGTGCACGTGCATGTGTGCCTGTGTCTGAATGCACATGTATGCACATGTGCTCAAGACCAGGGAGGGCAGATCCTGCAGGCCAGCTGTAAAGAAGGAAGGGGGAGCCCTGGACTAGAGCAGATCTCAGGAACCCCAAATCAGGGACTCATTCTCTTCATTATAACCTCGGGAGAAGAATTACAGAAAGTTATGAGAATTGCAATCACTTCCTATGTGTGCCCAAGGTGTACGCACTTGACCGTACATATGTTACACCCTGAGGAAAATGTTCATTAGGATAGAATATTTGCATAATTATATGTCAAGCTGTACACTATTTTGGTAGGCAGATAGGGGGCTTCATGAGATGACCTTTCAGAGTTCTCGGGTTTCTTAGGGGCTATGAGGGGGTGGAATAATGGCCCCACAGATGGCCACATCCTCATCTCCAGAACTCAACCCCTGCTTCTGTGAACCCTACTCTCTGTGAATTCATTGCCTTGCATGGCAGCAGTCACAGGAGTCAGTTAAAGATCTGGAGATGGGAGATTATCCGGGTGGGCGGGTGCAATCCCAACGTCCTTAGAAGTGGAAGACGGAGGCGGGAGGGGTCAGGATGATGTGATGGATGGAGCTCATGGAGGGCACAAGCCAAGGAGTGCCGCAGCCTCGAGAAGCTGGGAAAGCCAAGGAAGCAGATTTCCTGCCCTTTGAGCCTCCACAGAGGAACACAGCCCTGCCGACACCTTCATTTTAGCCAAGTCTAACCTCCAGACTGTAAGATGACAAATTTGTAGCTGGGCACGGTGGCTCATGCCTGTAATCTCAGCACTTTGGGAGACTGAGGCAGGAGGATCACTTGAGCCCAGGAATTCAAGACCAGCCTGGGCAATGAAGTGAGAACCTGTCTCTATAAAACATTTTTTTAAATAAAGATAATAAATCTGTGTTATTGTAAGCCACTTAATGTGTAGTAATTTGTTAGGGCAGTAACAAGTAACTAACACAGACTGTGACTCTCCGAGCACTGGGAGTCTCTCTCCACCCTGCCACCATCCTTCCCAGGAGCTTCCTTTCTTCTGTCCAACCTCAGGACCTGCTCCCTCAACAGACAGGAACTAAGGTGCACCATCGGGAGGCTGCACGCCATGAGTGTCTTAAGGGACAACACACCAGCAGAGACGCACGTGTGCCGTGGAGGTGGCAGAGGTACTCTGCGGATGGGAAGATGCATAGCTACTCAGGGCGTGCGTGGCCACACACTGTGGCAATTCCTACACCCACAATGCAGGCGGCTGGCCTGTGGGCTCTCACAAATACACACACACACGCACAGGTGTGCACGTGTGCAGGTGCCAGCTCCTTCCACCCAGCCCATCCCTGCTGGGAGCCAGAACGTACACCTGGACACCCAAGGAAGGGGGCGCTGCACGTGTCCTTTCCACCCTGGAGTCAGGTGCCAGCACCTCCCCAGATTCCCTCAGCCCCTCCCCAGTCACAGCTTGGAGTGTGCAGGCCCTGCTTGGAGGGCCATTCATCCGCCTGGTTTCTGAGAAGAGCTTTCGTGCCGTGGGCCTGTGTGGGCACCTGCACCCATGTGGACCTTCTGAAACCGGGAGGCTGTGCCACGTCTGTGGGTAGTTCGGTGCGCACACGCTGGATGGGCACACGTGTGTGGGCGCGTGCATGTGGGCATACAGTGGCACATGCGCACGTGTGACAGGGGCTAACAGGTCCTAGGCCTGAAGCCGCGTGGAATCTCGGAATCCTGAGGCCTCCTTTCAAGCACTTGTGTCATCCCCTACTGAGGTCCCTGAGTCACCATGATAGTTGGTGCCTGGCCTCCGAGTTGCCAGCCCAGCCCAGCCCTGCTCCCCTGGGGGGTGGGAAGTTCCCTCTGGAAGCTCCTGTCACAGCTGCACCTGAAAGGCCCAGCTCCCAGCACAGGCCCTGAGGGACAGCAGTGAGGACCAAGGCCAAGGAAGCTCCCATTTCCATGACAACAGCAGGCAGGGATCATAGGAGCTGCCAGAATCTGGGAGAGGCACGGAAAGACCCCCCAGAGATCCTCAGAGAGAACGCGGCCCCACTGGCACCTTGACCTCAGGCTTCTGCCCTCCACAACCCTGAGTGACCACATTCCCGTTGCTTCCAGCCACCCGTGTGGGGTCTTTTGTTACAGCAGTTGCAGGAAATTCACATGTGGTTTGGGCCCATCAGCCAAGCTCCCGTACAAACTGGCCCCCCAGAAACCACATGGATGGGGAGGGCCCCAGATCATAGCCAGGATGCAACCCACTCACAGGGGCCACACGCCCAGCCCTGCTGTTGTCCTTGGCAGGATGCCCTGTCATTCTGGTTCAAAAATGTGTCTGCTCCCTGCTGGAGCTGTACAAACACTTCCTCTCCGAGTTCGGAAGATCTTTCTGCATATCCGATTCTCAAGTTCAAAGAATGATGGAAACAAGAAACAGCCCCAAGCCTGAGATGGCAGAGCTGGAGCCAGCCCTCTTCCCTGGAGAGCCGGTGGAGGCTGGGCTGCAGGAGCCTGGGCAGAGGCTTGGGCCAGCACGGCGGCCCCACCCCTGAGGGTGAAGAGCAAGGCGGGAGGAAGAGGGCAGGAGCTGGGCTCTGCATGGTCACTGCAGGCTGACTCTCACCTGCTTTAGCAGGGTCAAAAATATGAGCAGGTCTTTGGGAATGAGAGCTGGCCAGGAATGGGAAAGCTCCTCCAAGAGGGACCAGAGGTGCCTGGGAGCAGGTTTCTAGAGTGTGTGTGCTCGCTCTTGCTCTCGCTCTCCTCTCTCCTCTCTCCTCTCTCCTCTCTCTCTCTCTCTCTCTCTCTCTCTCTCGCTCTCGCTCTCTCGCTGTCTCTAGCTGTCTTGCTACCTATCTCCCTCTGATACAGAAGGGAAGTGCTGGGAAGGGAAGGCATGGTCCCTTTAAATGATACAGAAGGGGGTTAGGGAAATGCTGGGTAGAGGGGGGCATGATCCCTCGCTAGGGCCCCACCCCCACAGGCCTAGGGCAAGGAGTCTAAATGTTGCATTTTCCAAAACCACCCTGGCCCGCCACGCCCCCATCCCGGGCCTATAAAAACCCGAGACCCCAGCGGGCAGACACACAGAAGCTGCTGGAGAGCGGGAGGAACACATGGGCAGAAGAAGACAAGTGGCCAAGCGGCCGGGACATGGACAGGACGTGGAGGGGAGCACGTCGGCAGCCCGACTCCACGGAAAAACCATCTCCCTTCTGGCTCCGCCATCTGCTGAGAGCTACTTCTCTACTCAATAAAACTTTGCACTCATTCTCCAAGCCCATGTGAGATCCGATTCTTCCGGTCCACCAAGGCAAGAAACCCTGGGATAAGGAAATCCCTCTGTCCTTGTGATAAGGAAGGGGGTCTAATTGAGCTGGTTAACACAAGCCGCCTACAGACGGCTAAACTAAAAGAGCACCCATAACACACACCCATCGGGGCCTCCCGAGCTGTAACACTCACCCCTAGACATGGCCTTGGGGTCAGAGCCCCACAGCCTGCCCGTCTTATGCTCCCCCAGAGGTTTGAGCAGCTGGGCACTGAAGAAGCAAGCCACACTCCCTGTCACACGCCCTGTGAGGGGGACAAGGGAACTTTTCCCGTTTCACCTCTCCCACCCTTTCCTTCTCCCTGCACCCCTTCCCTCTGCCTCCTTATGTCCCCACAATCCTCCCTGCCATCATCAGGGTTTCAAACAGACAGTCCCCTTGGCATGGAAGGAACCAGCAATGACAGTCATGTGACTCTAGGCAGCACCTTCAGCTCTAGAGACCCAGGTGCTTCCCCCTGGCCACGGTGAAGAGGGTGGAGATAAGGAAGGTCCCTTCTGAAGTCAGAACAGAAAAGTCCCCGAAGTTCCTGGTAAAACCCCCATCGAGGCGGTGGCTCAAGCCTGTAATCCCAGCACTTGGTGAGGCCGAGCCGGGCGGATCATGAGGTCAGGAGTTCGAGATCAGCCTGACCAACATGGTGAAACCCCCTCTCTACTAAAAATACAAAACTTAGCTGGGCATGGTGGCGGGCACCTGTAATCCCAGCTACCCGGGAGGCTGAAGCAGGAGAATCACTTGAACCCGGGAGGTGGAGGTTGCAGTGAGCCGAGATCACGCCACTGCACTCCAGCCTGGGTGACAGAGCGAGACTGCGTCTCAAACAAAAACAAAAACCCACCACCCAAGTCGTTTTCCTCAAAAGTGTCAGTTTGGGGTTTGTCTATTTACAGATCCTCAGCATCACGGAAAGGATGGGGGCAGCCATTCATTAATAACTCATAGAAGCCAGGGGACCAATTAGAACGGGTTTTCCATTTCAGGGCACGCCGGAAAAGCCACCGGGACCTGGAGCAGCCACTGCAGGAGCAGGTGGGGGTGGGTGAAATGGTGGTCAGAAAAAAAATCCCATAGAGGAGGAAACATTTCAAGAAAAGATATTAAAATAGAAAGCAATGATCCATTGCTAAACACTTCACATTTTTCCCAAAGTTCCCTGCAACTTGCTTCTGGAAGAGTAAATGGAAAACTTTGGGAACGTAATTTTAATTGTCTATTTCACACCCACGTGTCCTGCTCCCTCCCCGCCCCCACGCAGAAGCTGGGCCGTCTGCATCAAGACCCTCTTCCTCCAGCTCCAGCGGTGGCAGTTGTGGTGGAGTGACCGGGGACACAGCAAGCAGGCGGCAGCCCCATGCACGCGGGGAGCTGTCTGGCCTTCGCAGGGTTTTTATTGTATTATTTAACACCCAAGCCTTTCAGCATGTGCCTGCCGCACAGTTTATGCTCCCAGCAGAGGGACAATAACTGAAGGAATATTTGCAAAAAGCTGAGTTAAGTAAATATTTTATGCCCATTAATGTAATGGCTCAGGAATGATGTGTTGGGGCAGGCGGGCAGGGGAGCCAGTGCTGCCAATGTGCAGAGGGTGACAGGGGTTCCTGTGGGCCTCAGCCAAGCTCTGCTGACTCTCAGCCCACCTTTGAGGCCGCCTAGTCAGAGAGGGTGGAGGGGGTGTGTGGCAGGCCTCCTCCAGGAGAGAGCCACACACCCCCTCCACCCTCTCTGACTTGGCTTGGTTCCAGCAGAGTTGAACTAAGCACACCTGAAGCCCTGATGTCTCTACTTAAAAAGAGAAAACTTCCCATGAGCACACGCCCTTGGCTCAGTTAATGTGCTTCTCAAAGTAGGGTGCCCGGGGCATCAGCTGGTTAGAACCTCGAATTCTCAAGCCATGCCCAGACCCACGGGATGAGACGCTGTGGGGGTGAGACTCACGAGCTGTGTTACATGAGCGTTCAGGGGATTCCGTATGGTCGAGCGCAGACTCACTGTCCTGGGCCACCAGCTGTCCAGCTCCCATGTCCCTGTCCAAGAAGGCCCTTCCACCTTTCCTGGTGAAGCCACCCTGCTGACCACACCCACGGGCTGCGTCCGTCTCTTAGGTTCTAAGTATTTGACAAATTACATGATGACCCAGCTAGGGGGGTCAACTGTTCCCCACGCAGCATCTACAACCAGAGGATGGAGGCTGGGATTTACGTTCCAGCCCTGGACCCACCCCACTGGCACCCCAAACCTGCCCACTCTCACTTCAGACCTGCCCAATGTCACCCTGGACCTGCCCACTCTTACCTCAGACCCACCCACTCTCATCCTGGACCCGCCCACTCTCACCTCAGACCCGCCCACTCTCACCTCAGACCCGCCCGCTCTCACCTCAGACCTGCCTGCTCTCACCTCAGACCTGCCCACTCTCACCTCAGACCTGCCCACTCTCACCTCAGACCTGCCCACTCTCACCTCAGACCTGCCTGCTCTCAATCTGGACCCGCCCACTCTCAACCTGGACCCACCCACTGTCACCCTGGACCCGCCTACTCTTACCTCAGACCCGCCTGCTCTCAATCTGGACCCGCCCACTCTCAACCTGGACCCACCGTCACCCTGGACCCGCCCACTCTTACCTCAGACCCACCCACTCTCACCCTGGACCCGCCCACTCTCACCTCAGACCCGCCCACTCTCACCTCAGACCCACACCCTCACCCCAACCCTTGGTTCAGTTAACGTGCAAGGTGAGAGTGTGACTGTCATGGTCACCACGGACCTGCCCACATTCATGCTGGATCCACCCATTCCAACCCTGAACATGCCCGTTCTCACCCCAGACCTGTCCACTGTCACCATCACCCTGGACCCACCCACATTCATGCTGGACCTGCCCACTCTCACCCCAGACCCACCCACACTCTCACCCCAACTGGCCCACTGTCATGGTCACCCTGGACCTGCCCACTTTCATGCTGGACCCACCTACTCCCACCCTGGACCCGTCCACATTCACATGGGGCATCCTGCCTGCCTGGAGGGGACTGAGTCACTTAGGATGCACGGAAGCTGGGGTGCTGGTAGCTGTCTTGATCTATTTCACAGGTTTGGGGGACCCAACTGCACCCCAGCAGAGGGCCTGGAACAGGTTCCCTCAGCCTCACAGACAGGCGGCATCCAGTCCAGGGACTGTAGCCCTGACAAGGAGCCCCACCTGCCCAGGGCCCCCCAGCAGGCAGCGTCTCCCGGACTTCCTCCCCCACCGCAGGCCCTGGGATGGGGCATCTGAGGGAGGGATCTTTCTCTAAAGTCAGGCAGTTCCTGAAAACGATAAGGCAGCGTCTCCCCTCCCACAGTCAGGCTCAGAGTGGAAGGTCTGCATTTGGGGTCTGCCGCCCGGGGACAACAGGGAGCCCTGGAAATGACACGCCCCGCCCCCACCCTTCCCTGATGCCTTGCTCTGGAAGGTTCTTCCTCCCAGCCAGTCTCCTCCTGAAAAAGGAGTGCGGGCACTCTGCCTTGCTTCAGGAGGCCTAGAAAGAGGGGACAGGGCCTGGGGAGCGGGGGACAGGATGAGGGGGAGGGCAGGGTGGGGGAGCTGGAGGGGGTGTTGGGAAGGGCTCAGGGAGGGACAGGAGGTGGAGGCAGGGGTGGAGGACTGGGTGCTCCAGTCTGAATGTGTGTGTCCCCTCCAAAGTTCACCTGCAAACAGTCTCCAGCAGGATTGTGTTAAGAGCTGGGGCGTTTAGGAGGTGATGAGGGCCAGAGGGCTCCTCCCTCCTGCCTGTGCCCGGATTAAGGCCACACCAAAGAGGCTTCACACAGCACTGGACACCTTGTGTCCTTCACTTCCCGCCAGGGGAGCACAGAGCAAGAGGCACCATCCGGGAGCAGAGAGCAGCCCTCACCAGACACCCAGCCTGCCGGCACCTTGATCTTGGACTTCCAACCTCCAGAACTACAAGAAAATAAATGCCTTTTCTCATAAATTATCCAGTCTCAGGTATCTTGTTCTATAGCCCAAAAGGTCTCAGACATGAAGGAGGGGAGGGGCACAGGTAGGAGGGTGGGGGAGAGGAGGGATGCAGGTGGGAGGATGGCAGAGGGGAGGGGTGCAAGTGGGAGGGTTGGGGAGGGGTGCAGGTGAGAGGGTGGGGAAGGGGAGGGGCACAGGTAGGAGGGTGGGGGAGGAGAGGAGCACAGGTGGGAGGGTGGAGGAGGGGAAGGGCACAGGTGGGAGGGTGGAGGAGGGGAGGGTCACAGGTGGGAGGGTGGGGGAGGAGAGGAGCACAGGTGGGAGGGTGGAGGGGGGCATATGTGGGAGGGTGAGGGAGGAGAGGAGCACAGGTGGGAGGGTGGGGGAGGAGAGGAGCACAGGTGGGAGGGTGGAGGAGGGGGAGGGCACAGGTGGGAGGGTGGGGGGGCATAGGTGGGAGGGTGGAGGAGGGGAAGGGCACAGGTGGGAAGGTGGAGGAAGGGAGGGTGACAGGTGGGAGGGTGGAGGAGGGGAAGGGCACAGGTGGGAGGGTGGCGGAAGGGAGGGTCACAGGTGGGAGGGTTGGGGAGGAGAGGAGCACAGGTGGGAGGGTGGAGGAGGGGAAGGGCACAGGTGGGAGGGTGGCGGAAGGGAGGGTCACAGGTGGGAGGGTTGGGGAGGAGAGGAGCACAGGTGGGAGGGTGGAGGAGGGGGAGGGCACAGGTGGGAGGGTGGAGGGGGGCATAGGTGGGAGGGTGGAGGAGGGAAAGGGCACAGGTGAGAGGGAGGGCGAGGGGCACAGGTAGGAGGGGCATCTGTAGGATGCAGGAGCAGGGGCATCTGTAACCCCAGGCCTGGCGCCGTGAAACACTGGAGGCCACCAGGTGCAGGGAGATGGTGCTGGGTCAAATGAGCCTCTGCAGAGGATCAATGGCGGCCAGAGCCATTAGCCAGGAAAATGAGACAGAAGCGAAGGCCTGACAGGTGATCGATACCGGGTCACCCAGCGCAGACAGGAAAGGGTCCAGCGGAGGACACCAGGGGCCAGCGATTGACATCTCACCCTGAGGAGGCGGCCGAGCTGTCTGTCACACACACCCCCGGCCACAAGCCTCCCCCTTCAGGGACCTGCCGTCACTGACAGCATGGACTCAGTGTGGCCCGAGAGGACTGCAGGGACCACCAAATACCCGAGTCTCCTGGACACTGGGGCCCCCTGGGGGCGGGTTTCCAGAACAGCTGGCAAGCAGGGCACCCCAAACAAAGGAGGGCGTGGTGCACGCACAGGGTGCATGGGGACCCTGCAGGCCCGAGGCAGGGGCAGGTCTAGGAAGGAAGCGGTGCACACAGGCAGAGGAATCCAGGGCACTCCACAGCCAGGCGCAGGCTGGCCACCACTGGGACAAGCCACCCCGGCCCTACCTCCCACCCAGTTTCTCTCCACCTAAAGGTCAGGGGCCTGGGAGAGGCACGCGGGGGCCTCCAGTCCAATCCCACCCTTGCTGAGTGATAGGTGTGGCTCTCCGACAGCGGGAGAAGCATCCCTCTCCACCCACCCCAGCACTGGGGTCAGGAGGGAGGAGAGAGGGTGCTCCCACCCCTCCATTCCTGCAGGTTCTTGGCCACATGTGCCGATTTCATTTTGCTCGCTGGATTGCAAAGGCCCTCATGAGCGACTGAGAGCTGCCACTTCGATTTGCGAATCTCGCTGAGAAAAACGTGACATGCACGTTTCCACTGGGCACTGGAGAAAGAGCCAGGGGACTTGGGCAAGACAAAAATAAAACCAGTCAGAGTGGTGAACACGGGCAGGACGTCCACATTGCTCCTCTCTCCTCTGCAGACCCTAGTGGGCCAGTGGGGCCCTGGCCTCCTCCTCCTTCCCTCCCCTTCCTCCTCCCCCTCCTCCTCCCCTCTTCCTCCTCCTCCTTCTCCCCCTACCTCCTCCTCCTCTTCTTCTTCCTCCCTCTCATCCTCCCCCTCCTCCTCCCCTCTTCCTCCTCCTCCCCTCCTCTATCTTCCTCCTCCCTCTGCTCCTCTCCCCCTCTTCCTCCACCTCCCCTTCCTCCCACTCCTCCTCCACCCCTCCCCCTCTTCTTCCTCCTCCTACTCCTCCTCTGCCTCTTCCTCTTCCCCCCTCCTCCTCCCTCTCCTCCTCCTTCCTCCCCTTCCTCCCCCTCCCCCTTCTCCTCCCTCTACCTCTTCCTCCTCCCCCCTCCTCCCCCCCACCTCCTCCTCGTACCCCAGGCAGCCCCTTCAGGTCTCAGTCCCGTCAAGCTCAGACCTGGGACCCACATAGACCCGGGTCAGGTGCCAGCCCCTCTGCAAGACCCTTGTTGGGCCCCTGGGCCTCTCGGGTCCTTGCTGTCAAATGGGAGCACTAGTTGTCATGGTGACAACTCCAGCAGTGCCCTGGGGACTGGAGCGCATACCAGGTGGCCCAGCCTAAATGGATGGCTCTGAAAAGTTCTCTGGGCACAAGGGGTCCCGGGCTCCTCCTGGGAGAACACGAGGCCCTCCCTCCTGGCCTTCCAGACTCAACGGAGCTTCTCCAGGCTGCAGGGACAACAGGCAGAAACTTCTCCGAAGCCAAGAGCCTGGGGCAGAAGTGAGCAGCAGCCAGTGGCACCTGCAGAGCCGGGGCACCCGCAGGGTTCCCAAGAGAGCCTGGAAGATCTCAGCAAAGGCAGGAGCAGGAGAGACGTCGAGGGCGGATGAGGAGTGGACACGGTGGTGGTGAGAGGGGTCAGGAGGAGGAAGGCCAAGGCTGTCCACAGGGATGGGGCCAGCATCTTTCCATGCCCACAGCAGCCATGCCAGATGGGACCCCAGCCACAAGCCCGGGAAGGCCAGACGGGAAGCCCTACAACGGGAGGGCCAGGATGTGCCCGAGGGAGGGGCTCAGAGGCACCCCAGGGAGAAAGCAGAGTGGCTGGGCTCTCTGTGCCTGTTTCTCCACACACAAAAGGGGCGCAGGTTTGCAGCGCTGCAGGAGTGGGGGGTAGGAGGTGGCGTGGAGTCAGCCCAAGAGGCGTGAGCCTCGTAACAAGCAAGCAGTGCAGCTGTGGTGGTTGTTTCTGAGAATGCGTGGATCACAAAAAGGAGGCAGATGGTAAAAGTTAAAATGTAAAACAGGTGTGCAAAGCCAGGCATGGGGGCACAGCTACTTGGGAGGACCACTTGAGCCCAGGAGTTTGAGGCCAGCCTTGGCAACGTAGTGAGACCCTGTCTCCAGTAATTAAAATAAAATAAACAGGTGTTCAAATACGAGCTTGTGCTCGCGCGTTCACGGCGGCGCAATTCGTGGTGGCCAAAGGGTGGAAACAACTCAAATGTCCATCAAGGAAGAAAGGATCAATAAAATGTGGTCAGCGCAGACAGTGGAATATCACGCAGCTAGACAGAGGAGTGAAGCCTGACTCATGTCACCACACGGAAGATGCCAGAAAACATTTGCCCGATGAAAGAATCCAGATGCAAAAGGTGCATATTGTATGATTCCACTGATACACAATGTCCAGGATAGGCAGACCCACAGAGACAGAGAGCAAATGGGTGGGTGCCGGGGATGCAGACTGACCACTAATGGGTATGGGGTTTCCTTTGGGGTGATGGGAATGTTCTGGAACTACATAAAGGTGGTTGTATAAGGCCGTTCTTGCATTGCTATAAACAACCACCTGAGACTGGGTGATTTATAAAGAAAAGAGGTTTCATTGGCTCACAGTTCTGTAGGCTATGCAGGAAGCATGGCTGGGGAGGCCTCAGGAAACTTACGGTCATGGCAGCAGGTGAAGAGGAACCAGGCACATCCCACATAGCTGGAGCAAGAGGGCGAGAGGGAGGAGGGGCTATGGGAGCGACACACCTTTAAACAACCAGGTCTCGTGAGAACTCACTCACTATCACGAGAACAGCAAGGAGGAAATCGGCCTCCATGATCCAATCACCTCCTCCAGGCCCCTCCTCCAACCCTAGGGGTTACAGTTCAACGTGAGATTTGAGTGGGGACATAAATCCAAACTGTACCAGTGGTGGCTGCACGATACTGCATACGTGCTAAAAGCCACTGAATTGTTCACTGTAAAATGGTTAATTTTATATTATGAGAATTTCACCTGGATAAAATAAAATTTTAAAAATAAAGTTAAAACAACAGCAATGGCTGGGCACGGTGGCTCACACCTGTAATCCCAGCACTTTGGGAGGCTGAGGCAGATGTGTCACTTGAGCTCAGGAGCTTGAGACCAGCCTGGGCAACATGGCAAAATCCTGTCTCTACAAAAACATACAAAAATTAGGCGGGTGTGGTGGCGCACCTGTGGTCCCAGCTACTGGGGAGGCTGAGGTGGGAGGAACACTGAGGCTGGAAGGTTGAGGCTGTGGTGAGCTGG
Organism: Homo sapiens; assembly: GCF_000001405.40. Taxonomy (NCBI): domain Eukaryota; kingdom Metazoa; phylum Chordata; class Mammalia; order Primates; family Hominidae; genus Homo; species Homo sapiens. Next base: position 79,705,359 of record NC_000017.11, read on the forward strand.
GATCGTGCCGCCGCACTCCAGCCTGGGTGATGAAGCAAGACCCTGTCTCAAAAATAGCAATAATAATAACAATAATAATAATAACAATAATGGCAGCGAGCACTCCGGAGGCGCTCACTCTGAGCTGAAGAGGGTTCTGAGGGCTTTGACCCAGTGAATTGCTGCAGGACCCTATGAGGTGGGAACTTCTCTGTTGCCTTTTCCCAGCTGAAGGAACCGAAGCTCAGACACGGTGAGTGACTTACCCAAGGTCACCCAGCCACTAAGAGGCCAAGGGGACAAGAGAACTGAGTGTAAGGAGGAAATCAGGAAGAGACTGACAGGAAGTGAGCAGGGGACAGTGCGCAGCTGTCCTCGTGATGGGCCCAGCCTTGAAGGCAGCGTTCCGGCTCCCAGAGCTGGCAGCAGGAAGACATTGCTGGAGGGAGCAAGAGGTGGGGCGGGCAGGAGGGCCACCTGAGCCCTGAGCCCTGAGCCCTCAGCGGGCTCCTTGGAGAGTGACCTGGACCTTAACATTGACCCTGGCACCCCGCCTGCTGTTCCCCATGACGCCCCACGCCCCCACCCTGCGTCTGCTCCTGTGACTTGAGGAAACGGACCGACCTCCTTTAAAGGAGGGGTTCCTGAGCCTGGGGAGCGTGACTTCCGAGCCTGTCCGAAAACACCAAACGCCAAAGACACCGAAGCTGTTCCACAGAAGCCGCAGCCGATCGAAAGCCATTGCTGCACGGGATTTTCTTTGGAATTGGTTTTTGGTTCAGGTATTTTTTGGATTAGCATCATCAACACTAGAACTCAACATGAGAAATCCTCCTGGCACCCTCAGACCCCCAGGATCCACCCGCAGCGCCCCACCCCTCGGGGGTCTAAGGACGGGGCCACGGGAGGTGCTCCCCACGCCTTAGCTAGACGCAAGGCCCTCCCGCAGGCTCCCGCAAGCCCATCAGGGCTGGGCGTTTCCCACCCCTTCCCACCCCACCCATCCACCTTCCGTCCAAGCAGGAGTGCAGCCTGCTTGGGCTCAGCGTCCCCTCTTCTGAGAAGCAGCCCGGCCCCATCCTGAGCGCCCCTGGGCCCACAATCCCTCCTCACGTGTGTGGGGCTGGCCGTTGATGTCGCCTGGGCTGGGGGTGCACCTGCAGCGCAAACACGTGACTAAGCATCTTCCTGTCCCGGGCCCTATCAGCGTTGGGCCCCAGGCAGCCCCTCCAGGGGCTACAGTCACCCACCCACCTACAAAGCCCCTCATCTGCAGCGGTGGCTTCATTCCCGGGACGCGCCCCAGGCTCTGCTCAGTCATGGCCCCCAGACCCTCAGGAGCCCCCGAAACATGATGACCTCCAGCCACGTGCCAGCTGCCAGGAGGAGGCTTCAAGACCCCAGATGAGCACCCGGCTGGCCATGCCCCAGGGACAGAGGACCCAGTGTGACAGAATCCGGCCTGGGCCACAGCCACCCACACAGTCCATCCCAGTTCAGCCCGAGGTGGACAAGAAAAGTCCCACCAGGGACTGGAGCAGATGGGGCGGGCTCCGGACCCCTGCCTGGTCCACCATCTGTCTTGCCAGTCGGTCCGTCTACCCAGGCAGCCCCTCCTCCCGGCCCACCATCTGCCCGGCCCTGCTAGGCCCTCCTCCTGGCTCCTCCAGGGCCCTCAGGAGGAGACAGAGCTGGAGCCAGGGCCCAGACCTCCACTGCCTTGGGCCCGCCCCATCTGGCACCTCCAGAAGAAGGGGGCGGCAAGAGCTTGGCCAGGGCAGGGGCACTCCAGGGCAGCCGAAGGCCCTTGCCAGCTGTCTCATGATGAGATGAGCAGAGGGAGGGGGAGGGGAGGAAGGGAGAGGCTCTGGGAAGACAAGGGCCCCTCCGCTCCTCCTCCCTTCTTCCTCCCCTGCCCACGTGGCCTGGGCGGGAGGGACACGCCGATGGGAACATCCCAGCTGGTCCAGGCCTCTGCTCCCCCCAGCTCCTCCTCCCTGGCGGGCAGCTCTTCTGGGCTCCTGAGGTGCTGCGCAGCCCCTTCCCTGGCCCTGGGACCCCCAGTGCCTGAGATGAAAGAGGAGTTGCTTCCATGGACGGTCCCAGTGCAAGCTGGGGGGCGCTGGCCTCAGGACACCAGGCATCCAAGACATAGGGACACCAGAAGCCCCGGCTCTGCCTCTGAGGTCCAGCAGCCCCAAAGCCCCTGCTCAGAAGCCAGCGATGGGAGGGCAGGGCCTGCCTGTGGGACCCATCATGGGCGCAGCAATCGCCAGGCCCTGGGCAGACAGCAGCACAGCCTGTGAGTCCAGGGCTGGGGTAAGTCGGCAAGTGCACCCCCGGAGGTGGAATGACAGGAGCTCCTGTGGAGGACGCAGGCGACCCCCGCCCCTCACTCCACTGTGAGGCCTGAGGATGTACAGGGGCAGCTCTCCCTGGCTTATGAAACGCCCCCACCCTGCTGCCCCTCTGGGTCCTCCTCACCCTGTGGCCTGCAGGGTCAGGAGCATGACTTTGGTGTCAGGAGAGAGGCTGGCTCCTGCCTGTGGCGGGTGTTGGGGGAGGAGTGGGGTTCATTATAAATTACGCTCCCCTCGAACCCGGCTGTTAGGTGAGGGCAGGGCTGGGATTCACCCTGCTCTCTGCAGGGGAGGGTCAGCCCCCAGGTGCTCCTGGGTGGGTCTCCACGGCAGGCCAAAAGGGCAGGCCCTGGGCATGTCCACCCCCTGTCTCTGGTCCCACAGCCCCCTACTTGCCACCTGCCCTGAGCAGCCCCCAGGAGAGCACCCGCAGGGAGGATGCTGAGGTGCTGGAGGGCAGGAGTCCCAGCTGAGGCTGTGACCCCAGCTGTGCTCCCCGTTCCCTCTTAGGACCAGCAAAGACCCAAGGACAGGCGGCCAATCAGGGCCCGGTGTTTACCCCTCCTCCCCCACCCCCATCACGGGCCTCCCGCAGGACCCCCAGGAAGAGCAGCTTCCATTGACCAAGGTCGGGGGACGCCCTCCCGCTGACACTCACTCTCCACGGATCCTGGAGCCCACGAGTCCCCTCCCCACCTCCACTGCACTGGGCCCCCCGCAGGCCCTGGTGGGGGTGGCCACGGATAACCACACAAACATGCATTTTCCTTGTAGGAGCAGGCAGGTGACAACCAGTGTCCTACTTTCCTGCATTAAAACACCCAAATCAACAGGACGGAGAAGGCCCGGAAGAGGGGACCTGAGGGAGCCAGCCGGGCGCTCAGCCTGCTTCGCTGGGATGCTTGTCGAGGTCGGGACGGCACCACCAAACTCACCTCTGTGCGCCCTGCGGGGCCCAGGAGACTCGGTCCTCCCTGGGCTCCCCCAGGCCTGGGGTGGACGTTGGAATAAAGTGGGGACAACACGATGAGAGACCCCAGCCCTGGAGGTGCCCTCGGCCAAAGCCCGAGATCAAAGCTGGGAGATTCGTGGCTGGACAGCACCACCTGGTGGACACGTTGGAGATTACCAAAGCCGAACAGTCAATTCGTTCTTGGTTCTGGGATTTTCTTAATTGGGTCTTAGCTGGGCCTTCCTTTCTCTTTCCCCAGTAGCAGGGGCTTTGTGACTATCAGAAACACCTGCCAGGCCTGGGCAATATGGCGAGACCTCATCTCTACAAAAAAAAAAAAAAAAACACAAAAATTAGTGAGGCGTGGTGGTCCCAGATACTCAGGACACTGAGATGGGAGGATCGCTTGAACCCGGGAGGTCGAAGCTGCAGTGAGTCGTGATCATGCCACTGCACTCCAGTCAGGGTGACAGAGAGAGACCCTGTCTCTAAAGAAAGAAAAGGCCGGGAGCAGTAGCTCACGCCTGTAATCCTAATACTTTGGGAGGCCGAGGCGGGAGGATTACCTGAGGTCGGGAGTTCGAGACCAGCCTGACCAACATGGAGAAACCCCATCTCTACTAAAAAATACAAAAATTAGCCAGGCATGGTGGCGCATGCCTGTAATCCCAGGTACTCGGGAGGCTGAGGCAGGAGAACCACTTGAACCTGGGAGGCAGAAGTTGCAGTGAGCCGAGATCACACCATTGCACTCCAGCCTGGGCAACAAGAGTGAAACTCCGTCTCAAAAAAAAAAAAAAAGAAAGAAAGAAAGAAAAGAGAAGAAGTCCTTGTCTTCTAATAAGATGTTGTTGGTTTCAGAGAGCCCAATCCAGGCACTTCAAACAAGGCAGGGAAATCAATGGCCCTGAAGAAAGTTTCTCTTCGACAAGCCCCTCCCTCCCTGACACTGGCATTCTGGCATTCACCCACCAGCCCCTCCGTCCCTGACGCTGGCACCCTGGCATTCACCCACCAGCCCCTCCCCTCCCTAATGCTGGCACCCTGGCATTCACCCACCAGCCCCTCCCCTCCCTGATGCTGGCACCCTGGCATTCACCCACAAGCCCCTCCGTCCCTGACGCTGGCACCCTGGCATTCACCCACCAGCCCCTCCCCTCCCTGATGCTGGCACCCTGGCATTCACTCACCAGCCCCTCCCCTCCCTGACACTGGCACCCTGGCATTCACCCACCAGCCCCTCCGTCCCTGACGCTGGCACCCTGGCATTCACCCACCAGCCCCTCCCCTCCCTGATGCTGGCACCCTGGCATTCACCCACCAGCCCCTCCCCTCCCTGATGCTGGCACCCTGGCATTCACCCACCAGCCCCTCCCCTCCCTGACACTGGCACCCTGACATTCACCCACCAGCCCCTCCCCTCCCTGATGCTGGCACCCTGGCATTCACCCACCAGCCCCTCCCCTCCCTGACGCTGGCACCCTGGCATTCACCCACCAGCCCCTCCGTCCCTGACACTGGCACCCTGGCATTCACCCACCAGCCCCTCCCCTCCCTGATGCTGGCACCCTGGCATTCACCCACCAGCCCCTCCGTCCCTGACACTGGCACCCTAGCATTCACCCACCAGCCCCTCCCCTCCCTGACACTGGCACCCTGGCATTCACCCACTGTCTGGGGCAACTACCCTTTCCTCCCACCACTGATGGGACGGCACCCTGGCACCCTGGCCTACCAGTTTTGAGGGGAAAAAAATTAGAAATCTTTGGCCAAAGAGGGGACAAATTGAGCCTAAAATCAAGCCTTGGTGTCTCACTTTTTAAATCTACTTTTACCTTTTGTGTATTGGTTGTGTGATTTTTTGTGTACTCATTGTGTATGATTGCTGAATACACAATGAATACACAAAAGCTATAAATAGATTTAAAGAGAGAAAGCAAACCAAAACCCATCGGTAATCCACTGGAAAAACAAGCCTCCAACTCTATTCAGAACATTGTCAATTAAAAGAAAAGAATTAAGAATTTCCCTTTTAAACTATATTTCAGGATAACTCAATAACTCTAGTGGACAACAGCAAGTATTTTTGGTTTTTGTTTGTTTGGTTTCTTTTTTTTGAGATGGAGTCTTGCTCTATTGCCCAGGCTGGAGTGCAATGGCACAACCTCGGCTCACTGCAGCCTCTGTCTCCTGGGTTCAAGTGATTCTCCTGCCTCAGACTCCTGAGTAGCTGGGATTACAGGCGCCCGCAACCAGGCCCTGCTAATTTTTTGTATTTTTAGTAGAGTTGGGGTTTCACCATGTTGGCCAGGCTGGTCTCAAACTCCCGACCTCAGGTGATCCACCCACCTCGGCCTCTCAAAGTGCTGGGATTACAGGTGTGAGCCACCACACCCAGCCTGTTTGGTTGTTTTATTTAAGAGACAGGGTCTCGCTCCATCGCCCAGGCTGAAGTGCAGTGGTGTAATCACAGCTCACTGCAGCCTTAACCTCTTGGGCTCAAAGGATCCTTCTGCCTCAGCCCCCGAGTAGCTGAGACTACGGGCGCGCACCACCACACCTGGCTAATGTTTTATTTTTTTGTAGAGATGGGGTCTTGCCATGTTGCCCAGGCTGGATTCAAGCTCCTGGCCTCTCTCACCTTGGCCCACAAAAGCTCTGGGATTACAAGCGTGAGCCACCGTGCCCAGCCTTTTTTGTCGTTGTTGTTTTTAACAGAACAATTTCAGCTACTCATTGTGAAGGAGATGAGATCATGAGAGAAACCATGATTTTGCCACCTCTCATGACATAAGTATTTCTCGCAAGGGTCATGGATGAGATCAGTAATGACAAAACTAGGGCATCACAGGGTGGATCCGGGCTATGACCACCTGGACCCACGGGGCACACTTAGCATCACAGGGTGGGCCCAGGCTGTGGCCACCTGGACCCACGGGGCACACTTAGCATCTCAGGGTGGGCCCGGGCGATGGCCACCTGGACCCACGGGGCACACTTAGCATCAGAGGGTGGGTCCGGGCGATGGCCACCTGGACCCACAGGGCACACTTAGCATTACAGGTGCTTCCATGTGGCTCTCACAGCTCTGCCCACGAAGGCTTCTGGCAAAGAAAGATGAGCCTGAATCTAAGGGCGTTTCTGCGGCACAGCTTCCATTTGCAGGAGACACGGGGCGAGGCGACACCACAGAGAGGCAAACAGCAGCGCGATAGGCCACACATTTGCAGGACAGCTGATCTGGTTTCTGCAACAAATCACAAGTGGTGGGAGGAGCAATGGGGGTCGGGGGCGGCGCCTGATCTAGAGTAAGAGAGGTTCAAGAGGCGCCACCACAAAACTTAAACTTTGGGCCTTGTTAGGAACCTGTGTGTTCCATCTGATGGACGTAAGCAAACAATCAGGGGAATGTGATTCTGGATGGGGCCTGAGCGGGTGCCAAGGAATGACTGTTAATTTGAACATTGCCCTAAGGGAACCGCAAGTGTGTTCCAGAGTTTCCCGTACTTGGCGCCTTGCAACCTGAAGTTCATAGGAAGAAAATTTCAGAACGTTTTTGCTACAGGATGGAAAGTGCTTCAGCCACAGGGGAAAAGCAAAGAGAAAGACAACAGCAATGCATGAAACAAGTGTGGCGATTATCGATAAAGTATGTGTGGTGATCACTGATCACGTGTGTGAGTTTATTTGAAAACTTACATTAAAAAATTTTGAGGCCAGACACGGTGGCTCACGCCTGTAATCCCAGCACTTTGGGAGGCCGAGGTGAGCAGATCACCTGAGATCAGGAGTTCAAGATCAGCCTGGCCAACATGGTAAAACCACATCTCTACTAAAAATAAAAATAAATGCAAAATAAGCCGGATGTGGTGGCAGGTGCCTATAATCCCGGCTACTCAGGAGGCTGAAGCAGGAGAATTGCTTGAACCCGGAAGGCGGAGGTTGCAGTGAATCAAGACCGTGCCATTGCACTCCAGCCTGGGCAACAAGAGTGAAACTGTGACTCAAAAAAAAAAAAAATTTTTTTTTTGAAAAGAGACTAGGCATGGTGGCTCATGCCTGTAATCCCAGCACTTTGGGATATCAAGGCAGGAGGATTGCTTGAGGCCAGGAGATCGAGACCAGCCTGGGCAACATGGTGAGACCCTCGTCTCTTAAAAAAAAAAAAAAAATTTGCCTCCCAAGACACATGCCTGTAGTCCCAGCTACTTGGGAGACCTAGGAGAGAGGATTGCCTGAGGCTGGGAAGTTGAGGCTGCAGTGAGCTATGATCAAGCCACTGCACTCCAGCCTGGGTGACAGAGCAAGACTCTGTCTCAAAAAATAAACAAAAATGAAGAAAGACATAACCTTTCTCTTACAGACATGATCAGGCATCATGGAAATCTTATTGCAGAAGTTGCTTGCCCTTCACCCCTGAGCCTCACCTCTCTGTTTCAGGGGATCCGAGTTTAGGGAAGGAAAGTCGAGGGGGCCATTGCTTCTCCCTTGTGGCTGCTGCGCCCACAGCCATGGGCCCCTCACGCTGGGGCTGGGTGCCTGAGCAGAGTCCCTGTGCAGCCCCCACCAAGCTCCAGCATCCTGGACACCTCACGCCAGCCCTCCTGGACTTTGTGCTGGGGATGAGGTCAATATGACAGCCCCCCTGAGGTCTGGTCGCTCCCACACACCCTCCACAGTGGGCAGAATGGTGCCCCCCAAAAGGCCCACATCCTAATCCCGGGACTGTGAATGGGTGACTTTTCATGGCAAAAGGGACATTGCCAGTGTGACCGAGGGTCCTGCGATGGGAGACTCCCCAGGATCATGCAGGTGAACCCAATGGCATTACAAGGGCCCCTGTGAGAGAGAGGCGGGGGTCAGAGCAGACGTGGCTCGAAAGCAGAGGGTGTGGTGACGCCCCAGCCTGGGACTGAGGCCCAGAACGCGGTGGCCTTCAGAAGCCGGGAAAGGCCAGGAGACGGATCTGCCCCCAGCCTCCAGAAGAAGCCAGCCCTGCTGACACCCTGGCTTTAGCCCAGCGCGGCCCCATGGGACTTCTGACCCCCAGAACTCTAAAATAATAAATTGGCATTGTTTTGATCCTTCTGTGGCTGATATGTGTGATGAGGGGGTTTTCACACTCTTGCGTGGGACGTGAAACGTCTTTAGAACAGTGGCACGTTACCTGTCTTACATGGGGAAAAAAGAGGAAAAATAAATACATTTGCATTGTTTTAAACCGCTAAGTTTGTGGTCACGTGTAACAGCAGAAACAGCAAACGGATGTGCCCTCCGAGGCTCCCCTACATGCCTGCGAAGCTCGGGGACGCTGGGGAGGGTCACCTTGGCCATCTGGGAGCAGGTGGTACATCAGGACCCTCCCTCCCTCATCACCACCCTTCCTCCCCCTTCGCCATCCTCAATGGCACGGGAGCCAACCCACAGTGAAGCGGCCGGACAGGCAGGCTGTGCTAATTCTCTGCAAGGCAGAGCTGTTCCTCCAGCCTCAGAATGCAGCCAGCCCCTGCACGGCAGCCTCAAGGGGACAGGACCCCCGTGCTCTCTCCTCTCCTCTTTCCCCTGGCCCCGGCCCTGCCTCTCTGCTCCCTGCCCCCCAGCCCCACTGCCTTGGGCCTCCCTTGAGCTCCCAGGACAGGTCAGCAAATTGCTATGTGTGCATATTTTCTAGGGAGAGTCCACAACCATGGTCAGAGTCCCCGAGTCCAAAAAGAGACAGAGACATGGCCTCAAGTGGCTCCTTGGGCCCCAGGTTCTGAGCTGGAATTGGATTCCCTGAGCCAGCTCTTAGTCCACGGTGACAGGCATCTGCTGATGTAGCCTCCTCTTATCTTCCCCAGAAACCAGATTAGACGCGGCCAGCAAAAAGAATATTCTCAGCTGGCAAAACGCTTTCACCGGCCACCAAAGGCCCCCCGTCCCTCCAGCCCATGGAGGGCACGGTGCTCTCTCATCCAGATGGGCTCCGGGCCCTGTGCCCCACATCCCGGGAGTGAGCCTAGGCCCTGCGCTGCGTTCATCGTTTGGGAGCGTTGTGGGGTGTAGGTTTCCACCCACATCCAGACCCTTGAGTCCTCAGGAGCAAGGACTGGCCTCTCTGGTTTCCCTTCAGCAGGTGCTGAATCAATGCCCGGGAACCGAGGCGACCCATGAGGTGACAGAGGCTGAGCTGGAGAAGGCTCACCTGAGACCTGCACAGATTCAGGCGTTATCGCCGCCAAGGCCCAGCAAAGGAAGCGAGGCTGCCGTGGACACAACTCATGGCTCAAACTGGGGCGGCCCGAATGTTCCTTCGTGGGGCTCCGGGGCTGGTAGAGGGGGGTCTATGCTCTTCCCCCTGATCTTTTGGCAGGTCCTGGCTCACCGGGGCTCAGCCCCACCCTCCAACGCACCAGGTGTCACAGGGCACCTGCTCAGTGGAGCCTGTTGCTGTCCAGAGACTGAAGGTGGTGATGATGAGGCCAACACCGATGGCCTTGGGACCAACATCAAGGTGTTTTCCTACCCAAGGACTGCACCAGAGGGACACCCCTCCCCGCCACACACACACACACACACACACACACACACATGAGATCCTGTCCCCTGATGGGGGAGGTAAGGGGGAGCAGGCCCTGCAGTGACCTGTTGGCCATCTCTTATCCACCTGACGTGGCCAAAGGTAGCCACGTTATCTCCCATAGCATGTCCTCTCCTCCGTATCAGGACACAGTAGACATCCAGGTGCCTATAAAATAGACGTTTCTGGAGATAGCAGACCCTTGCAGGCTCTCCGGAAAGACTCTGTGATAACAGCCCTGGTGAACAGAGAAGCCCTTAGCCACACGGTGTCCAGGGGCCCCACCACACCTCTGGCCTTTGGACAAAGTCAGCACAAGCCACTCCCACCCCACCCACCTCCTTCGTGCATTCTGCAGCTGCCACTCCCTGCCCACCAGGGCGACCAGACGCTGGCTGGAGCCAGGGCAGGGGCGGGCACTCTTCACCGTTTCCACAGGAAATCCCAGACCCTGTCCCCGCAGCCTGGCACTCAGACAGCTGCTCCCACTCTCCCCCTGCCCATGGGAGCTCAGCCTCTGGGGCAAGAGGGGACCCTGTTTACACCAACACACCTAGGAAAAACCTTGGGGAAAATTCCAGGCCTGAGTCCCCAGTGTCCCCAGAGTCCATGGCTGGTGGCAGAGGGCCAAGAAGATAGTGACAACGAGGATTTATACCCCAGCAATGAGGGGACAGCAACAAGGCAGCTTCTCTGCAGGTCCACACAGGAAAGGAAACCCACAGTGCGGCTCCGTGCAGCAGGGGCTCTGAGTGACACTCGCAAGGCCATGGCACCAGGCAGGGGACCCCCCCACCGGAGGGCATGGCTCAGCAGAAGCCGGGAGAGGGTGGGTCCTGGGATCCCAGCCCAAAGCAGGCAGTCAGGAACTGAGTGACCGCGGGTACCCTGGGGGTACAGGGCAGAGGGAGGAGAGTGTCTCCGAGGCCCCCTTGCCATCCCTCAATGCCAAGTCCAGCAAAGGTGGTTTTCTGGCGCCAACTAGCAGGCACTGACCCCCCTCGTATCCCCAACTCGTGACCCAGCCACCTTTCCCGGGGGCTGAGTGGCTCTGAACAGGGGTAGAGCCGTGGGGCAGTGTGGGGCTGACACCCAGGAGGCGGTGGGGGAGGCGCCCACTCAGGCCCTCGCTGCCCGGGGAAAAGGCTGCTGCATGCAAAGCACGCTGACGCCAGAGCCTTCGGCAGAGGAGGGGGAAATTGTTTATATCTCACCCTCCTTCTTACCATGGGCCTCCTGGGGGCTGCTGGCCCTGGGTGAGCAGGACGGACCAGGACCCGAGATGCCTCAGAGGGACACTTCTTGGGCAGGAGGACAGCACAGGCCATGGAGTCCCAAGGGGAGGGGGAGGGCTGTCACACTGGGCCCCGGTGGGTCCTCTGCAGCATGACAGTCTAGCCTGCCCCTGGCCATGCTGAGCCATGTGGCTCTCCTCTCCCAGACCCTGTGGTGACAGGCAAGGGCACAGGGGTGGCGGGGCAGAGGCACTGTTGAAAAACCTGCCCAAGGGCCTGCCCTTGGCATCTCCTGGACCCACCCTCATCTTCCCCGAGGCTGTCCGAGTGCTTTCCCGGGTGGTCTGTCCTCAGTGGGAATGCGGCAAGCCTCCCCCTTGTGCCTGGTATAGCCCTACCTGCTGGGGGAGGGGACACTAATGATCACCCCCAGCTCATAGGCACAGAAGGGAGGCCTGGGGCAGGGGTAGCCCAGGGTCGTGGCTGAGCCACTGAGAAAAGCTCAGACCCCCAACCCCCTCAGCTCTTCCTCCCCCAGGTTCCTAACCACGGCCCGACCTCCCTGGTCCAGTGAACGTCCCACTCCGCATTGCATGCTCCCCTCTGGGTTCCTCCAAGGTTCTCAGAGTCCAAGCCTGGTGATCACCAACAAAAATCTCTGCAAACAGCAGATTCCTACACAGATGGCCCTGCCTTAGGATGGCTCCACCGACGGCCTCTGACTCCACGATGGTAAGAATGCGGCCAGAACTCAGCAGCAACGGCACTTGAGTCCCACACCACCATGTTCACTTTCAGTACAGTGTTCGACAAATTGCACAAGAAAATCAACACTTGATTAGAAAAATAGCTCGTGAGCCGGGGACAATGGTTCACGCCTGTAATCCCAGAACTTTAGGAGGCCAAAGCAGGAGGATGGCTTGAGCCCAGGAGTTCAAGACCAGCCTTGGCAACATGGCGAGACCCCATTTCTACAAAACAAAACGAAACTTTTTTAAAATTAGCCAGGCGTGGTGGCACATACCTGTAGCCCCAGCTTCTTGGGATGCTGAGGCAGGAGGATCATTTAAGCCCAGGAGTTTGAAGCTGCAGTGAGCTCTAATCACACCACTGCACTCCAGCCTGGGTGGCAGAGTGAGAGTCCGTCTCAAAAAAAAAAGCAGACCTCATGTGAGCTGATTTTGTCCACCTAGAGGCTAATGGGAGTGTCCTGAGCACACATCTGAGGTCGGCTGGGCTGAGCTGGCCGGGCGGTTAGGCACACTAAATGCACTTTTTTTTTTTTTTTTTTTGTGATACAGTCTCACTGTGTCGCCCAGGCTGGAGTGCAATGGCACCATCTCGGCTCACTGCAACCTCCGCTTCCTGGGTTCAAGCGATTCTCATGCCTCAGCCTCACGAGTAGCTGGGATTACAGGCACGCACCACCCCGCCCAGCTAATTTTTGTATTTTTAGTAGAGACGGGGTTTCACCATGTTGGCCAGGCTGGTCTCAAACTCCTGAGCTCAAGCTATCTGCCTGCCTCGGCCTCCCAAGGTGCTGGGATCCCAGGCGTGAGCCGCAGTGCCCGGCCGGTAAATGCATTTTTGACAGGATATGTTCCACTTGCGACAGGTTTACAGGGACCCCAGCATGAATGGAGGAGCCTCTGTGTGCCATCCGGAGCCCAGCAGAGCACAGGGCTTGTTAAACTCCTGCTGCTCACAGAGGGCATCACCCAAAATCACAAAGAGGACCGGACAGAGCCACAGAACCCCCCACTACTGCCCAGTGGCCCCCAAGCTGCACCAGGGCCTGAGCCCCCAGAGACTACAACTCAGGCCTTGCTGTGTGGAGACCCCAGAGGCAGGGGCTGCACTGAGCCTGCACCTCTCTGTCCGGCCCTGCCTGTGCCCCGCTCTCCAGGGGTGAAGGCGCCTCCCCATTCTGGTGCTCCTCAAAATCAGCCTCAGGACCTTGGAGTTCATTGTCATGTCATAGGCAGCTGGGGCCATTGAACACTTGAGTTGTTTCCACTTTTTTTTTTTTAAGTCGGATTCTCCCTCTTGTCGCCCAGACTGGAATGCAGTGACGTGATCTTGGCTCACTGCAACCTCCGCCTCCCGGGTTCAAGCGATTCTCCCGCCTCAGCCTCCCAAGTAGCTGGGACTACATGTGCCTGCCATCATGCCTGGCTAATTTTTGTATTTTTAGTAGAGACAGGGTTTCACCATATTGGTCAGGCTGGTCTCGAACTCCTGGCCTCAGGTGGTCCACCCGCCTCAGCCTCCCAAAATGCTGGGATTACAGGCGTGAGCCACCACGCCCAGCCTGTTGCCACATTTTTGCTTTTGTGAATAAGCTGCTATGAACACCTGTGTGCAAGTATCTCTTTGAGACCCTGCTTCCGATTCTCTTGGGCGTATACCCAGGAGTGGTACGCATGAACAAATAAACAAGGGACACGCCAGGCAAGCCTGTAATCCCAACATTTTGAGAGGCTGAGGCAGGAGGATCCCTCGAACCTAGGAGTACAAGACCAGCCTGAGCAACACAGGGAGACCTTGTCTCTACAAATACATTTTAAAAATTAGCTGGGCGTGGTGGTGCACACCTGTGGTCTCAGCTACTCAGGAGGCTGAGATGGGAGGATGGCTTGAGCCCAGGAGGTCGAGGCTACACAGTGAGCCGTGATCTCACCACTGTACTCCAGCCTGGGTGACAGAGCGAGATCCTGTCTCAAAAAATAAATGTAAAAAAAACACAGGACAGGCCGGGCGTGGTGGCTCACGCCTGTAATCCCAGCGCTTTGGGAGGCTGAGACAGTGGATCACGAGGTCAGGAGATCGAGACCATCCTGGCTAACACGGTGAAGCCCCATCTCTACTAAAAATATAAAACATTAGCCAGGCATGGTGGCAGGCATCCGTAGTGCCAGCTACTCAGGAGGCTGAGGCAGGAGAATGGCATGAACCCAGGAGGTGGAGCTGGCAGTGAGCCGAGATCACGCCACTGCACTCCAGCCTGGGCAAGACTCCATCTCAAAAAAAAAAAAAAAAACAGGACACAGGACGGTCACAGATGGGCATAGACTCACACCTGGAAATTCTAGGTGTGAGCACACAGGCTTCCAGAGAGGAGGAAGGTGGGTCGTCAAGCATATGGGTATTTTATAGGTTGAAGCGTGGTCCCCCAAAATGATATGACCCTGTCCTAATTCCCAGAATGTGTGAATATGGCCTTTTTTGGATGGAGGGCCTTTGCAGATGGAATTAAGTGAAGGATGAGGAGATGAGGTCATCCTGGATTATTCAGGCAGGCCCAACATCCAAGGGCTGGTGTCCTTATAGGAGTCATACAGACAGACACAGAGAAGGCCTCGTGAGGATGGTGGCTAAGCAGGAGGGATGCAGCCACAAGCCAAGGACGCCCAGGACACCAGAATGCATGACTGCTGCTTGAAGCCACTCAGCATGTGGTCATTCATTACATCAGCTAAGCCAGGTCTGCACACACCTGCAAAGCAGGAACTCCGGAGCAGAAGCCAGACCCAAAGAGGGACAGTTTCCCCTCTGGCCAGGACCTCACCCCATCAACCCAGCTGCCCACGAGGCTGCTGCTCAAACATCCCAGGCCTACAGCTGCCAGCCTGTCCTGGGCTCAGCCGAGGGAAGAGGGAGCTGTGAACAACTCAGCCCTGGGCCCCTGCAGGGAGCCAATGACCCCCTCCCTTTCTCCCTCATGCATTCATCCCTTCATTCATTCATTCATTCATTCATTCATCCATCCATTCATCACTCCTTCAGTAAACAGGCCTGGCACCTCCCACGCGCCTAGATATGAATGCAGTATCAATGTGTCCCTTTCAGGGGCCCACAGTGGGTGGGTAAGCACACCCACAAATTCATAACTCCAGAGGGGACAGGAGGCCCAACAGAAGAATCACAAGGGAAAGCCACAAGGGCCTCAGCTCTGCCTGGGGCAACAGGGAGAAGCCCCCTAGACTGGTGTCTGGAGGCCCATCCTGGACTGACGCAGAGGCTTTCCTGATGGGCAAAGAAGGAGGCCTCCCTCTGGTTTGTGAAGGAGATGGTGGCACAGAGAGCTGGAGGTGGGATCCTGGGTTTTGTCCTCCAGGCGATAGACACAGGAGGGGTGAGAACAGGCTCACCTTTATCAAACTTTGGTGGAAAATTGAAATTGTGTTCCAGGACAAGGACCAAGAAAGTCTGATGCTGGCCATGTTCAGGCTGTGCTGCTCTGAGATACTGGGGCAGGCGGGCTTGGCAAGGTGGCCCCCATCCTTCTCTCCCCATGTCCCCCTGCTCCTGCTCCTGCTCCATGTCTCCCCACTCCCAGCTCCTCAGTGGCCAAGTTTGGCGTCCTTCAAGAAGTGGCCGAAACCTCTAAAGGAACTTCACCCCGCAGGGCAGGCCCTGCCCAAGGATGTCTCCACCACCCAGAGTCCAGTTCCGGCCCTCGACACCCCACCCCCATCCCAGAGTCTGGAATGATGCAGCCCCCAGCTCCTGGGGTCCCCACGTGGAGCCCCTGCTCCCAGCAAACCAGCGAGGGAGGCCTGGGGGGAGGGAGGGGCTAAGAGGGAGGGGAGCGCCTGGCCGTCCCCAGAGAGTACAGCTAACCCACAGCACATAATCCTGTTAAAAAATTAATCCTCATTTAGCCGGGAGGCAAGGCAGCCGCTGAGATAAAGCCCCTGAGAAGTAATAAAAGGCAACAGCAATTGATAAAGTGGTGAGGCCGCTCATAAAACCCTGCTGCAGTGAAGGTCGGGCAGGCCCCAGGAATCGGAGAGTAACCACTGCCAGGTGGGGGCGGGGGGCATTGCTTACAAGCCCCAGCCCCTGCAGAGGACGACCCCCTTGGGCAACAGAGCTGATGCTGATGGTGGACAGAGGGAGAAAGGAGGGAGGCTGCCTTTCTCAGCTCCTCCCTGCTCGGCCTCACTGGACGACCGTGGCCCTTTGGGAAGGAATCACCATCCTTGGTCCTTGTCTCTCTCCTAACATCATAGCCATGAAAGATCACAGCCCTCCTGGGGCCCAGCCGGTCCCAGAGTAGAGCTGGTGAGCCTGGGCCTGTCTCCTGTGGCTCCTGGTGGCCCCCGCTGTCCCCCACACACTTGTCCCAGGGATAGGAGGATGGAGAGCCCACCCCAGCCCCCACACCAGGGACTCACCTGGAATCCTCCCAGACGGCAAGTGTGGTCACCACTGCAATTGGCATCTGCCTGCTGGGGAGGACTCATTGTCATGTCCTCACGGGGACGTTCCACTCCAGCCAAATTGCATAACCAGGCCATTCCTCCTTCAGGGTCCCCAAAAGCCAGTAATGGTCCCCACAAAAGGGCACTGGACTGGAGGCAGGAGAGACCCATTGAGACCCAATATTGTACCATTAGACATGGTGGAAAATTAGGGGAGGGGACTCGATGCCTCCGCTACTCCAACACTGGCGACGACCCACAGGTGTAAGTGCCCAGCTTCCAAGCCCACCCCCCTCACCAGGGCATCGAGGGCTCCCTGGAAGCACCAGTCTGGGGCTGCACCCTGGCCAGAGACGGAAGAGAGTGATTCCCATTACTGTATCACTCCAACTGCTGCCTGGAGACTAAGGAGAAGCAAGGAGACCGGTCAGAAGGCAGTTGCAATGGTCCTGACCATGCTAACTTCACCCACGTTCTCTTTCATTTATGCACTGAAGAATCATTTATTAAACACCTACTGTGTGCCAGGCATCAGACCAGGAGCTCGGGATACAGTGCTGCTCACAGCCTTGTAGGAGAGACACATAAACAATTGCAATAGAATTCCTTGTATCAGGTTATTAATGAGAACAGGAAGTTAGCGGCAAAGCTGACCTTGTGGAGGACAATGCCTGCCTTATGGCCCTCGGCCACCAGCTGAGACACCAGCAGGCCTGGGCAGGCCAGCCCCTGGCCCAGAGGCTGGGTCCCTAGGGCCCGAGCCCCCTACATGGCTCATCTGCATGGGGCAATCTCTACCCGTGCAAGCGTCAAATCCACCCGGTCCCAAGGACAAGGAGGCCTCTGGGATCAAGTCCTGCTGGGCACCCAGAGCCCCCTAAGCAAGAAAAGCAGTGAATAAACACTTTCCTATGTGTCCATAAGGAGGAGCCCTCTCCCCTACAGACACTGGTTTGCCCATAACCACTGCACCCACAGTGGCCATCAGCCCTACCTCTCTAAGCTCACATCCATCTGCCTTAGGTGAGGAGTCCTCAGCTTCAAGGACACTGGAATGACGACTTTACGAATGCTTTGCCCCCCACCCAGGTAACAAGGAGCCCACACACCTCCCAGATCTTGATCTCTAATAACATCTCCAATAAAACAAGCCAGGGCTCCTTGAGAAATGCTGGATTCTAGGGCAGAGGAAATATATAAGATAAGCCTGGAGCATCTTATAGTGCTCAAAACACATACATCCACACATGCACACATGTACACACACTTGCACACATGCACACACGTGCACACACCCACTTGCACACAGAAACATACACACGCGCATTCACACACATATATGCATACGCGCATGCATGCATGCACGCACATGCACAAACATACATGCATACACACACACACTTGCACACAGACACGCGCACTCGTACACACACACATTTGCACACACTGCAGGGAAACGTGAAACAGATTAGGAGCCATCTGAAAGACTGCCCAGCAGCCAAAAGTGGAACAATTGGAGCTGCAAAATAGAGAAATACAGGATTACCACTCAAAGTATAAAATAGTTATCAGTCCATACTGACATAAACGAGTCACTGAATGAATAAATAAATGGGATGGGGGGCAAACCCCCACACAGAATTCCAAGTAGTCTATGCAGCCACTCCATTGTCCAGAAGCGTGACCCCTCACCCCGTGAGCGTGAGTGGCATGCATGGCCTTCCTTCCAAAGAACAGGGTATGAAGGGGGTGGAGGGCAGGAAAGACAGCAACCTCCAGGGAGACACCCGTGACTTTCCTCGGCTGCGTGACCCAGGCCACGTCACCAGTGATAAGCCCTGTTGATAGCGTGTGCCTTGATGTGACCTGGTGGGAACGCCTCCTGTTTGGTTGCTTTTTGTTTTTTGTTTTTTGTTTTTTTTGAGATGGAATTTCACTCGCTGCCCAGGCTGGAGTGCAATGGCGTGATCTCGGGTCACTGCAATCTCCACCTCCTGGGTTCAAGCGATTCTCCTGCCTCAGACTCCCAAATAGCTGCATGCCACCATGCCCGGCTAATTTTTGTATTTTTAGTAGAGACGGGGTTTCACCATGTTGGCCAGGCTGTTCTCGAACTCCTGACCTCAGGTGATCCACCCTCCACAGCCTCCCAAAGTGCTGGAATTACAGGCGCGAGTCACTGCGCCCGGCCAGGCAGGAACAGCTCTTTATCTCTGCAAACCTCCTCCCCAAAAACCATAACCCCAGCCTGGCGATAAGGAAAACATCAGATAAATCCTAATTGAGGGACATTCTACAAAACACCTGACCAGCCCTCCTCAAAACTGTCAATGTCATCAAAAACAAGGAACAGCTGAGAAATTGTCACAGCCAAGAGGAGTCTGAGGAGACCCAAGGACCGAATACCATGCATTCGTTGTCCAAGAGGTTGAGGCTGCAGCGAGCAGAGATTGTGCCACCGCACTCCAGGCTGGACAACAGAGCAAGACCCTGTTTCAAATAATAATAACTTATCAGTTGGGCATGGTGGCTCATGCCTGTAATCCCAGCACTTTAGGAGGCTGAGACGGGTGGATCACCTGAGGTCAGGAATTCAAGACCACCCTGGGCAACATGGCGAAACCCCATCTCTACTAAAAATAAAAACAAATTAGCCGGGCGTGGTGGCGCACACCTGTAATCCCAGCTACTTGGGAGGCTGAGGCAGGAGAATCACTTGAACCCTGGAGGCAGACGTTGCAGTGAGTGGATATTGCACCATTGCACTCAAGCCTGGGCAACGAGTGAAATTCTGTCTCGAAAATATAAATAATAATAATAATAACTTATCAATGCTGGCTCCTTAATTGTGTAAAGTACCACCCTAATAGTCAACATTAATAACAGGGGAAACTGGGTGCAAGGAACGTGGGAACTCTATATTGTCTTCGCAATTTTTCTGCAAACCTAAAACTGTCGTAAAATAAAAAGTTCTGTCAAAACAGAAAGTATGTTAGATATTTGCATGCATTTGTCCTCTTAATTTATTTACTCATGCAACAAAGATGCATTAAGCACCTATGCTGTGCTGGACACTCTCCCAGGCTCTGGTGATACCATGATGAGCTAATATGGCAGGCCCCTGCTTCAGAGAGCCTGACCTCACCGTCTACCTGAAGGCTTGCATGAAGAGTATGGGGAAATTTCAGGTGACAGATATAAAGGACAAATGTTTACCCAAAAAATATAATCTAGGCCTGGCACAGTGGCTCACGCCTAGAATCCCAGCACTTTGGAAGACGGAGGAGGGTGGATCATCTGAGGTCAGGAGTTAGAGACCAGCCTAGCCAACATGGTGAAACCCCGCCTCTACTAAAAATCCAAAAATTAGCCGGGCGTGGCGGCACAAGCCTACAGTCCCAGCTACTTGGGAGGCTGAGGCAGGAGAATCGCTTGAAACTGGGAGGCGGAGGTTACAGTGAACTGCGATCCAGCCTGGGGCCTGGGCAACAAGAGGGAAACTCTGTCTAAAAAAAAAATATATATATATATATTCCAAAAGTATAAATTCAGAAGAATGTGCATTGTGGCCAGACTCCACATGCTCAGCATGAAGTGGATGGGGGAAATTTCAGCTGACAGATATAAAGGACAAATGTTTATCAAAAAAAATATATTCCAAAAGTATAGATTCAAAAGAATATGCATTGTAGCCAGGCTCACACCTGTATTCCCAGCACTTTGGGAGGCCAAGGTGGGAGGATCACTTGAGCCCAGGAGTTCAAGACCAGCCTGGACAATATAGAGAGACCCCGTCTCTGTTTTTCAATAAATAAATAAGAAAGAAAAAAAAGGAAAAAATATGCATTGCAACATACATAAGGAACCAATTAAACCATAAGAGTTAACGCTGGGCTGCACACAGTGGCTCATGTTTGTAATCCCAGCACTTTGGGAGGCCGAGGTGGGAGGATCACTTGAGCCCAGGAGTTCAAGACCGGCCTGGGCAACATAAGGAGACCCTGTCTCTACTGAAAATTTAAAAATTGGCCGGGTGCGGTGGCTCACACCTGCAATCCCAGCACTTTGCAAGGCCAAAACGGGAGGATCAAGAGGTCAGGAGATCGAGACCATCCTGGCTAACACGGTGAAACCCCGTCTCTACTGAAAACACACACAAAAAAATTAGCTGGGCATGGTGGCAGGCGCCTGTAGTCCCAGCTACTCTGGAGGCTGAGGCAGGAGAATGGTGTGAACCCGGGAGGCTGAGCTTGCAGTGAGCCGAGATCGCACCACTGCACTCCAGCCTGAGCGACAGAGCAAGACTCCGTCTCAAAAAAAAAAAAAAGAAAAAAAGAAATTAACCAGGTGTGGTGGTGTGCGCCTGTAGTCCCAGCTATGCGGGAGGCTGAAGTAGGAGAATCACTTCAGCCCGGGAGATAGAGGCTACAGCAAGCCGTGATCATGCCACTCCACTCCAGCCTAGGCGACAGAGCGAGACCCTGTCTCACACACACACACACACACAAAATTCAGTGCTGAAGAACCCACTTAATCAGTGGTCGAGGATAATAAAAGTCCTCACATGGGGAGTTAGAGACAAGAAATCATGACATGGAAAATCTCCCAGTTTCTCTGGCTTGATACTTTAAGATATCTTTACACGCCTATGACACTATCGAAAAGGAATAAAAAGATAAAACCCAATAAAGGTAGCACGGGGTGGGGCAGAGGGGATATTTACATTAACTCGTGGCTGCTGGTGCTATCAACTGCTTCAACCTTTCCTGTGTTAAAGAAAAAACATTTGGCCGGGAGTCATGGCTCGCACCTGTAATCCCAACACTGTGGGAGGCTGAAGTGGGAGGATCGCTTGAGTCCAGGAGTTCAAGACCAGCCTGAGCAACATAGCAAGACCCCATCTCTATTAAAAATAATAATCATATGGCCGGGTGCGGTGGCTCATGCCTGTAATCCTAGCACTTTGGAAGGCCGAGGTGGGTGGATCATGAGGTCAGGAGTTCAAGACCAGCCTGGTCAAGATGGTGAAACCCTGTCTCTACTAAAAATACAAGAGTTAGCCAGGCGTGGTGTCAGTGAGCTGAGATCATGCCACTGCACTCCAGCCTGGGCAAAAGAGTGAGACTCCGTCTCAAAAAATAATAACAATAATAATTTTTAAAATAAAGAAAAAAAGTATTCATGACTCTTGTTAAAGACAGGTAGGAAGACCTTATTCCAGGGGGGCTACCACAATGGGGTTTAGCTGTAGGAGAGCCAGATTGGGCTCAGTCTCACTCTACCAAGGACGAGTAGGACATGCAGTCCAGGAGCAAGTGTGCCGGGTGGGTGGAAAATGACTAAGAGGAGACATTGAGGAGACGGGATGCTTACTCGGCCAACTCAGCAGAAATCTTCCTGAAAGCAGGCCAGGGTAACAAGATATCGAGAGTGGAGGATGAGGAATCTGATCAAATACTGAGGGTGATCACATAGGATTTCCACTAAACTGACTCAGCAGGACTCTTGCTAAACCCGAACTAAAGAAGCCGAGGACAGAGCCCAAGGTCAGCGCCTTGAAGGCTTAGTGGAGTAGAGTTAGGTCGAGAAGAGGGTCTGTCACCTGATAGCCATCTGATCATAACAGCCAAGTAGCTTTTCCATCCTTTGTCCAATAACCTTTCTCTAAGCACTGTACCCCAAGGAAAGAAGGCAAAGGTTAAAAAAGAAAGAAAGAAAAGGAAAAAGTCAGTGGTGTCAAGATACTCACAGCTGCATTATTTTTGTTTGTTTGTTTTGTTCTGTTTTTTGAGACAGAGTCTCGCTCTGTTGCCCAGGCTAGAGTGCAGTAGTGTGATCTTGCCTCACTGCAATCTCCTCCTCCCAGGTTCGAGCAATTCCCATGCCTCAGCCTCCCAAGTAGCTGGGATTACAGGTGCGCACCACCATGCCCAGCTAATTTTTGTATTTTTAGTAGAGATGTGTTTTCAGCACGTTGGCCAGGCTGGACTACACCATTTTTTAAATAAAATGTTGTCAATAGACCCAAAGCCTGACAATAGAATCCCAAGTGAACAAAGGCTGGTAAATTGCTGCCTTTTGAAGCAGCTGAAGCTGAACACTGGGGCTCGGAAGCCAGAACGCTTGGGTTCCAGCTCAGCTCCTCCAGTCACCAAGTGATTTTAACCGCTCTCTGCCTCAGTTTCCAACCTGTAAACTGAGGATTGTACTAAGTCCTACCTCAAGAACTACCTCCAAGCTTCAGTGAGATCGTGGCTATTGCCCAGTGCCCACGGACTGAAGGAAATGTCCTGTAGCCACGAGCTACAATCAACCACCGCACACCCTTTCCATCCAAGTGCTCTATGAGATCGCAGAGAAAATGGAAACATACGTGGGGTGACCCAAGGAGCTCCCCAGCAAAGCGGGATTGAGGTACAGAGCCAAAAACCAAAGGAAGAGTTACCCAAGCATGGCTGGGATGTCCTGAGAGGAGCAGGAGCAGACCTTTCATGCCATCTCCAGACCAGGCCCAGGCAGGTAAGAGGGTGAACAGGACCAGGAATTCGCACAACCCCAGGGGCCGACAGGAGAACCTGCAGAACCACGGACCCCAGACCTGCGAGCCACCAAGATCTGCGCCGGCCTCAAGCACACCCCAAATGCACTCCAGCCGAGGCCTGGCCAGGCCCCTGGACCACTGCCTCGGCTCCTCACTCAGGCCCTGCCTCCCTGGCGGCCCTCTCGAGCCCCACCCCACAGCCAGCTCCTGCTTAAACCTAGCAATGCCCCCCAGGCCTGGAATTCTATTATCAGCTTGAACTAGGTCCCGCTGAGAGTGACAGGAAACCCAAATAATGGAAATTGCAACGAGGCAGAGTGTGTTGAATTCTCCCCGGGAGGATGCAGCCTGGAGCTGAGCTACACAGGACGCTGGGGACCAGGCCCCTTCTGTGCACCCCGGCCATCCCCGGGGAGCCCCTCATCAGGCGGCTTAGGGTGGCTTGCCAGCCAGAGGCATCAGATGGAGGAAAAAATCAAAAAAGAAGAGAAGCAAAGCTAGCTTCCGGCAAGAGGCTGGGACTGCTACAAGACATTCTCCTTTTGCCCCATTGGTCAAAATGTGGTCACGTGGCCCTGCTTTGCTGCAAGGAATGCTGGGAAATGTAGTCTTTCTTCTAGCAGCCATCTTATCATGGAAAGAGGGGAGAACAGATATTAGGGGACAACTAACCAGCTCTGCCACAGCGGAAAATCCAGATTCCGCCACGGCCTACAGGCTCCTCCTGGTCGACCCTCTCGGGAGCCCCGGTGCCTCCCTTCCTCCATGCCTGGTCCCTCTGCCTGAAGCCTTCCCGCCCTCTCTCCTGGCTCCATGCATCCTGTGGGCCTCCCACAACGCTGGTGCCAGCAAAGCCCGATCTCCTCTCCCGAGGCCGCCTGCATTCCCCCTGTGCGTGCATCGTAACCTGTGTCCCTGACTCACAGGGATCCTTACCCTCCCCAAGGTCTGTGCTCCCCAGGGAGGAGCCAAACCTCTGGGTGCCCTGAGCCCCAGCCCTGCAGAGCAGGCACCCCACGCGGTGGTTGCAGGCACCGGGCAGTCGCTCCATCCTGGTTTTCAGCTTTTGGTGCACAGAAGCATGAAGAAGAGGGGTCACTGGCACGGAGTCCTCCTTGAGAGTGTGTTCCAGTCGGCCAGGCAGGGGCAGCCGGGGATCCGTACCAGTGGTCCCTGCCCACCTGGGTTAGGAAAGGCTGGCTGGCCTGGGGAGGCTGTGGACGGCGTCTGCGGTGTCATCTGAGTGCCACGGCCATCGCTTCGAGACGGCGTCTGCTTGCTGCAGCCAGCCAAAGGTCTTAAGGAAGGCCGGGGCCACTGTCGGCAGGTGTGTGGCTCCAGATTGAAATTGTGACAATACCTCCAACCATGCCCTTCCGTCTTCCCACCGCGCAATCCAGTGCACCACCTCCCACCATGCAATCCAGCGCACCACCTCCCAGCAAAACCTCCAGGATCCGCCTCAAACCCAGCCCCATCCCACAGCCACCACCCTGGTCCGGGCCACCAATAGCTCTTGCTCAGACACAGGCAGTCACCTCTCCAGGGAGCACCCAGTGTCCATTCTGCCCTCGTTCTGGTCTATCCTTCACCCACAAATGGAGAGTATATTTTAGCATTAGATCAGTTCATGTCACTCTCTTGCTTAAAACCCCCGCCTGGCTTCCACTGCCTGGCATGAGAATCACCGCCACCTGCCCTACGGGACTGGCCCTGCCACCCCTGCCACCTGCCCCATGCCCGCTCCCCTAGCTCATGGTCCCCCAGAGTCACTGGCCTCCACCATCCTCTCAGCGAAACCCCACCAGCCACCACTGCGTGCCGCCCACCCACCCCGCCAGCCTCTCCATCACGTCTTCCTGCCTTCCCTTCTTTTGGGAAACTCTTTTTTTCTTGTTTGTTCATTTTATCTTCTGTGTCCCCAACTCGAATGGAGGCCACGAGGAACATTGTCTGTCTCATTCACTTCTGTGTCCCCAGAACCTAGAACCATGCCTGGCACACAGAACGTGCTTAATAGGAACTGAGACAGAGACATACAGGGAAGGAAAGAGGGAGAGAGACAGAGAAAGAGAGAGAAAATAAGAGAAGGGGAAGGAGAGATGGGGGAGAGGGAGGGAGAACCGCACACTGAATCCAGGGGTTCCTCTCCCACCCTTCATGTGCCTATGGTAACAAGGGAGTCCCCCTCTTCTGACCCCTTGTTGTCATCAAGCAAGAACGTCCGAGCCCCAGGCACCCTCTGAAATTCCCAAGAAGGAAGCATCCCAAGAAGGAAGCATCCCAAGAAGGAAGGCCCACAGGACGCTGGTCTGGAGCCATCCGGTTCCCGGTCTGCTCACCACGCTCAAGGAGCCCCTTAACAGGACCAGGAGGAGAACAGGCACCCAGCCTGGGGTTCCCCCCGGACAAGGCCATGCTGTGACCCAGGCTTGGTCCTGGCCCTGACCATGGGAAGCCCACCCCACAGGCCCTCACCCAGGCAGGCCTGAGGCCCATGCACCACTAAAGGCCTGGAGAGGGGGTCCCACCCCAGCCTCACCTGGGTCCCCTGGGGTCAGGGTGAGCTGGGACAGAGGGACCACCTGTTGCTATGGGAGAGGGAGAGGGCACGACTTTCCCAGTGGAATGGGCTCCTGCTGTGCTCTGAGCCCTGGGTCACTGTCCCCACTCTGGGGAGGGAGGGGAGGAGCCTGGAGCACCAAGGGCGCGGCTGGCAATAAAGGCAGATGCTCAAGTTGATGCCACCCCACGCACGTGAGGCTGGGACCAGGGGTGGCACTGACACGGCTGGGGAGCCCACTCCCGAGGTTCGACCCGGGGATGTGCACAGCCACATTCCAAAGGCGCACGGGATGAGATCAGCCCGGGTGACCCTGGGACTTTGTCCTCCTCGGCAGGAGCCAGCCCTGTGCACCCTGTGTGCCTGTCCATCTGGAAGGCCCAGCATGAGAGGCCCGGCCGTCCTCCTCACTGTGGCTCTGGCCACGCTCCTGGCTCCCGGGGCCGGAGCACCGGTACAAAGTCAGGGCTCCCAGAACAAGCTGCTCCTGGTGTCCTTCGACGGCTTCCGCTGGAACTACGACCAGGACGTGGACACCCCCAACCTGGACGCCATGGCCCGAGACGGGGTGAAGGCACGCTACATGACCCCCGCCTTTGTCACCATGACCAGCCCCTGCCACTTCACCCTGGTCACCGGTGAGTACTGCCCTGTGACGGGGCCTGGGGGTGGGAGGGCCTGAGAAACCAGATGGCACAGAGCCGTGTCGTGCAGGATAAAGGGGAGAGGTCCTTGCTCCAGGCACAGGACAGAGCCAAGGGGACCATTAGGAATCCTCACCGTTGGTAGCAACAGATCCGGGACAAAGAAAAATGACCAGGGGGGTCCTTAAACCCGTGGCCACAGCCAGGGCAGCAACCCCAGAAGGCTTCAGGAGGAGGGGAGTGTGGCGGGCTCCCCGCTGGCTCCCATGGCTCCCCTCCCCTGCCCGCCCCTCCAGCTGGCTGTGTCAGCCTCTCCCTCTCCCTTCCATCCTTTCCATTTTCCACCCAACACCTCCCTGACAGATCTGCCCAGGCTGTAGACAATACAGACATAGGTTTTTAAAAAGCCAAATATGGGGCCAGGCTCAGTGGCCCACGCCTGTAATCCCAGCACTTTGAGAGGCTGAGGCGGGCGGATCACTGGAGGTCAGGAGTTCGAGACCTGCCTGGCCAACATGGCGAAACCCCATCTCTACTAAAAATACAAACATTAGCCAGGCATGATGGTGCATGCTTGTAATCCCAGCTACTTGGGAGGCTGAGACAGGAGAATTGCATGAACCCAGGAGGTGGAAGTTGCAGTGAGCTGAGATCGCACCACTGCACTCCAGCCTGGGTGACAAAGCAAGACTGCATATAATATATATATACATATATATATACATATATATATGTATATATATATATATATACACACACATATATATATATATGAGGCCAAGGCAGGAGGATTGCTGGAGTCCAGGAGGTAGAGGCTGCAGTGAGCTGCAATCACACCACTGCACTCCAGCCTGGGTGACAGAGCAAGACCCTGTGTCAAAAAAACAAACAATAATAAAATAATAAAAAGCCAAGTACCACAAAAAAGGTGTTAGAGAATTGAAAAGCAATTGGCCCTCCCTAGGGGCTCAGCCACCTCCCAAACCTGCGTCATCCTCCAAAGACCCTGCGTGGGTGTCCCAGGGCGCCTGCAACAAAGATCTGCAGACTGGCTTAAACCCACAGAAACGGATCCGCATGCTTCTGGAGGCCAGAAGGCCAAACCCAGGGCATTGCAGGGCTGCACCCACCCGGAAGGTTCCAGCAGAGGCTCCCTCCTCACCTCTTCTGGCTCCTGGGGCCTCGGCAATCCTTGGCATTCCTGGGCTGGCGGCAGCATCACTCCGACCTCTCCCCACGTCTCCCCAGGGCCTTTCCCCTGTGTGTGTGTGTCTGTATTCAAACTTTCCTCTTCTCACTAGTACACCAGTCGCTGAATTTCGGGTCCACACTTCTCTGGTATACATCCCCTTACCCTAGCTAATCACATCTGCAAAGACCCTATTTCTAAATAAGGCCACGTTCTAAGGTTCCAAGTGAGCATGAATGTGGTGGGACACCATCCACCCCAACACAGGCAGCTCATCCCCACACCAGCCTTTCTGCCCCTTCTAACCGCAAACGGAGGTGTGCGGGTCTCCCGTCTGCGCAGCGCCTCTTTTGCTCTCTGTATCGCAGATGAGGACGGGAGGGACCTTCTCCACATCATCTCTCCTTTTGCACCTTTTGGACTTAGTACCATGTGCACGTGTTTCCTGTACAAAAATAAATTCAAAAAATCTCCTGGAGCTCCACGTAGTTCACTGAAATTCCTGCCTGGGATCTCGTCTGATGGCTGGGCCATCATTTATTTAATGAGTTCCTTCCTGACGGCCGTGGAGGTCACCCGCAATCTTTTGCTAAAGCAAACAAGGCTGCCACCAGGATCCCTGCACACGCATTCGTGCCTGTGTGCCCGTCCAGCTGTGGGACAAACTGAAAGTGGAAGTGCGATTGCTAAAACAGGTCAAAGAACACGTGTCTATTTGTCTCAGACATGACCTCGAACCTTGGCTCCCACGGGGCAGTGCAGGAGGAAGTCTGCTCCCCCCAGCCCTGCCCCAGGCCCACTCCCCACCCAGCACACAGGGAAACCTGGGCTGTTTTGACTTCGCCTCTTCCAGCCCTGGGTCCGGCCTTCGCTGTGACCCCGGTCCATCCCGCCGCCCTCTGCACCTCTTCCTCCCTCAGGCAAATATATCGAGAACCACGGGGTGGTTCACAACATGTACTACAACACCACCAGCAAGGTGAAGCTGCCCTACCACGCCACGCTGGGCATCCAGAGGTGGTGGGACAACGGCAGCGTGCCCATCTGGATCACAGCCCAGAGGCAGGTAATGTCACCCCCGCCCATACTGACATCGCAGAGCACGGGGGCACCTAGGCCCAGGTGAGGCTTGGAACCATGTGAGATCCACGGCAGGTCCCTTCCCCACTCCAGGGTCTCGGGGCTCCTGGCCTACCCTGGCACAGAAGGGTGTGAAGTAGGGCCCCAAAAGGGGCAGGTGGTGGGTGCTGGTGAGGACTAACCAGTGAGCTACGTCCGGCTCGGCCCATGGACACAGCCCTGCCCGGTCCTCTCTGGGGGGCCCTGGGAGCAAGAGGGATTGCTCTGTCCCCCTAGTCGGAGGGAGAACTGCACCCTTGGGCCCTGCAGCATTGGGGGTGAGGGTCGGACAGGGAAGATCACTGTGACTCAACAAGAAAGCATTTAACAATTAGACGACTTTCTCCCTTTCCACATCCCTGTCACAGCTGAACAGCTAAATTCTAAAGGGCCAAAGACAAAATGAGAGGTGGGTTACAG
Source organism: Homo sapiens (assembly GCF_000001405.40). Classification (NCBI taxonomy): domain Eukaryota; kingdom Metazoa; phylum Chordata; class Mammalia; order Primates; family Hominidae; genus Homo; species Homo sapiens. The sequence goes on from NC_000017.11 coordinate 79,734,127, forward strand.
TATTGACCCAGGAACCCCCCCACCCACCCCCAGTTTGCAATGCTCTGGGGGCTTCCTGGCCCAGAGGCGAGGCTTCCAGTAAACAAAGTCAGTGGAGGTTTCCAAGATGACGCTGGAATAAATGTCAGAGCCCATGCCCACCCCAGAGCCAAGTTATCCACTCAAGCCGGGGTTCCCTCACTCCAGAAGGATCATAGACACACTCAGGGCTCCTTCCACCGGCTGGTGAGCAGGAAGCCAAGGTAGAGACCCTGGCATCACAAGGCTCTTGATCCAATGAAAGAATATCCTGGGGGAGTGGACGGGCAGGTGGGATGGACAGTGATGAGGCAGACACTGCGTATCTGGGAACATTTTTTTTTTTTTTTTGAGACGGAGTCTCGCTCTGTCGCCCAGGCTGGAGTGCAGTGGCGCCATCTCCGCTCACTGCAAGCTCTGCCTCCCGGGTTTACACTATTCTCCTGCCTCAGCCTCCCAAGTAACTGGGACTACAGGCGCCCGCCACCACGCCTGGCTAATTTTTTTGTATTTTCAGTAGAGACAGGGTTTCACCGTGCTAGCCAGGATGGTCTCCATCTCCTGACCTCGGGATCCACCCGCCTTGGCCTCCCAAAGTGCTGGGATTACAGGCATGACCCACTGCGCCCGGCCTCTGGGAACATCTTTATACTGATGTCTTGTTTAGTGCTCAAGTCCAGTGGGCACCTGTTGTTTCCTCTATAAAATCAGGTTTTACCCCCATAGAACATGAGATCAGGGATGTTTTAGAAATTAAAGGCCCCGCAGCTGCAGCTAGGAGCAGGGATGGGTGGGTGGAACAGAGAAGTAGGCACGTGGGGGACAAATGTGTTCACAGGCATGAGACAAGGGGCAGCCCACTGAGGAGTCCTGTCTTTCACGCTGCCTTGTCTGGCAGGGCCTGAGGGCTGGCTCCTTCTTCTACCCGGGCGGGAACGTCACCTACCAAGGGGTGGCTGTGACGCGGAGCCGGAAAGAAGGCATCGCACACAACTACAAAAATGAGACGGAGTGGAGAGCGAACATCGACACAGTGATGGCGTGGTTCACAGAGGAGGACCTGGATCTGGTCACACTCTACTTCGGGGAGCCGGACTCCACGGGCCACAGGTACGGCCCCGAGTCCCCGGAGAGGAGGGAGATGGTGCGGCAGGTGGACCGGACCGTGGGCTACCTCCGGGAGAGCATCGCGCGCAACCACCTCACAGACCGCCTCAACCTGATCATCACATCCGACCACGGCATGACGACCGTGGACAAACGGGCTGGCGACCTGGTTGAATTCCACAAGTTCCCCAACTTCACCTTCCGGGACATCGAGTTTGAGCTCCTGGACTACGGACCAAACGGGATGCTGCTCCCTAAAGAAGGGAGGCTGGAGAAGGTGTACGATGCCCTCAAGGACGCCCACCCCAAGCTCCACGTCTACAAGAAGGAGGCGTTCCCCGAGGCCTTCCACTACGCCAACAACCCCAGGGTCACACCCCTGCTGATGTACAGCGACCTTGGCTACGTCATCCATGGGGTGAGTCGCCTGCTGGAGGCACCACCTCCAGGGGCTCCCTCCCCAGGCTCTGGGTCTTCTTTTTTTTTTTTTGAGACCAGGGTCTTGCTCTGTTGCCCAGGCTGGAGTGCAATGGCAGGATCTCAGCTCACTGCAGCCTTAAACTCCCAGACTCAAGCGATCCTTCCACCTCAGCCTCCTGAGTAGCTGAGACCACAGGTGCACACCACCATGCCTGGCTAATTTTTGTGTGTGTTTTGTTTTGTTTTGTTTCATTTGAGACAGAGTTTCACTCTTGTCATCCAGGCTGGAGGGTAATGGTGCCATCTTGGCTCGCTGCATCCTCCACCTCCTGGGTTCAAGCGATTCTCCTGCCTCAGCCCTCTGAGGCATTACAGGCGCCTGCCACCATGCCTGACTAATTTTTTGTATTTTTAGTGGAGACAGAGTTTCACCATGTTGGCCAGGCTGGTCTCGAACTTCTGGCCTCAGGCGATCCACCCGCCTCAGCCTCCCAAAGTTATGGGATTCAGGTGTGAGCCACTGTGCCCAGCTGATGTTTGTATTTTTTTGTAGAGACAGGGTTTTGCATGTTGGCCAGGCTGGTCTCAAACTCCTGGGCTGAAGCGATCCTCCTGCCTGGGCCTCCCAAAGTGCTGGAATTACAGGGGTGAGCCACTGCGTCTGGCCTCTCCTTCCATCTCCATAGAGGCACTTCCTGTTTCTAGCTGGTCCCCAGTTTGAGGAGTGTCAGCACCGAAGGGACACTTCCTTCACTATGCGGTAGGGTGTGTGCACATCTGTGTGTGCCCTCCACATTCAGGCACCAGGCAGTGGGAGTGTGTGTGCACGTCTGTATCCATCATGACCAGGCACTGTGTGATAGGCGTGTGTGTGTGTGTGTGTGTGTGTGTGTGTGTGTGTGTGCGTCCTACGTGTCCAGGGTAAAGTGTAGAAGTCCAGCCCCAAGGGTGACATGGAAGAGGTAGGAAAGAGTCAGGAGCCCAACCTCCCCTCAGCAGACAGCACAGGGATGCTGAGCCGGAAGCGAAGCACAGATTAGGGAGCAGACATCCCCGGAAAGGAAGTGACCGATGGGAGGCAGCGTTCAACACCGCACAGGCGGCAGGCCCCGAAGCCTGGAGCTGCCCGCTCCACTCCCATTTACTCAGGGTCTGGTCTCCGTTCATTTAACTGGACCTTCCCTGAACTTCACTCTTTAGGGTGACTGATCTTTGGAGGCTCAGAATTCGGGGAAACTGAGTCTTGGAACCCCTCCAGCCCTCACGTTGGTGCTCCTTCCTAAGGGGGTGTTCATAGGGTGGATAGGGTAGGCGGAGAGGGTCTGTTGCTCCCAGCAAGGACCCAGGACCCTTGCCCGCTCCCCGGCAGAGAATTAACGTCCAGTTCAACAATGGGGAGCACGGCTTTGACAACAAGGACATGGACATGAAGACCATCTTCCGCGCTGTGGGCCCTAGCTTCAGGGCGGGCCTGGAGGTGGAGCCCTTTGAGAGCGTCCACGTGTACGAGCTCATGTGCCGGCTGCTGGGCATCGTGCCCGAGGCCAACGATGGGCACCTAGCTACTCTGCTGCCCATGCTGCACACAGGTGAGGGCAGGGTGCCCCAAATCCCCGCCTGCTCTGGTGTGTACACGTGTGCACACGAGGGTGCCTGCATGCCTGTGACCAGGACACCCTTGAGCCCCAAGTGGGGCCACCTCCCCTGGCTTTGGAGAACACCAGAATCTCTCACATTCCCACAACACGTGACCTCTCACGAGCACCTCATGCATCTCGGGCGGCACGAGAGGGCGAGGGGGAGGAGTGGGCAGTCTTGCTCAAGAAGGGGCTGGAGGGAGCGAGGGTGGCCCAGGCGGGCCTGCTGTGCAGAGCCCACCTCCTGGCTGCTGGATCCCCACTCCCCACTCCCCACCACAGCAACCTGAGGGCCTCCTTTCTGGAATCTTCCTGTATCAGCCTCCCACACACACACCTCCCCACTGGAACCTGCCCCATCTTGGGGACAAAGGCCACCTGGAAACTGACAAGGTGGCGACCCCGGCGGGGGCCTGGCTGGAGAGGGGTGGGCTCTACTGAGCAGGGCTATGAAGGGCCGTGGTGGACAAAGGCCATGGGACCAAGGGGGCGGTGAAAGAGGAAGGAGGGGCTCGTGGGGACCAACAGAGGACCCCGAGTTTACTGTGGAGAGGCTGGGGTGAGGAGCCATCCCTCTCTCCCTCACAGGTCCTCTGGCTTTCCTTAGAATCTGCTCTTCCGCCTGATGGAAGGCCTACTCTCCTGCCCAAGGGAAGATCTGCTCTCCCGCCCAGCAGCAGGCCCCTCCTCGTGATGGGACTGCTGGGGACCGTGATTCTTCTGTCTGAGGTCGCATAACGCCCCATGGCTCAAGGTCAGAGACCCAGAAGGCAGAGGCGGGAGGGTGGCCCCACGCTCCCTGACCCTCCACCCTGATGTCCCAGCTACAGTCCTAGGCAACCAGAACAGAGCTGCCAGGCCCCGCCAAGCAGGTGACTCCCACTGACCTGGCTGCCCCAGAGAGGCCATCACCCCTGAGATCCCGAGGCTGACCCTTCCAGCCTCTCTGCTCTGGGCTTGGAGGAGGTCTTTCCAGAGCAGACCACCCGGACCAGTGGCCAGAATTCCCACCCTCCCCCAAAAGCCAGAACTCCCTCAGCCTCTGGCCAGAGCTGCTGCCTCCCCTCCTTCCTGCCATCTCTGTGCTCCACTGGGATAGCTCGGAAACCGTCACCTGCGGTGCATTTGGGAGGAGAGCTCTGGGGCTGTGTTCCTGGAACTCTCCAGGAGCCTCCTAGGACACGCATGAGGTGTGTTTGGTAGGAGAGCACCAGGGCTATATTCCTGGAACTCTCTGGAAGCCCACCTCTGAGGACACGCGTGGGGTGCATTTAGGAGGAGAGCTCTGGGGCTGCGTTCCTGGAACTCTCTGGAAGCCCACCTCCAAGGACACGCGTGGGGTGCATTTGGGAGGAGAGCTCCGGGGCTGCGTTCCTGGAACTCTCTGGAAGCCCACCTCCAAGGACACGCATGGGGTGCGTTTGGGAGGAGAGCTCCGGGGCTGTGTTCCTGGAACTCCCCGGGAGCCTCCGAGGACAGTGCTCCCTTGTCTGTCTGTGCAGCCACAGCCTCCTAGGCCAAGCAGAAGAAAGTCATTCATTCATCCCGAAAATATGTAACGGGAGCCAGCTCCATGCCACGCTCTGGTCTGGGCTCAGGATATGCAGCGAACAAGACAGTCCAGGACCTGTCATTTAAAGGTGCAAGAAAGCAGAGAACACAAAAGCAAATGAATCCACGCACAGAGTGCTCAGATGCTTGTGATGGCAAAGAAGAGACGGCCACAGGCAGGGACGAGGCAGGCGCGACCTTGTCATTTGCCCGGCCTGGAATGGCCTCTCTGAGAAGGTGGATTTAGGGAGAAAACCAGAATGACAGACACACCAGAAGAAGCCAGACACACCAGGCAGGGGAAAGAGCCAGGGACAGGCCCGCGGTGGGACAGGTTCGGCGTGTTTGGGATGAGACAGAAGGCCAGTGTGCCTGCAGGTTGGCACAGAGCGAGGCTCTAACAGGAGCTGACCACAGCCCCAAGGCAGGAGGTTGTGGGATGCACAGCGGGGAGCCCCAAGCTGAGGTTACACAGGGTCTGAGGTTGATGATTAAATGAGTGGCTCCCACTGCTGGGCCGGGGACAGAAACGGGAGCAGGAAGTGGCCAGTTTGGAGGTGGCTGCAGGACCCAGCCGGACATTCCAGTGGCGGGGTGGAGAAGCTGCAATGTGCACAGATTCCAAATACCTTTAAGAGGCACGACATTCGAGGTTTGTGGACAGATTATGTGGGAGGGTGAAGAAAATGCAAAAATGAAAGATGGGTCCAATGCTTGGGTCCTGAGCCACTTGCTGACATGCTAAACTGTTGGGGACAGGAGTCGGGGGGGCCGAGACTTGTTTCGGCCGTGATCAGCCTCAATGCCGGCGACGCGGCCACGTGCAGCTGTTCCTGGGCACAGGTTGTGCAGATGAGTCCACAGCCAGGGATGCAGTTTAGTCTGGCAATTTAAATTTGAGACTTGTCAACACAAGCTATGGGACTCAATGAAAGCCCCCAGCCAGAAGGAGTGGACTGAGAAGAGATGGTGACCACACCACTCACTGAGAAGGCGGGGCTGGTGAGACAGGAAAAGCCAAGAGCTTGTCATGGGTCAAGAGGGGAATGAGGCCAGGTGCGGTGGCTTCCGCCTGGAACCCCAGTACTTCCAGAGGCCGACGCAGGAGGATCGCTTGAGCCCAGGAGTTCAAGACCAGCCTTGGCAATATAGTTAGACCCCGTCTCTGTAGGAAATTTTTTTTTAATTAGCTGGGCATGGTGGTGCGTGCCTGTAATCCCAGCTACTGGCAGGGAGACTGAGGTGGGAGGATCGCTGGAGCCCGGGAGGTGGAGGCTGCAGTGAGCCTTGTTCCTGCCACTGCACTCCACCATGGGCAAGAGTGAGACCTTGTCTCTACAAAATAAATCAATGAAAGAGAAAGGAGCGGGTTTAGGGTTTAGAGAAGTAGGAATGTGGAGATGTGTGTGGTGGGGAGGACCATTCATGCCAAATGTCACATCCGGAAGGGGACCAGAGGACCCTTCAGCCCGAACCCCTCAGGCAGACGAGGATGCTGGAACCCAGAGGCGTTAGCTGACTGGTCCAAGGGCACCAAAGAGTGGCTGGTGGTGTGTAAATGCCAGTTTTAAGGTCCTGGTCCCGAGTACTTTCAGCCACAACGCCTGCCTCTCTGTGCTCAGGGGCTTGGGTCCTGAAGCAAGTCTTCCAGCACTAGGCAGGGAAGTGATAAGGTTTCCATGGCGCTAGAGTCCACAACCATTTGTTCTCCACATTAACCAAGAGAGGGACTCAGAAAAAGTCATTATTCAGACTCACACACAAGGAAATTGAAGCACAGAAAATCAAAGATCATGTGACTCTGCATATTCTCACACGGCTTTTCCCCAGAGGAGCAGCCACGGTGGCGTCCCAGCAAACCTGCTCTCCAGATCCCCCTCAAAAAGCCCTGCTGTTGGCCCTTACCCATTTCTGCGGCGTGAATACTCCCACCATGGCCCATTTCAAGCTACCAACGTGAGGTCACCGAACACAAAGTAGGGAAGAAGCCCGCAGAATCATCTTTCACAAGCAGCATCTGCTGGGCTGAGCAGGTTGCTAAGAGCTGGGGGGTCCGAAGTTTTCATCACAGCCTGGTAAAGTCCATTTGGAACTAGGCTGTCTTCTGTGGCTAGCTTCTTTTCTTTTCTTTTCTTTTCTTTTTTACACAGATTCTCACTGTGTTGCCCAGGCTGGAGTGCAGTGGTGCAATCACAGCTCACTGCAGCCTCGACCTCCTGGGCTCAAGCAATCCTCCCATCTCAGCCTCCTGAGTAGCTGAGACTACAGGTGTGCACCACCATGCCCAACTAATTTTTTAATTTTTAATTTAAAAAAAGAAAAGCAAGCTATGTTGCCCAGGCTGGTCTCAAACTCCTGGCCTCAAGCGATCCTCCAGCCTTGGCCTCCCAAAAAGCTGGGATTACAGGCATGAGCCACTGGGCCCAGTCCCTTGGGCCCATTTCTTTCCTCTGAAGCTAGTGTTGAAAGTACATGTGGCCAGTTAAAGGCACATTGTGGAACGGACGCAGTCCTTGCCCTGACTTTACAGAGTCCTCCTTCCCCAGCCAGAAAAGCGGGCAGAAGACTAGGGGAAGCTCTTCTGCCTCCTGGGATCCGCACACTGCCAGCCAGGCCTGGGACAGTGCCCACCCCTCCCCTCCCAGCCCTGGGAGAAGGGTCTGAAGCCTGACATCAGCACGCCACCCCCATGTCCACACCTGCCCCGCACCTGTGCCCTCCCAGGAATCCCTACACAGGCCCTTCTCAGCGCAGCCTGGTAGGGCCGCCCCCTTCCACTGCCTGCCGCCCCCCCTCCCCCAGCCCACCATCCTGTTTCCCACGACCCCTCCCTCCCAGTCCAGCCGCACCGCTGCTTCACCTGTCCCACCAGACCTGCCCTCAGCCTGCCCCATCCTCTCCTCCCAGACCAACGCGTGCTGCTTGCTCTTCCAGGAAGCCGCCGGGAGCTGCCCGCAGGCCCTGGGCCGGCTGTCTCGCTGCGATGCTCTGCTGGTCGCGGACGGACCCTGCCTCCCCAGCTTATCCCAGGCCAGAGGCTGCATGCCACTGTCCCCGGCAGCGCCAACCCCTGCTTGGCTGTTATGGTGCTGGTAATAAGCCTCGCAGCCCAGGTCCAGAGCCCCCGGCGAGCCGGTCCCATAACCGGCCCCCTGCCCCTGCCCCTGCTCCTGCTCCTCCCCTTCGGGCCCCCTCCTCCTGCAAAACCCGCTCCCGAAGCGGCGCTGCCGTCTGCAGCCACGCGGGGGCGCGCGGGAGCTCTGCGGGCGCTGGAACCTGCAGACCCGGCCTCGGTCAGCTGGGAGGGGCCCGCCCCGGCACAAAGCACCCATGGGAATAAAGGCCAAGCCGCGACAGTCAGCACGGGGGAGACTTTTCCCTAAAGCCTGCCGGTTTCCCGACGGTCCCACCATTGACCCCAGCGTGGGATAAATTTCTAACTCCTTGCCAGGCTTCACAAGCCCCAGGGACCCCTCCATTCTCGTTAGGGGTGGGCCCTGGTTGGACGGCTGGCCAGTCCTGGAAAAGGGGTGAGTTTCCTAAAAGGAAGGGGGGAAGGCATGAGGAGGCTTTTTGTGAACGATAGGGAAGCAGCATCTATAAGCCACGGTGCTCAGCAAGAAATCACGTTAAACCAGGCGGAAACACCGCAAAGAAAGTCGCGTGGATTGGCTCTGACACAGGACTGGGGTGGCCGTGGCCAGGAGCCGAGGGACCCTTCCACACCTATTCTCCTGTGCATTAAGAGCATAGGCTTTGGAGTCAGATAAACTCATGTTCCAGCCCTGGCCCCCCACCCAGATGCTGTGGCATTGGCAAAGCAGTTGACCCTCCCCAGCCTCAGTTTCCTCATCTGAAAAAGTGGGATAATGAGGACCATGCCTGCCTCCCTGGGGTACCTGAGAGTAAGGTGGACACATTGCGGGGAGGCTGGCACAGAGGCTGGCCCCAAGCAGGTGCTCAAGGATGGCAGCCCCTGGGAGGATTAAAATCCTGCCCTGGGAGGTGCTGGGTTTGTCAGTGCCACCCTGCATAGTAAACCAGCTGGGACACCAGGAGACACAGTCTTTGAAGTCTGAGTTTGTCAGATCTGCCTATTTCCCTGCCTCCAAAGCCCGCAGCCCCTAGCCCCCACCCCGGGTCTCCTGCTTCAGCTCCATGGAGTCTCCAGGGCCCATTCCAGCCTGCTCTCTGCAGCAGCCTGATTGGCTGCCTGGGGCTGAAGTCCTGCCTCAGCCTGAAGAGCCTGGACTTTGGCCTGGCCTGTGGGCCCCCTGCCCCACAATCCAATTGTTCTTCCTGGAAGGACTGCCCCGGTCCCCATGCCAGTGCCTGCAGCCACACCCCATGACACCCAGGCCAGCCACCCACCTGCACAAGCTCTGGCTCTGTGGCTGGGCTGGGGAGGGGAGGGGGGGACCCTCCCTGGACAGGCCCAATTCCAGTCTCAGCCCACCTCAGCCTGCCCCACCTGGCCAGAGGAGACCAGGTAGAGTCCACATCCACGTCCTCGGAGTGGTGAGCGCTCACAGTGCCGGCACTGCCACTGCCCAGTCTCCAAGAGAAGCCCTGCCTTCCTCTGAGCCCCCCACCACCACCACCACATTTGCTCAGCCCTGTTCATCAGCGTTGCAGGGACTGGGCCAACCAGAGCTGTGAGAATTGCCTCATCCACAGAAGAAGAAAAGAAACAGAGAGGAGAAAGAAAGAAGAGAGACAGGAAAATAACCAAGTCTGTCTCACATTCAGTATTCCATTGCTCCAGATGTCTGGTGTAACAAAGGCATCACCAAGAGAGTCCTGGTGGCTGGCCGAGCACTCGCTGATGGAGCTTCCGGTGTCAGGAGCATGGGGGCTGAGGCCTGGCTGCACGCATGGGGGGCTGATTTTCCTATCTGTGCAGCCCTAGGTGTCAAATGTGAGGGGTGCCACCTTGAGCAGCACAGTCCCAGTTCAAATCCAGCTCCCCCTCTCCAACACCTGCTCTGTGGCCCTGGGCAAGTTGCTAACCTCTCTGGGCCTGTCCTCCTCTGTAAATCCAGGACCAGTGGCAGGACCTGTCTCATAGGGTGGTCTCAGTGATAACATGAGTTAATATTCACAAACAGCTGCGAACAGGGCCTGCTACATGGAAGACCTGGGTGTTAGGAAGAGACAGGGCAGCAATTACCTTGTATCAAATTGTGAGAAAGTCATTCACTCTTATAGACTCACCTCCAAGCCTTCTTGCTTCTCTAGCAGAACGTCTCTGGTCCATAATCCCACCCCTAACAGGTGTCTTCTGTGACATGAAGAGAGGCACCAGGCTCAGAGCTCCAGCAGCCAAGCAACAGCATAGGATGGACGGTTGCCACAGCTTGATTTGCCTTGTGTTTGTTTTTATAATCACCTTCAATTTTTGGTTAGTGCTACTCATTTTTCATTGACATCTGTTTTTTTTCTTTTTCCTTTTTAAAATTAATTTAAGCGATTTTTTTTTTGAGACAGTTTCACTCTTGTTGCCCAGGCTGGAGTGCAATGGTGCAATCTTGGCTCACTGCAACCTCCGCCTCCTGGGTTCAAGCAATTCTCCTGCCTCAGCCTCCCGAGTAGCTGGGATTGCAGGCGTGTCATGTGCCACCATGCCCAGCTAATGTTTGTATCTTTAGTAGAGACAGAGTTTCAGCATGTTGGCCAGGCTTGTCTCAAACTCCTGACCTCAGGTGATCCGCCCACCTCGGCCTCCCAAAGTGCTGGGATTACAGGCATGAGCCACCATGCCTGGCCTAATTTAAGGGATCTCTTCATGGTCCTTAAAAAAGTCTTTTTTTTTTTTTTCTTTGAGACAGTCTTACTCTGTCACTCAGGCTGAAGTGCAGTGGCGTGATCTCAGCTCACTGCAATCTCCACTTTCCAGGCTCAGGTGATCCTCCTGCCTTAGCCTCCCAAGTAGCTAGGACTACAGGTGCCTGCCACCTGTAATTATCAGCATGCCCAGCTAATATCTGTATTTTTAGTAGACATGGGGTTTCACGCTGGTCTCCAAATCCTGACCTCAAGTGATCCACCCACTTTGGCCTCCCAAAGTGCTGGGATTACAGGCAGTAAGCTACTGCACCCAGCCAAAAGAGTCTTTTAAAAAATTAAATTAGCCGGGCACAAAGGCACATGCCTGCAATCCCAGCACGGTGAGAGGCTGAGGCAGGAGGATCGCTTGAGCCCAGGAGTTCAAGACCAGCCTGGGCAATATAATGAGACCTTGTCTCTACAAAAAGTTTTAAAATTAGCCAAGTGTGGTGGTGCATGCCTGTAGTCCCAGCTACTCAGGAGGCTGAGGTGAGAGGATCGCTTGAGCATGAGAGGTTGCAGTCAGCCGAGATCGTACCACTGCACTCCAGCCTGGGCAACAGAGCAAGACACTGTCTCAAGAAAAAATCATATTAAGTAACAAAGAATGAGCTGATTCAAAGAGAAATGTTGACTAAGTAATAATGAAGGTGGCTGGGGGACATGACAAACTATATACAAGAGGTTGGCCAACGGCAAACCTGCTGGGGGTCATCAGGCTCTGGCCTGCCTCCTCTGCCCACCAACCATGTGGCCAGCCCAAGAAGTTTCTGGAGAGTAGCACTGGCCTCCCATGGACAGCATCCAAAGATTCCCCCCAGTTTTCCCTGCCTAATGCACGGTGTTTCCCGGGCTATCAGATGACCAAGTTCAGAACTGCTCAACACCGACCTTGCAATTGACTATGCAAAGCTCATTTTACCATCGGCCCAACTGAAACAGACTCGGAAGAAAACCACAGGTGACACAAAGCCGTGCACTGCATATTGGAGCCACTTGGAGCTGACTGGGGACGAGTCACACAGACACATCATCCACACAAACCTGTCAACCCAGATCTTTCTCTGAATTTAGCCAGTCCAGGTGCTAGCAGTAACACACAAAACATCCAGGTACTGACTGGGGTGGTTCTTGCAAGGCAGGTCATACCACTGGGACACAGAAAGCAGGCTTGGGGACAGGCATGGTGGCTCACTCCTGCAATCCCAGCACTTTGGGAGGCCGAAGCAGGTGGATCACCAGAGGTCAGGAGTTCAAGACCAGCCTGGCCAACATGGTGAAAGAGGGATCACCAGAGGTCAGGAGTTTGAGATCAGCCTGGCCAACGTGATGAAACCTCATCTCTACTAAAAATACAAACATTAGCTGGGCGTGGTTGTGGGTGCCTGTAATGCCAGCTACTCGGGAGGCTACAGCAGGAGAATCACTTGAACCTGGGAGGCGGAGGTTGCAGTGAGCCAAGATCGCGCCACTGCACTCCAGCCTGGGTGACAAGAGCAAAACTCTGTCTAAAAAAAAAAAAAAAAAAAAAAAAAAAAAAAAAAAAAAAAAAAAAACAGAAAAGAAAAGAAAAGAAAAGTGAAAGCCAGCTTGGTTAGGCAGCCCCTCCCCAGTGGAGTCAGCTCTGTATACTGTCACCAGGAGGCGGCGCTCTTGGGCCCCTCAACACTCCTGGAAGCCTTCCTCACTTCCTCAGGCACCTTTTGAAGCAGTGAGAATTGAGAACTCCCTTCTGTTCCTCCACCTCCTCCCTCTCCTCCTCCTCCTCATTCTTCTCTGAAAAAGCTTCAGTCCTGCTCAGACCCAGCCTTGAGATAGTGATCAAGGATACTTGTTTGCTGAAGTCTTAGATGGACCCCCAAGTGAGCCCTGGTAGTTCAGAGAGGAGAACTGGAACCCTCAGGGCCAGGTTTTTCCGGGGAGGTGGGGAGGGATCCCCTGAGGGAAGGGATCCCCTGAGGGAAGGGATCAATAGTCCCATCCCTAGCACAAAGACCACCGTGGATCAGTGATTTCCAAATCTGAGCAAGCCTCAGAATCACCTTGTGAGATCTGGGGCGCGGGGGGCACAGGCACATCCACTCCCACACTCCTTAACCTGAAGGTCTAGGGTGGGCCTGAGACTCTGCATTTCTGACCAGAGCCTGCGTGATTCCGCTGCTGCTGGCCTGGGCCAGACACTCCAGAATCGCTGCACCTGATAAAGGTTATGGATAAATGAATGCATGAGGGAGTGAAAGCTGGTCCTGCCCATCCTCCTCAGGTTAAACGGATGAAAAGGCAGCACCACCCCTGGGCCAGGAACTGGGCAGAGGAGGGAGGGGAGCACAGGCACCTCCAGGCTCAATCCCAGTGGGGCCTGGCCAGCTCCTTCCCAGAGAGGCGCTGCTTGCTTATGCAAACAAGCCCTTTCTTTCCAGAATGCAGGGAGCACGGGCCCAGATTCTCTCCTCTGCACTGACGTCCGGCCTCTGTCAAAGGCAGGGACTTCCTTGGTTCACCATAAGCCTTTTCTTGTGTCCCGGGTCGGAACAGGAGAACCTGTAGGTTCATGTAACCGACAAGTCTGTTCGCGATGCCGTCCTGGGCTCCTTAAGGCCTGGGCTCCCCATCTTTAGTATGGGCGGGTTCATCTCCCACAAGCCGATCCTAAGAGCCAATAACCACGCCTGAGGCTTCCGACCTAGGAGCTGCAAACACCTGGCGCGGGGGACTCTCAGGGGAAAGAAACAGCAGGAATTACTCTGTCCCCAGCTCCAGGCCGGCAGAGGACCCGAGTGAGGTCCCCGGGTTCCCCGGGCAAGCAGCAGGGACCGAGGAGGGCACCGCGTCCCGACCCCTGCCCCGGCGCCCCACCAGGAGGGATGTCAAGGCGAGGGAGGATTCCCAGGGGTGCGTGCTGGGGCAGCCCAGTTCCTCCGCGGGCTTCTTTGGGACGAGCAGCCTCCCCTCCCCCACGCCCGCCTTCTGAGGTGCGCAGGGCCCCCTCCCCACCGCAGCGGCGCGGGGGCTGCAGGAGCATCTGTTGCCATGGTGACGCGCGGCGCTGCGCTCCTCGGATCCGGCGCCACCGCCGCCACCACCGCAGTCCAAGAAGCCGAGAGCTGGGGCTCAGGCGGGACCGGGACACCGGCATCCCGCACACGCGCCACACACACTGCACATGTGCGACGGGCATCCACGCACGCTGCACACCGGCACACTCACAGGCACACTCATGCGCTTGCCACCCCATCCCCCCACCCAGACACAGACACACAACACAACACACACGCACACACTGCACACACCTGGCACCGTGTGCACCACCTCATGCCACAAGCAGCCACACACCCCACACGCGCCCGAACAACACCCTTCACCCACACTGCACACGCTGCAGCCCTGTACACGCCACATAACACACGCACCCCACACACCCACTCGGGACCCCGACGCGGGTGAACAAGCGATGGGAACAGGCCCTCGGGGTGGGCCGTAGCGGGTAGGGCGGGCGGCGGGGGTCGCACCCGGGTCGGCGCACGCGCAGCAGGCTAGTGCCGCCCCCTCCCCCTCGCCGGCTGCCACGTCTTTGCCCTCTCCGCGGCCGGGCCCTGCGGGGCACCCTGGGTGCCCGACGGCCTCCGGGAGCGCGGTGGGCTCCAGCCCCGCACCCCGCGAAGGAACGGTCAGCGCAGTCCCCCGGGCCCTCCGCCCCTCGCCGGGCCTTGCGCGCCCCCCGCCGCCCGGAGCGCCTGAGTACCGCATCCCAGGGCGCGGCGCAGCCAACGCGCAACCCGCCCAGGTCAGGGGTGCCCGCGCCTGGGCCGCCGGCGGTGCGGTCCCGCAAGGGCGAGGGAGGGACTGGGCCTCGGGACCCCCATCCCCGGGATGCCTCCGTGCCTAGCCCGGACCGCGCCCTGGAAGAGATCGCCCTTCCATCCTGTGGGGTTGGAGGAGGGATGGGGCACCTCTGGGGCGGGGCAGGGACCCGGGCCCCTCGCGCACCCGCGGAGCCGGGAAAGCGATCCCCGAAGGCCCCAGTCTCTCCTGGCGCCTGGAGAACCCAATCAGGCTGTGTTTTTGGCTTTGGTTTTGGTGACAGATCACTGTGTGACTTTTGGCTTCAATGTCTGAAGAGGTTCAAACAGTGGAGAGACATAACCCTAAGAGAACTGTCCATCACCACGGATCAATTTACGTAAATGAGTTTTCTCACGGTCCAAGCCCATCAAAATAAAAACAGGTTTGGAATTGATTCTGGGCTCTGTCCCAGATAAGAAATAATATTTATCCAATGACATCTGAACCATTGGGAAAAAATACAATCCCACCCATCTCATTAAGAGATGCAGTCCAACAAAAATTTAACTTTTATGTATATAATAAACATATACTGCAATTTTAATATATTTATGCTGGTTTGATCAATTTAACAATTCAATTTAATATTCAATCCAGAATAAATTTTTTAAATACTGAGAGCCTTAGAGTCACAGGAAATAAAATATTTTAAATCTAAATTATGGTTCAAATATTGATATTTCTAGACCTGGTCTAATTCTAAAAGAATTTACTTTGATGAGCATTTTTGAGACATAGGTTAATATTTTTTAAAGTTTGAATAACTGATGTGCCTGTTCTTGTTGCAGACATATGCTTGGGTGAGCAGTGAATTACTTTCAAACATAAAAATATTTTTTATTACAATAAGGTTTTGGAGAAGAAATGAAACAGAACCCAGAGGTAAAGAAGAAAAGGATCAAAAAGAACCTGCCCTTTTATTGGGTCACATTGCTACCTTATTTCTATTTCATTGGATACACTTAAAAGGATTGCCCAAGGAAAACTGGAGGCAGATTGCACTTAGAAAAAAAAAGCTTTCTTGCAAAGGAGCCAGACTTCAGAAGGACTGACTCACCAAATACAAAAATCCAACAAGTATTTAAAGGGAAAAAAAATTCCCAAGAGAATCAAGGTTAGTAAATGTACATTCCTCTGTCTCTGGTGGTTAGCGGCAGCTTCCTCACGTGATTATGCTAATCCTAAAAGCTAGGACACCGGCTTGGAAAAGCAAAAGTCACAGCTAAAATTCTTGTTATTGTAGAGTCCAGGTCCACAGGAAGTAGTTAAGGTTTTATAATTTGGGGACTCTGTGATTTTTGGTTTCAACTGAAGAACTGTGACTTCTTCAATGATATTGGAAGCAGGATAAAATGTCAGCTTTGGCTTCTATAGAGAGAACAGCAGTTTTATTTTTTTAAATGCCAAAATTTACAGTACACTGGAAATCACATACTTTGCAACCATGTAAACTTCATGGTGGAAAAATGGTAGCTGTCAATCTTAAAAGGTGTCAAGGGCTATTATTTTTTTAAATTATTTTCCAGGCCATGTGGGTGAAGACACTTGGAGGCCATGACCCTAGGCCAGTTCCTTTTTGGACAGAAGAAGAAACTGAGGTTTAGGGGAGGAGAGTGACCTGTCCACTGTCCACAGCTGATAACAAGCAAGGGAGGCGGTGCAAACGCCCAACAGCCCAGGAAAGATGACACCCCCACCACCCATCGTTAGAGAAAAGTAAATTAATGCCACAGCACACCCCCTAGGATGGCTAGAACTTTTTATTTTTTTTAAAAAAAAGAAAATAACAAGTGTTGGTAAGGAGGTAGAAATGTTGCAGCCCTCAGAGATGGCAGGCTGGAGTGTAAGACGATGCAGCTTCCATGCGAATTCTGACAATTCCTCAGTAAGTTACACATGGAATAATTTATTGAATTATTGAAATTATTTGAATAATTTATTCAAACTTTTTTTTTTTGAGATGGAGTTTCGCTCTTGTTGCCCAGGCCGGAGTGCAGTGGCATGATCTTGGCTCACTGCAACTTCCACCTCCCAGGTTCAAGCGATTCTCCTGCCTCAGCCTCCTGAGTAGCTGGAACTACAGGCACACACCATCATGCCTGGCTAATTTTTGTATTTTTAGTAGAGACGGGGTTTCACTATCAGGCTGGTCTTGAACTCCTGACCTCAGATGATCCACCCACCTCGGCCTCCCAAAGTGCTGGGATGACAGGCATGAGTGAGCCACCGCGCCCAGTCTCAAACTTTTAAAAACAGTAACCGCGCCCAGTCTCAAACTTTTAAAAATAGTAACCAATGTCTTTTAAAATGCTCATCAAGTAAACTCTTTTAGAATTAAACCATATCTGGAAATATCAATATTTGAGTCATAATTTAAATTTAAAATTTCCTGTGTAAACATATGACTCAGCAATTACACTCATGGGTATACACCCAAAATACTTGACAGCAGGTGTTCAAACAAAAACTTGCACACAGATGTAACAAGCAGCATCATTCACACTCACCAAAAGGTAGAAACAAAACAAATGTCCATCAAAGATGAATGGACAAACAAAATGTGGTCTATCTATATAATGGAATACTATTTGGCCATGAAAAGGAACAAAGTACTTAGCCGGGCATGGTGGCTTATGCCTGTAATCCCAGCACTTTGAAAGGCACAGGTGGGAAGATTGATTGAGCCCAGGAGTTCAAGACCAACCTGGGAAACATAGCAAGACCCCGTTTCTACAAGCAGAAAAAACAATTAGCCAGGTGTGGTTGTGCACAACTATAGTTCCAGCTACTTGGGAGGCTGAGGTGGGAGGATCTCTTGAGCCCCGGAGGTCAAGGCTGCAGTAAACTATGATTGCACCACTGCACTCCAACCTGGGTGACAGAGCGACACGCTGTCTCAAAAAAAAAAAGGAATGAAGTACTGATACATACTTTAATATGAATGGACCGTGAAAAACATGCTCAGTGAAAGAATTCAGACATAAAAGGCCACATATTACACGATTCCACTTATAGGAAATATCCAGAATAGGTAACTCCATAGACAAAAAGGAGATGGGAGGTGGCCAGGGGCTGGGGGAGGAGGGTGGGAAGTGACTGCCTAATGGATTTCTTTTTGGTATAATAAAGACGCTTTGGAGCTAGATGGTGGTGATGGCTGTATAACATTGTAAATGGACTAAGTGCCACTGTTAAATGGCTAAAATAGTAAATGTTATGTGCATTTTTTTTTTTTGAGACAGAGCCTCCCTCTGTCTCCCAGGCTGCAGTGCAGTGGCGCAATCTCAGCTCACTGCAACCTTCACCTCCTGGGTTCAAGTGATTCTCCTGCCTCAGCCTCCCTAGTAGTTGGGATTACAGGCTCACACCACCACGCCCAGCTAACCTTTGTATTTTTAGTAGAGACGGGGTTTCACCATGTTGGCTAGTCTGGTCTCAAACTCCTGACCTCAGGTGATCTGCCAGTCTCAGCCTCTCAAAGTGCTGGGATTACAGGCATGAGCTACTGTGCCTGGCCCTGTTATGTGTGTCTTACCACAACTAAAAGAAAACAGATTCTGGGGCCACATCTTAAAAAAAAAAAAAATAGTGGAAGGCAGATAATGACCATGTTTCAGACAGGGTTTGCCCAGTGGCTTCCACAGAGCTGTCCCATCTTTGGGGTGGTTAATAAAAGCTTCTGTTGGGAGACTCAGAGGGAAGGGCTGGGTGAAGCGAGCCTGACTTGTCCTCACCTGAGATCCATCAGCTCCCACCAGAGCCCGGCAGGAGCCCGGACTCCTTGGTCGGAGAAGCACGGAGAAGGTGGCCAAGGGCACCGCAGAGAGCCCCAGCAAACTTCCCCTTCGGGTTTTTCTGGGCCCCAGCTGTGGGCCGTCAACCAAACTTTGTGAATCGACACTGGTGACTCGACATGGAAAATGACTCTCCGTCATCCGATTCAAACGTCATCAGATTGCTTTTGGTGTGGGAAGCAGAGCACACCTTAACAAACACCTCCCCAGCTGTCCCTTTTAATAAAATACACAGGTTGAATGTATTTCCAATTCTGGAATTAATCAGGGAAGTGGGTGGTTTTTTTTTTTTTTTTGAGATGGAGTCTCGCTCTGTCGCCCAGGCTAGACTGCAGTGGCACTATCTCAGCTCACTGCAAGCTCCGCCTCCCGGGTTCACGCCATTCTCCTGCCTCAGCCTCCCCAGAAGCTGGGACTACAGGCGCCCACCACCACGCCCGGCTGATTTTTTTGTATTTTTAGTAGAGACGGGGTTTCACCGTGGTCTCGATCTCCTGACCTCGTGATCCGCCCGCCTCGGCCTCCCAAAGTGCTGGGATTACAGGCGTGAGCCACCGCGCCCGGCCGGAAGTGGGTTTTTTAATCACCAGCTCTCGGGAGAAACACATTCTGGAGAGCAAAAGGCAAGAACCAACCTTTTCAACAAACCAACCTGCGGAGAAACCCCTCTGCGAGTCCAGTGTTGTAAATGAAAATGTTACCAGGCCGGGTGCGGTGGCTCACACCTGTAATCCCAGCACTTTGAGAGGCCGAGGTGGGTGCATCATCTGAGGTCAGGAGTTCGAGACCAGCCTGACCAATACGGTGAAACCCTGTCTCTACTAAAAATACAGAAATTAGCCGGGCGTGGTGGCAGGCGCCTGTAGTCCCAGCTACTCAGGAGGCTGAGGTGGGAGAATTGCTTGAACCCGGGAGGCGGAGCTTTCAGTGAGCCGAGATCACGCCACCGCACTCCAGCCTGGGCAATCGAGCAAGAGTCTGCCTCAAAAAAAAAAAAAAAAAAAGAAAGAAAGAAAAAGAAAAAGAAAAGAAAACGTTAGCTACACACACAGCTTAGGGGCGGCTCCCTGAAATTTGTAACTGTTTAGCCCCGGGTGTGTCTGTCCAGGATGGGTCATGTCTTTCAAGCTGCACATGCCCACAGGAGAGCTCACCCCCAAAATGCTGCAGCTGTCACAAGGTTGCCTCTTGTTCATTTGGTTCTTAACATGGTTGTTCTTCGGACTTTGATAAAGAATGAATGGTTTTGGCTGGGCGCAGTGGCTCACACCTATAATCCTAGACCTTTGGGAGGCTGAGGGGGGAGGATCGCTTGAGTCCAGGAGTTTGAGACCAACCTGACCAACATGACAAAACCCCATCTCAACTAAAAATACAAAAAAAGTAGCCAGGCATAGTGGCGGGTGGCTGTAATTCCAGCTACTCGGGACACTGAGGCACGAGAAACGTTTGAACCTGGAAGGTGGAGGTTGCAGTCAGGTGAGATGGTGCCACTGCACTCCAGCCTGGGTGACAGAGGGAGACTTTCTCTCAAAAAAAAAAAAAAAAAAAGAATTAATGGAAATGGTTTTGGCGGAGTGCAGTGGCTCACACCTGTAATCCCAGCACTTTGGGAGGCCAAGTAGGGAGGGTCACTTGAGTCCAGGAGTTCAAGACCAGCCTAGACAATGTAGAGAAACCACATCTCTACAAAAAAATTTTTTTAATTAGCCAGGCGTGATGGTGCGCACCTGTGGTCCCAGCTACTTGGGAAGCTGAGGTGGGAGAATTGCTTGAGCCTGGGAGTTCAAGGCTGCTGTGAGCCATGATGGCACCACTGCACTCCAGCCTGTCTCAAAAAATAATAATGAATAGAAAAAGAATTAATGTTTTCCATTTATATCGTTTTCAAAAGAGGTTTGCTCCTCTCATATGAAACTGAGACAGTCAATTCTGCAAAGAAATTCAAATGGCCAGTAAAGCATAGGAAAAGATGTTCATCCTTTCTAAAGAACCAAAAGTTCCAACAACAATCAGATGCTATTTGGATCTAATGATTGTTTTTGAAGGCAATACTTGAGGCTGGGGCCCTGCCACCGCCCACCCAGAATGAGACCCATTAATCATCATCACCCAGGGCTTACTCTTTCTTTTTCGTTATTGGTTTTCACGTCCAGCTTTGCCATTGATCATACACGAGACCTGGGGCAAATCATTCACTCCCTCTGTGCCGAGTTTTCTCTTTGTTCAGCTGAGGAGCTCCACGTGGTATTTGCACTGTAGAGTGGGCAAGGCCCTCTGCTATTCCGTAGGCTGAGTGGGGCCCCGTCCTGCTACAGTGACCCAAAGGCAATTGTGAACACAAGACAAAAGCGTTACGTATTTTGTGTTGTTTTCATCTGTTCCTGCTGCTGTCACAAAACACCGCAGACTGCGTGATTTATAAGTAATAGAGATTTATTTCTCACAGTTCTGAAGCTGGGAAGTCCAAGGTCAAGGATCTCCGCTTCCCAGATGGCACCTCGTTGCCACATCCTCCAGAGGGGTAAAATGCTGTGTCCTCACATGGAGGAAGGGAAGCCCTTTTATAATAAGGCTCTAATCCTGCCAGGCACGGGGGCTTATGCCCGTAATCCCAGCACTTTGGGAGGCTGAGGCAGACAGATCACTTGAACTCAGGAACTCAACACCAGCCTGGGCAACATGGCTAAAACCTGTCTCTACAAAAAATTTAAAAATTAACCAGGTGTGGTGGTGTACACCTGTGGTCCCAGCTACTCGGGAGGCTGAGGAGGGAGGATCACTTGAACCCAGGAGGTGGAGGTTGCAGTGAGCCAAGATTGTGCCATTGAACACCAGCTTGGGCAACACAGCAAAATCCCATCTCAAGGCCACGCGTGGTGGCTCACGCCTCCCAGCACTTTGGGAGGCCAAGGTGGGTGGATCACTCGAGGTCAAGAGTTCGAGACCAGTCTGGACAACATGGTGAAACCCCCGTCTCTACTAAAAGTACAAAAAAGTTAGCCGGGCGTGGTGGCAGGACCTGTAATCCCAGCTACTTGAGAGGCTGAGGCAGGAGAATTGCTTGAACCCAGCAGGTGGAGGTTGCTGTGAGCCAAGATCACGCCACTGCACTCCAGCCTGGGCGACAAGAGTGAGACTCTGTCTCAAAAAAATAAATAAATAAATAATACAAATCTCATCTCAAAATAAAATAATATAATATATGAGGCTCTAATCCCTCCCCGGAGGGCAGAGCCATTACGGCCTTCTCACTCCTCAGTACTGTTGCACTGGGGATTAAGTTTCAACGTGAATTTTGGAGGGACACAAACATTCAAACCACAGTTAAGTGTTGACAGTGTCCTGAGGCGACAGGTCCTTGCTTCCCTCTCGTCCATGTTGATGATCAGGCGACCCGCTGGATTGGTTTCCTGCGGCTGCTCTGAGAAAGCACCACAGACTGAGGGCGTTGAGCCACCCAGGTGTGTTCCCTCGCAGGTGTGGAGGCCAGAAGTCCAATCCAGAGAGGCCGTGCTCACTCTGCAGGCTCTGCAGAGGTCCCGTCCTTGCCTCTCCCAGCTGCTGTGGACGCCAGTGATTTTGTTTCATGTTTTTGTTTTTGTTTTTTTGAGACAGAGTTTCACGCTTGTGGTGCAGGCTGGAGTGCAGTGGCGCCATCTCGGCTCACTGCAACCTCCACCTCCCGGGTTCAAGCGATTCTTCTGCCTCAGCCTCCTGAGTAGCTGGTGTTACAGGTGCCCGCCACCACGCCTGACTAATTTTTGTATTTTTAGTAGAGATGGGGTTTCACCATGTTGGCCAGGCTGGTCTCAAACTCCTGACCTCAGGTGATTCATCCATCTCGGCCTCCCAAAGTGCTGGGATGACAAGCGTGAGCCACCGCGCCCAGCCGGGACACCAGTGATTTTGGCCCACGCCTTCCTGTGTGCTGCTCGGTATGAAGGAAAGCCCTTTCCCTGAAACCCAGAGACCCTCCACCTGCTTTTATTTTTCACTTTTGATAGAGACACAGGTAGTGGAAATAGTTTGCTTTCTTCTTAACTATAAGAAAAGCAACAGCATAAACACAGTTACAAACAGTGGTCAACCTCTGGTCTCAGTGCTGAGTGACCCTAGAGAGTGCTGGGATCTGTGGCAGGAATGAGAGGCTGGTGAGGAAGCCGCCTATCCTCATGTGTCGACCAGCCCAGGGTGGCCCGATGACCCTGTTTTTGTTTTTGTTTTTTTTGAGACAGTTTTGCTCTCGTTGCCCAGGCTGGAGTGCAGTGACACCATCTCGGTTCACTGCAACCTCCGCCTCCCGGGTTCAAGCGATTCTCCTGCCTCAGCCTCCTGAGTAGCTGGGACTACAGGCGCGTGCCACCACGCCCAGCTAATTTTTGTATTTTTAGTAGAGATGGGGGTTTCACCATGTTCGCCAAGGGGTGAACAGGCTAGGTGTGCCCAGGGCACTTCATCCCATCTGCTCAGCCACACCAAACCCAGAGATTCAGGGTGCAACCTGTGGTGATCTCGAAGTGAAAATATTTCCCTTGGATTATCTCATAACATTTCACAGTGGAACTAGAAGGAGGATGTTGAGGCATAAATGAAGCCAAAGGCTTAATTGGAGGGATGTGGAAAGGCAACGGAGAGGCCGCAGCATGGTTGTGTGGAAGAAGGGCTTCAGCGTTGTTGAGTTTCAATTGCAAAGCCACCTGGAAGCAGATGGGGAAAGCCTCTCCATGCAGGAGAAAGAACAGTAAAAGTTCCCAAGAAAATGTTCTCGAGAGCCTCAGCCCCAAACGCAAAGTGCTCAAAGAGCTGCCACTGATGCCCAATATCAGGCCAGCCCAGCCTAGAATAAGGACATCAAACACATTGGAGAAGGGAAGGATAGAAGCTGTTCCCCATCATCCCCCAGGCCCCATCCTGGGAGCCCCGTCACCAACCACCTTTCTCTTTAGTCCTCAGCTGGCCTCGATATTGTCACCAAGTAAACTTTGGGGTCAACAAACATGGGTAGGAACCAACATTAGCACGGTCAGCAAATGCGCCCCTGCTCCAGTAGCTGGGTCTTTATATTGTATCAGGAATCCTCCTGGTCCACCTCCCCCTCACCCATTCCTTCTACTCAACCAAGCTCCCGTACCACGCCACCCCCACCCCTCTTCATCGGCCAAGCTCTCCCCCACCTCCCAAAGGCAGACACAACCTCATCTCAGCTCGCCACCGTCCGCCAGGGGAGACTGACACACATTGACCGCTCCCCGTGCCACCTCTGCTGTGCACTAATGCATTCGCCTAATTTCCAGTAGTCAGTGACATTTCACTGTGGAGGCAGAGGTTTCCACTCACGCCAACTCAAGTCACTGCAGCCTTCATGGAGCTCAGGCAGGATTCGAGGCCCTAAAGAGGGGTGGTAAATAGTGAAGGAGGTTACAGGCACAAGGCAGAGAAATGATGGTGCCTTCCCATTCCAGGTTTACTTTTTTCTAAAGCATTTACTAAAACTAAATTGGAACATCTAAGTTGGTGATTGCATGATTGAGATATTGGAGCAAAAGAACAGCTTGGTTGATAGTTGAGTTTTCACATGGACAGTAGAATCACCGACGTTTTGCTGTAGGTATAAAATGATTTCCAGGCTGGGCAAGGTGGCTCATGCCTGTAATCCCAGCATTTTGGGAGGCTGAGGCAGGCAGATCACTTGAGGTCAGGAGTTCGAGACCAGCCTGGCCAACATAGTGAAACCCTGTCTCTACTAAAAAAAAAAATACAAAAATCAGCCAGGTGCGGTGGCACCCACCTGTAGTCTCAGCTACTGGGGAGGCTGAGGTGGGAGGAACACTTGAGCCCAGGAGGCAGAGGTGGCAATGAGCCAAGATCAAGCCACTGCATTCCAGCCTTGGTGGCAGCGGGAGACTACATCTCAAAAAAAAAAAAAAAGATTTCCAGCCGGGCGCAGTGGCTCACACTTGCAATTCCAACACTTTGGGAGGCCAAGGCAGGTGAATTGTTTGAGCCCAAGAGTTTGAGATCAGCCTAGGCAACATAGCAAGACTCCGTCTCTACAAAAAATACAAAAATTAGCCATGTGTGGTGGCACACATCTGCAGTCCCAGAGACTCAAACTACAAGTGGGAGGATCGCTTAAACCTGGAAGTGGGAAGCTGCAGTGAGCCGTGATCATGCCACTGCACTCCAGCCTGGGCAACAGAGTGAAACGCTGTCTCAAAACACAAAAAAAATTATTTCCTTCTCAAGCCTTCCAAATACCTGGTCTTAGCGCCTTTAATATACAACGAATGCTTACAAATACAACAGAAAAAGATGAGTAACCTAATACAATGGATAAATGATTTGGATAATATATTCAGACAATTCTCAAAAGAAGTATGCAAATAGCCAAGATGTCAGCCTCAATCGTAATGAAAGAAAATAAATCAAATGGAGTTGTAGTTTTCATCTTGTGGCATCTTTTAAAGCTTGATAAAAGCTACTGCTGATAAGAAATGGAAATAACAGGCCTCTCACCTCATGTCAATGTGCCTGGGCACAAGCAGAAGCTTCTGGAAGGGCAATTTGGCTTCATCCATCAAAATGTTAGGGCAGGTGTGAGGGCTCATGCCTGTCATCCCAGCACTTTGGGAGGCTGAGGCAGGAGGATCGCCAGAGGCCAGGAGTTGGAGACCAGCCTGGGCAACAAAGTGAAGCCCATCTCTACAAAAATGAAAAAGGAAAAATTAGATGTGGTGGCGCATGCCTGTAGTTCCAGCTACACAGGAGGCTGAGGTCAGAGAATCGCTTGAACCTGGGAGGTAGAGGTTGCAGTGAGGTATGACTGCACCACTGCAATCCAGCCTGGGCAACAGAGCAAAACTCTGACAAAGAAAGAGAGAGGGAGAGAGGGAGAGAGGGAGAGAGGGAAAGAGGGAAGGAGTGAGGGAGGGAGGGAGGGAGGGAGGCAAGGAAGGAAGGAAGGAAGGAAGGAAAAGATATATTGAGCTATTTCTTTAAGAGCTGTACTCTTTACTATATGTAAGTTATATCTCAATTTTGTAAACTTTTTTTAACCATGAGCATATGTTACATTTATATATAGGGAAAACACAATATATTTTTAAAAATTAAAAAGACAGGCTATAAATATATTTTTATCATGACACTGTATATCTTAGAGAGAAAACAATATATAAAATATATTTAAATATACATAAATGTTTAAAACATAAAATATGAATATTTTACCAAGAGCATATATTACTTTTATACACATGGAAAACACAGTATAGAAGGAAGACACAAGACCAGATCCGGGAATGGTGAATCTCCTCCCCCCAGGCAAACTGGTCCTTCTCACTTGGGCCTGAGGAGGACTCCACACCCCTCCCCAGCCCATACCTCTCAGTCTCACCACCCCCTTCCTGGCACTTGGCCACCAGCTTCAGGGCTGGAGACATTTCTTTCTTTCTTTTTTTTTTTTTAAGATGGAGTCTCGCTCTTGTTGCCCAGGCTGGGGTACAATGACGTAATCTCAGCTCGCTGCAACCTCCGCCTCCAGGGTTCAAGCGATTCTCCTGACTCAGCCTCCCGAGTAGCTGGGATTACAGGTGCGTGCCACCACGTCCAGCTAATTTTTGTATTTTTAGTAGAGACGGGGTTTCACCATGTTGGCCAGGTTGGTCTTGAACTCCTGACCTTAGGTGATCCACCCACCTCAGCCTCCCAAAGTGCTGGGATTACAGGCATGAGCCACCACACCCAGTCAGGGCTGAAGACATTTCTAAATGCTTGCACTTGAGAAATGGTGAGCTCAAAAGGAACTCCTGCTTGCCTGGCTGAAGGCCTTGTCCAGGAGCAGGCCTTGTCCTGGCTGTAACTGCGTCTGGGTTCACACAGCTTTGCATTGACAAAGACGGGAGAAAGGGGCTCTGGGGAGCCCTGGGCAGCTTCCAGTAGTCAGGGGAGGTTTCCTGCCACGACTACAGTGGGGCGACCGAGGGCAGAGGGCAAGTTCAGGCAAGCCTTGAAGAGACCCAGCTGTGTCAGCACAAAACGCAACCGTCTTTCCAGCTGTTGACCTCATAGCTGCCAAGTCAGTGCCCAAGGGGCTGGAGACAACAGGGCACCCACAGCTGTGCTCCGGGGCGGACACCTCAGCCCCCCAGGCAGCAGTGTGGATAACCCACGTGGCCTGGATGTGGTGGGTAAAGTGCTGGCATGCACCTTTGTTCGGGTGGACTTTGGGTCTTGTTGGTCAGATGGTCGTGGCTCCGCTGCTTTGATCCAGGGAGAAACAGGAAAGCAGAAGAGACACTCACTCCAGCAGGTAACCTCCGCCAGGCCGGCCCCACTCTATTCCCAGGGCGCTCCTGGGCCCCTGCTGCTGTCCAGAGGTGGTGGTTTTTCTTCCTTAAGTGAAACCACCAGTGTCTCCGGACTTGAGAACAAGCACCAGAAAGGTGAGGACCACCTGGCACTTTGTTATCCAGTCGCACGTTTCAGCTGGAGGCCAGCCCGCCGACATAACCCTTGGAGGGCCAGGCCAGGAGCATCTCCTCCTTTTCAAAGAAGGGGAAGCCGAGATGTGGGCAGGCTTGTCCCCACCCAAGGCAGCTGAGAAAGCCGAGAGCTCCTCTCTCCATTCTCACTCTCCAAACATCCATGGCCAACCCAGACAGAGCCCCCAGGCTCTACAGAAACCTGGACACCAGAGGGACAGACAGGACAGGAGAGGGGTGACAGTGTGGTAGAAAAATTACGTGGTCATTGGCCAGGCGCAGTGGCTCACGCCTATAATCCCAACCACTTGGGAGGCCCAGGTGGGAGAATGGCTCTAGGCCAGAGGTTCAAGACAGGCCTGGGCAACATAGTGACACCCTGTGTCTACCAAAATAATAATTAATAATAATAATAATAATAATAATTAGCCTGTAGGCCAGGCACGGTGGCTCACGCCTATAATCCCAGCACTTTGGGAGGCCAAGGCGGGCAGATCACTTGAGGTCAGGAATTCGAGACCAGCCTGGCCAACATGGTGAAACTCTGTCTCTACTAAAAAAATAAATACAAAAGTTAGCCAAGCGTGGTGGTATGTGTCTGTAATCCCTACTCAGGAGGCTGAGGCAGGAGAATCAATCACTTGAACCTGTAGGCGGAGGTTGCAGTGCACTGAGATTGCGCCACTGCACTGCAGCCTGAGTGACAGAGCGAGACCCTGTCTCAAAAACAAAACAAAACAAAAACAAACAAAAAGCCTGTAGTCCCAGCTACTAGGGAAACTGAGGCAGGAAGATCACTTGAGCCCAGGACTTTGAGGTTGCAGGGAACTATGATCGCCACTGCACTGCAACCTGGGTGACAGAGCAAGACTCCATCTCTTAAAAAAAAATATTGACTGGGCACAGTGGCTCACACCTGTAATCCTAGCACTATGGGAGGCCAAGGTGAGTGGGATTGCCTGAGCTCAGGAATTCAAGACCAGCCTGGGCAACACGGTGAAACCCCGTCTCTACTAAAAATACAAAAATTAACCAGGCGTGGTGGCACACGCCTGTAATCCCAGCTACTCGGGAGGCTGAGGCAGGAGAATTGCTTGAACCTGGGAGGCGGAGGTTGCAGTGAGCCGAGATCGTGCCACTGCACTCCATCCTGGGTGACAGAGCAAGACTCCATCTCAAAAAAAAAAAAAAAAAACAACTTAATGTATGTCTACAAGGCAACAAGTCCTTTGATATATAGCAATGTAATAACGTTGTCACACAGCTGCCAACCAAGCACCGGTCCCTGCCAGGCTCCACTCCCTCTGGAGTTCTCTTTGTCCTGATAGTTTTCCCACGTGGAATCTTCTACTCCAACCCCTCCCAACTCAACGGCAAATTCTGAATCTAAATCCAGAGTGCCAGCCTCTGGAAGCTCTGGCCTCGTCCCCACCCCCAAGCACTTGTTCACCCCATTTCCATTGCTTGCTGCCAGCCGCTGGCCTGGCCTCTCCCCAGAGGCTCCGAGGATGCCCAGCAGAAAAGCCCTGGCTCTGGGCAGGTTTTCGCAGACAAGACTCGCACCTCCTCTTGGACTCACGTCCCCACCCTCCAGGGACCCATAAGAGAGAAACCGGTGGCACAGATGGCAGTGCACGGCTCCCAAAGGGACCGAGTTGGCAACAGCAGGCAGTGCCTGGCCAACCCCATTGCACTCCACGTGGGGCATCCGCTGGGAGGCCAGGGTCAGGTGGGCCCCAACATTCAGAATGACAGACAGAAGTAGGAAAACGAGGAAGCAGGCCAGTGCCCATGCGGGGAGATCAGTCTTATTCACATTTTTCAAGAGATAACAGAAATCTGAACTTTTAGGTAAAACATCCCGTTTCTTACATTTCAGTTCCAATAAGAAAGCACACGTGCCGATTAGGGAAATGCAAATCAAAACCACCATGAGATGCTGCTTCACACCGACTAGGGTGGCTAGAATCAAAAAAGCAGAAAATCGCAAATGTTGTCGAGGATGTGGAGCAATTGGGCCCCTCGTGCAGTGCTGGTGAGAAGAGAAAACGGTGGAGATGGTTTGGGAGTTCCTAAAAAGCATAGAATTCCCATAGGCACCAGCAATCCCACTCCTGGGTATACACCAACAAAAACTCGCACACAAGTGCTCCTAGCAGCATTATTCATAAGAACTGAGCTCAAAAGTGGAAACAACATCAGTTGTCCACTGGAAGATGAATGGATACACGCAACGTGTCCACATGCAATACAGGCGTGGTGGCTCACGCCTATAATCCCAGCACTTTGGGAGGCCGAGGCAGGTGGATTTTGTATTCAGCCATAAAAAAGCTGAAGTACCGATGCAGGCCACTGCCTATGTGCACACGGAAAACATCGTGCTCAGTGCAAAAGGCCAGTCACCACAGGCCACATACTGGCTGGCCACAGTGGCTCAGGGCCGGGAATCCCAGCACTTTGGGAGGCCAAGGTGGGAAGATCTCTTGAGCTCAGCAATTTGAGACCAGCCTGGCCTACATAGGGAGATCTCATCTCTACACAAAATAAAAATAAAAAATTTTAAAAAGGCCACATGAGATTCCGTTTATATGAAATGTCCAGAACAGGCGAATCTGCCGAGACAGAAAGCAGATTGAGGGTTGCGAGGAACAGGGGGAAGGGAGAGAAAGTATGGGAGTTTCTTTTGGGGATGGTGGAAATGTTCTAAAATGGATTGTGACAATGGTTGCACAAGCTTATGAAGATACTAAAAATCATTGAATTTTACACTGTAAAATGGTGAGCTTTATGTTCGTGGATTATATTCCAAACAGACAGTGCAAGCGGAGCCAAGGATATCTATGGGCCAGATTGCACCGGGGGGCAGTACAGCTCCCCCTCAACCCTGAGCCTGAGCGCCGACCCCCAGCACTCAGTCTCACTGTGGGCTGGAATCACTTTTTTCTTATTCCTTCTCTAAGACAAAAATGTGCAGTAGAATTCCCCAATGAATACTGTGCCACCGACACCCACTGCTGCTGGTGATGGCAGTAGCCGGCCTCTGGGGAAAGCAAGGTGGCACCTACAACACTGGGCCCCATGGAACCACGGGGGCCTTATGCGAGGGAGGCAGGAGCTTCAGGGTCAGAGCAGAGATCAACGGAACATGATTGCTGGCTCTGAAGGTGAAAGAAGGGGCCGCCACGAGCGAAGCAATGTGGACCTCCTTAAAGAACTGGGAAAGGCAGGGAAACAGATGTCCCTTGGAGCCTCCAGAGAGAACCAACTCGGTCAGCACCTCGGCTTCATCCTCATGAGACCTGGGTCAGACTTCTGACCTCTAAAAGTGTGAGAAAATACATTTGTCTTGCTTTCTTTTTTTTTTTTTTTTTTTTTTTTTTTTGAGACTGAGTCTTGCTCTGTCACCCAGGCTAGAGTACAGTGGCACAATCTCGGCTCACTGCAACCTCTGCCTCCCGATTCAAGCGATTCTCCTGCCTCAGCTTCCTGAGCAGCTGGGACTACAGGTGCGCACCACCACACCTGGCTAATTTTTGTATTTTTAGTGGAGACAGGGTTTCACCATGTTGGTCAGGCTGGTCTCAAACTCCTGATCTCGTGATCCACCTGCCTCGGCCTCCTAAAGTACTGGGATTACAGGCGTGAGCCACCGCATCCAGCCTTGGATTGTTTTAAGTCACTAACTTTATGGTCATTTGTTCCAGCAGCAACAGGAAACTAATACAGCAGGTGATTTAATCTCCTTAAGACTTCATTGCTAGGCCAGGCGCAGGGGCTCCTGTCCAGAATCCCAACACTTTGGGAGGCCAACACGGGAGGATTGGTTGAGCCCAGGAGTTTGAGACCAGCTGGGAAACATGGAGAAACCCTGTCTCTATAAAAAAAAAATATATATATATATATACAAAAAATTAGCTGGGCATGGTGGCACACGCCTGTAGTCCCAGCTACTAGGAAGGCTGAGGTGGGAGGACTGCCTTGCTTAAGCCTTGAGGGAGAGAGGTTGCAGTGAGCCAAGATTGTGCCACTGCACTCCAGCCTGGGTGACAGCCACACTCTGTCTCAAAAACAAAAGGACTTCATTTCTAAAATTATTATTTAATAATTTTACCTGCTTACCAATGGAAGGCAAAGAGTAAATGATATCATCTTTGTAAAGTGGCTGTCCCAGTCCTTGGCACATAAATGCTCAGTCATGACGAGTATCCAATGACAATTGCACAAGCAGGAAAAATTATGTTTACAAGGAAGTATACTTATATGAGGACATGCTCCTAGTGTGCTGATGCCGATGGAAGAAATTATAAAGATTGTATACATATATCGCCTATGTAAAAATGCAAAAAGAACAATTATATAAGATATTAATATCGCCTTTTTTCTGGGTGATCTTTATTCTATCTAAATTTTCGTGTATTATCTATGGAATGTTTTACTTTTTACTTTTTTTGTTGCTGTTATTAAGAGACAGGGAGGGCCAGGCTCAGTAGCTCACGCCTGTAATCCCAGCGCACTTTGGGAGGCCAAGGTGAGCGGATCACAAGGTCAGGAGATGGAGACCATCCTGGCTAACACAGTGAAACCCAGTCTCTACTAAAAATACAAAAAATTAGCTGGGTGTGGTGGCGGGTGCCTGTAGTCCCAAGCTACTGGAGAGGCTGAGGCAGAAGAATGGCATGAATCCGGGAGGCGGAGGTTGCAGTGAGCCGAGATCACACCACTGCACTCCAGCCTGGGCGACAGAGCGAGATTCTGTCTCAGAAGAAAAAAAAAACAAACCCAAAAATTAGCTGGGCATGGAGGCAGGCGCCTGTAATCCCAACTACTGGGTAGGCTGAGGCAGGAGAATCACTTGAACTCACAAGGCAGAGGTTGCAATGAGCTGAGATCACACCATTGCACTCTAGCCTGGGCAACAGAGCGAAACTCTGTCTCAAAAAGTAAAAAATAAATTAAAAATAAAAAAAGATATTATCTTTGGTGAACTACCTGAAGTCTTTTGCCCACTTAAAAAAAAAAAAGAAAAAGAAAAAACATGGAATTCTGTGTCGTTTTTTTTTTTTTTAATTTGTAAGAGTCCTTTGTATATTCTACATACAAGTTCTTTGTATTACAAGTATTTTCTCCCAGTCTGAGGCTTCCTGGCTCATGTTCTTGTAACGGTATCATTTGATGAGTGCAAGTTTTAAAATCTGACAAAGTCTAATTTGTCCATTTTTTGAAAATAACTCTTGCTTTTTAGAAACCAACAGACCTTTGCCAGCCTAAAAGTTGCAGGTATTCTTTTGTATTTACTGCTTTTTTATTTTTTAATTTAATTTTTTTTTTTTTTTTGAGACAGCCTTGCTCTGTCGCCCAGGCTGGAGTGCAGCAGCACATTCTCGGCTCACTGCAACCTCTGCCTCCCGGGTCTGAGCAATTCTTGAGCCTCAGCCCCTCAAGTAGCTGGGATTACAGGCATGCACCACCACGCCCTGCTAATTTTTGTATTTTTAGTAGAGATGGCCTTTCACCATGTTGGCCAGGCTGGTCTCAAACTCCTGGCCTCAAGTGATCTGCCTACCTCATCCCCACAAAGTGCTGGGATTACAGGCATCAGCCACAGTACCTGGCCATTTATTTTATTTTATTTTATTTTTATATTTTAGGGACAGGGTCTTGCTCAGTCGTCCAGGCTGGAATGCAGTAAGTAGTGCAATCGTGGCTCACTGCAGCCTCAAACTCCTAGACTCCTGGGCTCAAGCATCTTCCTGCCTTAGCCTACCAAGTAGCAGGTACTACTACAGCTGGTTGCACCACCCCAGCCAGCTAACTTTTGTTTTTGTTTTGAGACGGAGTCTCACTCTGTCACCCAGGCTGGAGTGCAGTGGCATGATCTCAGCTCACTGCAATTTTCACCTCCGGGGTTCAAGTGATTCTCCTGCCTCAGCCTCCCGAGTAGCTGAGATTACAGGCACGCACCACTATATCCAGCTAATCTTTTATATTTTTGGTAGAGACGGGGTTTCACCATGTTGGCCAGGCTGGTCTAGAACTCCTGACCTCAAGTGATCTGCCTGCCTCAGCCTCCCAAAGTGCTGGGATTACAGGTGTGAGCCACCATGCCTGACCCACAACCAGCTAGCTTTTTAAAAAAAACTTTTTATTGTCTAGGCTGGTTTCAAACCCCTGGCTTCAAGCAATTCTCCCATTTCAACCCGTATTTACTTCTAGAAACTTTATTATCTTCACTTTTGTGTTTAGGTCTGAGCCAACTCACATTAATTTCCAGGTGTCATGTGAATTGGGGCCATGGGTCTTTTATTTTTATGTGTATGGATGACACAGCTGTCCAACATCATGTGTTGAAAAGTCTTCTGTCCCCGATGATTTTCTTTTGTCAGAAATAAAATAACCATGTATGCCTGTGGGCCCATTTCTGGACTTTCTTTGCTGTTCCATGAATAGTATTTGTCTATTCTACACCAAGTCACAGTGCACTGACTATGTAATTTTATAGTTAAGTCTTGAAATAAGGTCATGTGAGTCCTCCAACCCAGTTCTTTTTCGAGATTGTTTGGGTAATTCCAGGTTCTTTGCATTTCCCTGTATATTTTATAATTCACTTATCCATTACTTTCTTGCCTTTTAGATGCTGAGATTTTGATTAGGATTGTGTTCAATCTTTAGATCAATTTAGGGGGAACTGATATCTTTTTTTTTTTTTTTTGAGACAGAATCTCGCTCTGTCACCCAGGCTGGAGTGCAGTGGCGCGATCTCAGCTCACTGCAAGCTCCGCCTCCCAGGTTCACGCCATTCTCCTGCCTCAGCCTCCCGAGTAGCTGGGACTACAGGTGCCCGCCACCACACCTGGCTAATTTTTTGTATTTTTAGTAGAGACAGAGTTTCACCGTGTTAGCCAGGATGGTCTTGATCTCCTGACCTCGTGATCCGCCCGCCTCAGCCTCCCAAAGTGCTGGGATTACAGGCATGAGCCACCGCGCCCAGCCATATTAGTCCATTTTCATACTGCTATGAAGAGATACCTGAGACAGGGTAATTTATAAAGGAGAGAGGTTTAATGAACTCACAGTTCCACCTAGCTGGGGAGGCCTCACAATCACGGTGGAAGGTGAAGGAGGAGCAAAGTCACGTCTTACATGGCAGCAGGCAGAGCGTGTGTGTAGGGGAACTCCCCTTTATAAAAACGTCAAATCCCGTGAGATTTATTCATGATCACAAGAACAGAATGGGAAAACCCCACCCCCATGATTCAATTACCTCCCACCGGGTCCCTCCCACGGCACGTGGAGATTATGGGAGCTACAATTCAAGATGAGATTTGGCCACGCCATATCAATATTCTAAGGGCTGGTTTGCCTGATGATGGTCCTCAGAGGTGATTTAAGGATCTCTTGTGGCTACAGGGAAGGAAAAATGGTTCCATGGAGTCATACACACGGACTCAGCACAGGGCCTGGCACACAGTGGGCACCAACAAATGTAAGCCATGTAGCGCAGCACAAAGCAGGGAGGAGGTGGGGACGGATCAAGTGCTATGGGACAGACTGTGTCCCCCGCAAATCCATATGTTGAGGCCCTAACTCCCAGCAGCTCAGAAAGTGACTGCATTTGGAGAGAGGAACTTTAACAAGGTAATTAAATTAAAATAAGGCCATTGTGGTGGCCCTAACCCAACAGGACGGGTTTCCTTATGAGAAGTGGAGATGAGGGCCGGACGTGGTGGCTCGCACTTGTAATCCCAGCACTTTGGGAGGCCAAAGCGGGTGGATCACCTGAGGTCAGGAGATCGAGACCATCCTGGCCAATATGGTTAAACCCTGTCTTTACGGGTGTAGTGGCGCATGCCTGTAATCCCAGCTGCTCGGGAGGCTGAGGCAGGAGAATCACTTGAACCCGGGAGGTGGAGTTTGCAGTGAGCCAAGATCGCACCACTGCACTCCAGCCCGGGCAACCAAGCAAGACTCTGTCTTAAAAAAAAGAAGAGGATGGCCGGGCGTGATGGCTCACGCCTGTAATCCCAGCACTTTGGGAGGCCGAGGCAGGTGGATCATAAGATCAGGAGATCGAGACCATCCTAGCTAACACAGTGAAACCCCATCTCTACTAAAAACATACAAAAAAAATTAGCCGGGCATGGTGGCGGGCGCCTCTAGCCCCAGCTACTTGGGAGGCTGAGGCAGGAGAATGGTGTGAACCCGGCAGGCAAAGCTTGCAGTGAGCGGAGATCGCACCACTGCACTCCAGCCTGGGTGACAAAGCGAGACTCCATCTCAAAAAAAAAAAAAAAAAAAAGAAGAGATAAGATGAGGACACAGATGTGCACAGAGGGACAACCCTATGAGGACGCAGGGAGAAGACACCGTCTACAGCCAAGGAGAGAAGAAACCAACCCTGCCCACATCTTGATCTAAAACTTCCAGCCTCCAGAACTGTGAGAAAATTAACTTCTGGGAGCCCCTAGAAGGGCTCCCAGGGCATGGAACTTTGTTGTGGCAGCCGGAGGAAATACACGACGGGAATAGCCAGTGCCCCATCCTGCAAGTCTAGGAAATTAAGAATCTTCCACTCATTTAACACAATCCAAGCAGTGCTAGGCTCAGTGGCTGCTAAACTGTTTTCTGATCTTGCCCTCTGGAGAGGGTACAAATGACCCCCAAAGTGGCCACAAATTCTTCCAGATCCTGTATGGTCACTCATTTGCTACTCCTCTGGTCAAGAGGTTGGAGTTTACCTCACATGGCTTCCATGCAACTTGCTGTGGCCCCTGGGACGTCAGCAAACATGGGACCCCAGCTTCCATTGGAACCACCGAAGAAAGGATCCACGCTGGCCTGCTGCAGACAGACAGCCCCGCCAACAACCAGCACCAAGCACCAGCCACGCAAGAAAGGCCATCCCAGGCCATCCAGCCCCAGCCAAGCCGAAGCCATGTGAGTGACGCCGGCATGACCAGCAGGAGCACTGAGGAGCTGAGCCCAAGGATGATCCGTCAGGCTAAGGTGTTCTCCCCGGCTAGGCCACAGCCCCCAGGTACTCAGGCAAACGCAAATCCAGTCGCTGCTGTGACTTGAGGTGAAGGAGCTTACCCCGAATAATCTGGGTGGGTCTGATCAATTCATTGAAAAGAAGCAACTCCGCCTGTGGACCGCAGCGCCAGCTCCTGTCTGAGTCGCCCCGGCTGCCTCTGAGGAAGGCTTGCTCTGCAGTTTGGGACTCGCCTCACCAGACCCCACCATCACATCAGCCAGTGCCTTCAGTAAATCTCTTTGAATGCTGATATTTCTATCTATTGGCTGTTTCTCTGGAGCACCCCGTGGTCTAGGTTGGGCTGGGGGTTCTGCTAGTACTTTTGTCATTCCCTTTGCTTTCCTGTGGCTGGAGACTGTGCTTTGTCATCGTTGCTGGCCCAGTTCCTGCCCGCCCTTCTCCTCCAGGGCATCCTACAAATGTCCTGTGCCACCACCTCTCATAGCGCTGCCAGGAGCAGTGTGAGAAGGACTCATGACCACGCCTCAATCCTGAATTCCCCTCGCCCGTTCCTCTCTGGATGCAATCTCACTACTTTGTCTTACTTCCCCTGCTTCAGAGGGCTGAGATTCGCCATCCTGGGGGGCACATGTCCCCATAAGCAGCATTCACACAGGACAGGGGCCTCTAAAGGCAGTGACCGCAGGATGCAACTTGTACTGAACCCAAAGAAATATGAATGTGAGGCCGGGCACAGTGGCTCATGCCTGTAGTCCCAGCACTTTGGGAGGCCGAGGTGGGAGGATCACTTGAGGTCAGGAGTTTGAGAGCAGCCTGGCCAACGTGGTGAAACTCCATTACTAAAAATATAAAAATTAGCTGGGCGTGGTGGTGTACGCTTGTAATCCCAGCTACTCGGGAGGCTGAGGCAGGAGAATCACTTGAACCCAGGAGGCAGAGGTTGCAGTGAGCTGAGCTAGCACCACTGCACTCCAGCCTGGGCGACCGAGCTAGACTCCATCTCAAAAAAAAAAAAAAAAAAAGAAAAGAAAAAGAAATATGGGGAGGGATAGCTTTAGGAGATATACCTAATGCTAAATGACGAGTTAATGGGTGCAGCACACCAGCATGGCACATGTATACATATGTAACTAACCTGCACATTGTGCACATGTACCCTAAAACTTAAAGTATAATAATAATAATAAAAAAAAAAGAAATATGAATGTGAGGTCAGTGGCAGCCTTTCCTGCTGATGCAGCAGGGACATGGAAAGTACAAGGTTTCAGCTTCAAGGAGGAATATCCTATAAACGTGCCTCAAAAGACAGTAGCCATCCCTGCCAGCATCAGGAGCCCATTCTTTCCAAATACACAGAGTCCAGCGAGGACACGCCAGGCCATAGGAGCTGAGGCTGCCAAAAACGCTTCTGTGCCTTGTGAGTTAAATTAACATCATTTCGGTGCACAGTGGCTCACACCTGCAACCCCAGCCCTCTGGGAGGTGAAGGCAGGAGGATCTCTTGAGCCCGGGAGTTCAAGACCAGCCTGGGCAACACAGTAAGACCCCCAATTTCTATAAAAATAAAAATAGTAGCCAGGTCTCGTGGCACACCTCTTGTAACCCCAGCTACCTTGGAGACTGAGGCAAGAGGATCACATGAGTCCAGGAGGTCAAGGCTGTGGTGAGCTATGATCACACTACTGCACTCCAACCTGGGCAACAGAGCAAGATCCTGTCTCCAAAAAAAAAAAAAAATTAGCATCATGGCTGGGTGCAGTGACTCACGCCTGTAATCCCAGCACTTTGAGAGGCCAAGGCGGGTGGATCATCTGAGCTCAGGAGTTCGGGACCAGCCTGGCCAACATGGCAAGACCCCGTCTGTACTAAAAAATATAAAAATTAGCCAGGCATGGTGGCGCGTGCCTGTAATCCCAGATATTCGGGAGGCTGAGGCAGAAGAATCACTGGAACCTGGGAGGTGGAGGTTGCAGTGAGCAAAGATCGTGCCACGGCACTCCAGCCTGGGCAATACAGCATTTCTATAGAGAAACTTTTTTTTTTTAATAAATGCTACTCACGGCAGCAGAAGCTAAACACTGGAAACAACTCACCATCTATCAGCCATGGTCTGGTAAATAAACAATAAACTATGCAGCATCCCACCCCAGAATACCGCGGAGAGGTTCAGCAAAGAAAGCAAGGCTCTCCATTGGATGGAGAGTGACCTTCTGGCCATACTGCTAAGAAAAAAGGCCTGGCATGGCTGGGTGTGGTGGCTCACACCTATAATCCCAGCACTTTGGGAGGCGGAGACAGGTGGATCACCTGAGGTCGGGAGTTCGAGGCCAGGCTGAGCAACATGGAGAAACCCTGTCTCTACTAAAAATACAAAATTAGCCGGGTGTGGCGGTGCATGCCTGTAATCTGAGCTATTCGGGAGGTTGAAGCAGGAGAATCGCTTGAACCCAGAAGGCGGAGGTTGCAATTAGCCGAGATCGCGCCATTGCACTCCAGCCTGGGCGACAAGAGTGAAAACCCTGCTCAAAAAAAAAAAAAAGGCCCGGCACAGTGCAGCCTGTGGTGGCGTGCCACCGTGCCTGTGATAGAAAGAAACGAGCAGGAGGGCAGCTATGAGAAATGTTCTGAGGCCCCTTGCTAGGACAGGCACACCTCTGGAGGAGACAGCGTTTGCTGCCTGCAGAGTGGGGAACTAGGTTGCTGGGGACAGGGAAGGAGGAAGGCTTTTCAGTATATATCCTCCTGAACCTTTTTTATTGTTGTTGTTTATTTATTTTTTTCTGAGACAGAGTCTCGCTCTGTCGCCCAGGCTGGGGTGCAGTGACATGATCTCGGCTCACTGCAACCTCCGCCTCCCGGTTCAAACAATTCTCTGCCTCAGCCTCCTGAGTATCTGGGATAACAGGCACCCGCCACCACACCAGCTAGTTTTTGTATTTTTTAGTAGAGATGGGGTTTCACCATCCTGGCCAGGCTGGTCTTGAACTCCCGACCTCATGATCCACCTGCCTCGGCCTCCCAAAGTGCCGGGATTACAGGCGTGAGCCACTGCACCCAGCCCTCCTGAACGTTTTTATTTCATCACCTGGGCGTACCCCACTCTCCTGGCTGAGTTGACAGCCACCAAGGTGGATGGTGGTGGAGGAGGCACAGCCTGACTGGTGAGGTGCCGCCCTGCCCCGGTGGGAGCCCAGCCTCAGACCCTCACTCACCTGGGGAACCTGGACACGCTCTGGGCTGCCCTCTTCTCACCTATAAAACAGGATTTCCCAGTCCCTTCTTCTAAACTTCCCTGACTCCAATTGCAGTTCTTCTATTACTGAGAGTTTTGCCAACAACAGTGAGAGAAAGGGTCTTTTTTTTTTTTAATAGGAATTTCTTGGACAGATCTTTACACTTTCCCACCAAAAAGCAACAGGATCTCTCTCTCTTTTGTGTGTACATCAAACAACATTTCTGTGTTTGGGTTCTTTCAAACAAGAAGTAACTCATCTGAGGAAGGGAGTGAAATAGAACAAGCATTCGATTTAGAGGGGATCTTGCAATGCAGTTCTCCAATCTTTAAACCCACGGGTTGTTCCCAAAGGATTTATAGAGGATGCTGAGGCCACCAGCAGGAGAGAGGAACAACGGTTAACACACTCAGGAACTGTGCGCTTGTTCTCATCACTTAGAATCCCTGAACTATTTGTTTGTAAGTAAGGGTTTCACTCCTAGATTTTAGACCTTTGAAAGTGTATGGTTTTGTTTGTTTGGTTTGGTTTTTTTTGTTTTGTTTTGCTTTGTTTTGCTTTTTGAGATGGAGTCTCGCTCTGTCGCCCAGACTGGAGTGCAGTGGTGCCATCTCGTCTCACTGCAACCTCCGCCTCCTGGGTTCAAGCAATTCTCTGCTTCAGCCTCCCGAGTAGCTGGGATTACAGGCACGCGCCACCACTCCCGGCTAATTTTTGTATTTTTAGTAGAGATCGGGTTTCACCATCTTAGCCAGGCTGGTCTTGAACTCCCAACCTTGTGATCCACCTGCCTCGGCCTCCCAAAGTGCTGGGATGACAGGCGTAAGTCACTGCACCTGGCCTGTTATTTTTTAAATTGTGAAAATACTGCATTTCACACTGGAAAATTACGCTCATAAAACCGTTTTGCACTGTAAAAATTCTGCACCCGGGAAAGGTCCTGGAAAAAGCCGAGGTGGCATGCGCGCGGAACTGCCGGACCAGCTGAGCATCAGGTTGCTCAGACATCACTGGATCACTTGCACTTACTAGAGTTACTGAGAAGTGGGGACAGAGGCAACCCCATCTACCCGGGCTGTGACTGTGAATTGGTGCAGACCCTCGGAGGGCAGTTTGACAATAGCTAACTCAGAAAGGTAGAGCCATGTATCTTCTTTTGTTCCTTTCTCCCATAGAGAAGACATACCCTTTTAAGACAGCTCTGTGCATGCTATTCTGTAGATACGCTGGTACTTTGCACATGGGAAGACAAAGATGGTCATTGCTGCACTGTTTTAATAGTAAGAAACTGGAATCAGGGACCGATCTGATTGCAAAATTAATAAATGACACTCTTTAAAATAAAAGCTTCATGTAATGGAGACCTCCTGCAAGGGGACTGTCATCATAAATGAGCTCATTGTCCATTTCCCACCTCCTATAAC
Organism: Homo sapiens; assembly: GCF_000001405.40. Taxonomy (NCBI): domain Eukaryota; kingdom Metazoa; phylum Chordata; class Mammalia; order Primates; family Hominidae; genus Homo; species Homo sapiens. Next base: position 79,774,458 of record NC_000017.11, read on the forward strand.
TGTGTTCCTTAACCACCCCCTGCCTCCAGGATCGGGGCGGGGAAGGGGGGTGCCTCCAGCCTGAGCCTGTCTTTAGGTGTGCTGCAATGAGCTAGGTGGCCTGGTGGGTGAGGGTGAGTGGAGTCCGAGAAACATACGGGGTTGCTCCAGCCTTTGACCTTGGAAGGCCTCCTGAGAGCAGGCTCTCCACCACTTCCAGAACAGCCTGCCCATTTGCCCCTCCCAGGCCAACATGGGAAACAGCAGGCCCAGGCTCCACGGTCCTGTACCTGATACAGTTTGTATTCTCCTGCCTCATGTGCACAGCGAGGGATTGGGCAGGCTGCCCTTTGTAAGAAGTGTTCTAAACGCTGAGAGCCCTGGGCTGCCTCTGGCTTGTCCTGGGTCAGAATCCAGGGGCGGACATGTGCATCGTGTGCCCAGGGGTCCTTAGGCAAACTGAAAGCTTGAGGGATCCTGCAAGTGCCTGAACTGTGCTTATTTTTACTTGAGTTCTGATACACAAACACGGTCTGTCCCGCATATGTAATATTCACATATTACATACACAGAAACGGCGTGACATTAACACAGCTAGCCTGTAAGTCACACCTTAGTCTTGCAAATGTGCAGAGGAGCTGGGGGCAAATTACGACATGAGATATTAAATGTGATGTAAATGTGTGATGTATTCTAAATCCTGAGTGTATCCCATGCAGACCGGCTGGTGGTGGTGTCTGGTTCCTCCTTTTAGCCAACACCGCTGATGGCAGTAGGGAGACAGTGCTTTTAGAAAATCTAAGAGCTGTTTGAAAGTATTTGGTTAAGAAGTAACTACTGTTACCTAGTTACAGCTGCCAAATCCAGGGTCACTGGATTGATCTCAATTCCTGACTTTTCCATTGACTTCAGAGTGAGACATTCTTTGCTTTGGCATCTGTAATTTTCGATCCACAAGCATAGCGTGAAAATACTTATGCTTTCTTAGTAGCATTTCAGACACGAATAAGTTAATACTTGTCCTTATCACTTGCGTAGAAAGGAAATCAGTACTATACAAAGTCTGTACTCCCTGAATGTCTTCCTCTGTGCCTGGATTTTTAATATCTTTTTTGTATGTGTTTTAAACATTCTTGTATATAATTAAGCATAACTGTGAGTGTAGGTAAACTATTCATATTCCAGGATTAATTTATGTAACCGTATTACTTTCATTTAAAATATGTTTAAAGCAGATCCCTCTCATTCCTGTGGACCTGCAAAGTGTCCAGTACAGTGACCACCAGCTACATGTGGCTACTCCCACTGAAATGAATTAAAGTGAAATACAATTTAAAATTCGAGCCTTCAGTGGCACTAGCCACACTGCCAGTGCTCAGCAGTCCCAGGTGCCTAACGGCCACCACACTGGACGCAGTGGAGGGAGGCTCTGTCCATCCACTTCCATCACCCACAGATGGAGCTGCTGCTACGGTCTTATACTACTGGATATCTAGTAGTGCCCACATGATAGTACATACTAACTATCTGTCGAATGAATAATACAATAATTAGTTTTAACTTGTCTTAATAATTCTTAAAATGTGACAGTCAAAACGGAAGACGTCCGCTTGTTTTACACAGTTGGATTAGCTGGGGGTTATTCTTCCCTTCTGCCTATTCCCAGCTTTGTTTTTAGGGAACGTGCCACAGATTTTGGATCACACGTTCACAGAATGTATCTGATTATTTCATTCTGGCCAAATCTGTCATATTTGTTTCTCCAAATGAATTATCTAAATATTATTTTACCCAAACTGTTTGCAGTTGGGTAGATGATGTACATGTTAAACCTTCCTGGACGCTGATTTATTTTTTTCAATGTGTTAGTATCAAATTCTAGCAAATTTATTTCTTAAGCAAAGAAATCATTCCCTTTTCAAAGCCTTCTTTTCTTTAAAAAGAAATCAAGCAAGTATCCCAGCATACCATGAGTCAAAGAGGAAACTGGAAACTTCCAGGGCAAAATCTTAGACCCAAGATGAATTCTGCAAGGAAACGTGATGTGAAACTGATCCAGCTATTTGTAGGATTACAATAAATACACCTTTGCCCTCAACTCCACAATTTACTGCCAAGCTGCACAAGACAGGGATACAAAAGGAGCCGGCGGAGACACTGTTAGCGGATCCCTTCACTCCAGAGGCCAGTTTTATCCCAACACAAGGATTCTTTACTGCCTCTGCCCCTGAGTAAACAAACACCTTCCCCCCAAGGACATTTCCCTTTCTCCTGCCCTCTTTGCAAACAACATCTGAATTTGCACGTACTCTCCAGGAAATCAAATGAATGTAACCTATCTAACCAAAGAAACTGAAGAACACGCCATAAATTGAAAGATCGGTTCCTACAGTTCAGTATTTTCTCCAGTAGGCCTTTCTGTAAAAACAAAAAAACACATTTCTCCTGCAGAACCCTTTATAAATATGGTTTTGATGATCACAATTACATTGAGACAGTCTCCTACAACAAGAAACGACTTTTGGATCTGCTCAACAGAAAGAGAATTTTGCAGCTGTGTTCAAGGAAGCAAGAAAAGCAGAGAGTGAATTTTCATGGAGTTAGACTGCGTTGAGACGAATGAAGCTAAGGCTCAGGTCTCTTTCATTACGTGTTTGACTTGTCCTGATTCAAAATCTAAATAACTTAAAGGGTGATTCTTCATGGAATTCGAATCTTAACACCGGAATAAAAGGGTAGCCTGCTGACGACGATCACAGGGAGGACAAGGGGTCACCCCCACTTTCATAACATGGCCTGACCCTTTTCTGCCGCGGACAATTGATCCGAAGGACGCCGGCTGCCCAGCCCTGGCGGGCCACTACTGACCTAGTCCGAAGTTAGGAACAGCCTTGCAAACCGCCCCCTCCCCCTCCATTTCATCAAAATCGGGGAACAAATTCAGAAAAGGTGCAGCTGGTTTTCTCCCTACACGTGCCCTAAAACTCGGGGGCTGGATCCACTTTTCATAGCTGTTTAATAAGAACTCCGGGCAGTTCGTATTACTTCTTTCTCAGAGTGCTTGGTGGTTTAAGTTAAAGCATTTTCCTCTCTCGCCTTTGGGGGAAAAAGCCTCGGCTGCTGGGGTTTGTGGGCCCCTCCCCCGGACTTCGTCTTCCTTTCCTTCCCCAGCCCCCGACCCGTTTTGCTCTCGTCCAAAACAGAGCGACTCCCCCGCTGCCGAGGAAAAGCCAGTTCAAGAAGCCGGGGGAAGGGTGGGGCCCCGCGTGCCCCGGAGCAGCGCCCCTCGAAGGCGGGGGCAGGAAGCAGCCGCCGCGCCCCGTCCCGCTTCCCTCCCTTCGGGCCAGAACAATGGCTTTTTGCCCGGAAAACGGAGTTGGGAGCAAGGGCGGGCGCGCCCCGGGAATCACGCGGGACTCGGTGGGCGCCCCAGGCCCGAAGTCCCTAGGCACCTCCTCCCCCAGCCAGGGGCCCGCCCGCGCCCCCACCCCCGCCCCCGCCCCCGCCCGGGGCCCCGCGCGGGACCCCCCGCCGGAGCGCGAGGCCCAGCCCGCCGCGGACAATGCGCGCCCCGCCCCGCCCCGCACCCGCCCCCCCTCGCTGATTGGCCCGCACGGGATTTGGGCAGCGCGCGGGGGCGGGCGGCGGGCCGGGGCGCGGGCGCGGAGCGGCGGTGCGCGTGCGCGGGGCGGGCCGGCGCCGGGCGGGGGCGGTGCTTTGTGTGCTGCCGGCGGGGCGCGCGGCGGTCCGGGCGGGTGACTGGCGGCGGGCGCCGCGGTCGGGCTGGCTGCCGGGCAGCATGGAGGAGCTGAGCAGCGTGGGCGAGCAGGTCTTCGCCGCCGAGTGCATCCTGAGCAAGCGGCTCCGCAAGGTGCGTGCGGCCCGCCGGGCCCCCCGCCCGCCGCCCGCTGTCCGTCTGGCTCACGGCCCCTCTTCTCTCCCCGCAGGGCAAGCTGGAGTACCTGGTCAAGTGGCGCGGCTGGTCCTCCAAGTGAGTCCCCCGCGACGCCGCGCCCCCCTCCCGCCCCCTCGCCCGGGGGTGGGGACGTGGAGCCCCTCGGCCGCGCCGTCCGGTGGCCTGGGGGCGCCCGCGGGCAGAGCGGGAAGTTCGCGGGGTCCCCGCGGGCTCCTCCGGCTCTGAGGGGGGCGGGGGCCGCCCGGCCCGAGGTTGCCCTTTGTTTACACGCCCGCGGGTGCAGAGCTGGGCGGCCCCCCGCGCCAGAACCTCCTCGGCTGCCGCGCCGCGCTCCCCCCAACCCCCGTCCCGGCCGGGAGGGAGGCGCGGGATGCAAGCCCCCCTCCTCTTGGCCAGATTCTCCCCGCTGTAACCTGAGCTTGCTATTGATGGATGTAGAGTTTCTTTTTTTTTTTCTTTCTTTTAATGGAAGGGAGGGTGTTTGGCATCCCCGGAAGGGGCTCTCTGCACAGCTGCTCCCGCGGCCCCGTTTCTGCGTCTTCCCGGACCCCGCTCTTTCTTCGCTACCCCTCGAGGTGCCCCGGCCCGCGCGCCACATTGTTCTGGATCTCGGGCTGGGCGCCTGTGCCCCTCCCTGCATGCTGGACCTGCCTTCCCTTCCTCCTCTGGCTCCGGGCCAGGGTTTGGGGGAATCCCTCTCTGCAACTTTGCGTTTTATGGGGGTTTGTTTTTCTCCCAGGCAGAGACTGTGGGAGTCCTCTTGTGGCCTTGTTTTAATTGGGGGGTTGGAGCGGCAGTTTCCCTTTGGGTCTGAGGTTAGAGTGCTGGCTTGGTGGGGGGTGGCCAGCCTCCAAAACCTGGGTTTGGACTTTGAGAAGTGCCATGGTGCTACGGTGCCACTGCCATCGGCCCAAGTCGAGGAGCGGTGAGGGCGAGCCCCCTCGGGCTGCCTTGCAAAGCGGTGATCATCAGCCTGGCGTCTAATGCTGCCCTGTCCTCTGCTTTGCAGACATAACAGCTGGGAGCCGGAGGAGAACATCCTGGACCCGAGGCTGCTCCTGGCCTTCCAGAAGAAGTGAGGACGCTGACAGCACTGGGGAGGGTGTGGGGGAGGGACGGTGGCTGGTTGGAGTCGTGCTGGGCGCTGCTCGCCTGCCGGGAGGCTGGAGCTGGGGCTGTGGTCTGAGGTCCCTTAGCAAGATTGTGTCCAGGGCCATCTCTGTGGCTGGCTGTAAAAGTCCCCAGCCAGCCCCTCTCCCACCTTCTCCTAGCCAGCCTGTATCCATCCCTGAGAAGAACCTAAGTAAGTGCTGCTTTGGTGTTTCCGACAGCCATACTTGCAAAAACCAACTTTTTCAGTTGCTTCAGATAAAGATGTTATAGCTTCTCTTGGCCTTTTCTGCTGAGTAATTTGCACATGGCGCTAACAGAAAACCAGGAGAGCAGGTTTGCCACAGTGACGCAGGTCTGCCCTTCCAGCCCTGCACGCGTGTGCCATCAGGCAAGAAGGCTCAGAGAGGGAGCTGGAACACACAGCACGCAGTTGTGCCTATTGTGATGTCTCTCTCAAGAAAGAAACATTTATTTTGCTCTGGCCTGCAGCATACAGTACCAAGTAGCACCATGAGGCCGGATTGGGCCAGACTTGTTTCTGTAATTCTAGATGTCATTTCTATTTTTAGGTAGGAAGTTTAGGTTAAGAGATAGGCCTCCTTGAGATGTTCAAGGGCAAGGGGTGGTGAGGAGAGGGCAGTGGATGTGCCCACCTGGCATGAAGGGCCAGGGAGTACTGTTCAAGCAATGGCAAGATGGGGGGTGGTTTCACTGACGGCTCCCCCTGGATCCCCTGGCTGGACTTGCCCTGTGGATAGAGGCAGAAGAATTGGTTGCTGGAGTCTTTCCCAGCCAGGGTCAATCTGGACGGTTTGTTCTCTGGTAGCAAAAGGTGCATTCCCTTTTTTCCACTGTAGCGGGACATATTGGGTCTTCCCAGAGGGGTCATGATAATGGGGAAATAGAGTTTTCTGGTGGGGCGAGCAAAAAGAAGAGCCTGTGCTTGCTTAAATCCCTTTGGAAAATCGTAACAGCAACCCATCGTCTTCTGTTAGTTCCTGTCTGGGTGCTGTGAGCCTTGGGGTGGGGGAATGGCTTGGCCCACTTCAGAGGCTGGTGCGCTTCTCTGGATCTAAGACGGTGTCCTAACTGTTGAGAGAGATTGTGGTTTTGGTTAGAGCAGAAACACCTGAGATAAGAAGAGTGTAAAACCCATGGGTGGCTTGGATGACATCGTGGAAGAAAGAAAACAGAGAAGGTGGGACAGCCTTCTCCATCCACCAAAATGTTAGCTCTCTCTGGGCACTAGGAGCTGGCGGTTACCTGCTTGGTATTGGAGGGGGTGGGGGTATGGCCCTTGGCGACGCACAGGATCACAGCAGTCAGTGCACAGGTTAATATTTCAGCGGAGGAGATCCATGCAACACTTCATTGTCCTTTTAGGAGATTTCAGGTTAAGGACCAGCACTTAAGAGTATGAACTTTGCCTGGTACTAATCAGAACTGTGTTGAGGAGGTTGCCTTCCAGGCCCCAATGAGATGATGTTTGCCCAGATAATTACCAGGGCCCCTTTTCTGAAATACAGGCTTTCCCTGGGGGCTGGAGGTTCTGCTAGCACTTCATGACCCTGGAGGTGTGGAGGCTCTTCTGGGGGCGGGGGGGGTACTGCGAGTGGTGCGTGCATTGAGCCTTGCCTGCCTCAGACCTCGGCACCTCTGTCATCTCCCTCAAGAGTAGAGTTTAGGAACAGAGAGGTATTTTTAAAAAGGAAACAAGGAGAGTCATGTGCCAGCAGCCAGGCTCTGCGAGGGCTGGAGGACAGGGCCCACGGTGCTCCTTGCCCGGGTGAGGGTTTTATGCACCAGAAGCTGCCCAGGGGATTGGTGGCATCTCCTTGTCCTGGGCTTCCTTCTCCTATTGAAAGTAAGGAGGTTGGACCGTGTGGCCACCGAGGCCACTTCTGGTTAGAATATGCTAGAATTTCCATGCAGCAGTGCACCTGCAGGAAGCTGTCTTAAGTCAGAGAATACTGGGGCGTCATTGTTTTCCCAGCGTTGCTTTCCTGTCTTCAGCTTGTCCTTAGCCAAATGAAATGGGATGGCTGGTTACTGACCCTAGTGCAAAGAATGGGGTCTGATCTCTGCCTTGGGTATTTGATGATGTGTTTGCGGCAAACAGGATAAGCTATTACAGGCCAACAGGAATAGGGTGCTGGAAGCCATAGAGTCCCACATGGTAGAAGGGGTACGCACAGGGCTTCTCCCCCATTAACTAGTGGTGTGCCTTCAGGGAACATGAGAAGGAGGTGCAGAACCGGAAGAGAGGCAAGAGGCCGAGAGGCCGGCCAAGGAAGCTCACTGCCATGTCCTCCTGCAGCCGGCGCTCCAAGCTCAAGGTGGGTGGCTGCGCTGGGTATGCTGACCCCACCTCCCAGCACCCCCTTGGCGTAGGGGGCAGGCAGAGGGAGGGTTTGGGGCCCTCAGGAAGGGGGTGGCACTTCTGCCAACAGTCTGTCCCTCTACTCGGAAAACAGGAGCCCCCTTTCTTCCTGTCTCTCAGCTTCTGCTGCCAGGGGCCCCAGCCGGCTGAGAGTTCCTCCCCGCCCCTCCCAGGGGCTTCCTGCTTCAGCCTGTCCTGCACGCCTCTCTGCTGGGTGGCAGGGTCAAACTGCTGCAGACAAGCACTCTTCCCTCCCAGGGGGTCCTTGGGGGACGGAAAGGAACAGGAAGCATGCGTACAGTAGGTGCTCATAGGATTGCCGGCTGGATGTGACTCAAAAGCCTAAGATTTGGGGGCTACTCCGGGCCCACCTGCGGGTGCACCTTAAATCGAGGTGGCCACGAAAGGCAGGGCTGACTGAATAGCCAGGGGGTGCCAGGAGGGGCCTTGGAGGAGGGCAGAGGCAGTGTGGGCTGATGATGTGCTTTGGCCTTCTCGGGACTGTCCTGTCACCCCTCCTCGCTACAGTGATGGGCTCACCCCGCCACAGGTATGCATGCGCCCCTGGGGTCCGTGGTAGGGCCCCTCCCTCCCCTGAGGACAGGTGAGGCAGGACAGGATGGGGGAGGAGGGCCTGGCCTCAGTCCCGGGTGTGGCTTTGATTCCCTCCTCCGGGCACTGTCCCTGGACCTTCGCGTGTTGTGGCCACGAGCTCAGTCACTAACTGAACCTGCCTTTCCAGGAGGATTTCCTGAATGAACAGGATTCCCTGCTGTAGAATCTTGTTGGCTGGTCTACACTGGCCTTACGTTATCTTGAAAATCTTCCTTTTGAGCAGGATTGTGGGGGCTGCAGGAGTTCTGCTGACTGAGGAGTGGCCACAAGGCAGTGATTGATGCCTTGTTTGAGGAGGTTTGAGGAGATCACTCCTGTTGAAGTTGGGAGAACGGGGTGGTAGGGAGGCGGTGTTGGATCTGACTCCTAAAGCACACGCTGTAGAATTCTGACCCAGCAGGCAGCATGGCGGCCTGTAAAACACAAGGACACTCTTATTTAACATTGGCGGTGACATCCAGAAGGCGAGGAAGACAGTGGTTTATTTACCTGTATCCTGGAAGGCTCAGACTGGGAAATGGGGATACTGAAGCCCACTTGGTGTAGGCTGCAAAGCTGTGCATGCTACTTAATACGACTTGTAACCTCCTGAGTCCTGAAAACTGTGATGCTCTGGATACAGTTCCCTTTGAACGTCTGCTCTACAGCCCGGAGCTAAATCTGCATCCCCCTTGAAAGCTGATGGTGGACGGGGATGTCATGGTGTGGACTCTGTCCGTCCTTAACTCTGTCTTCATTTTTACGAGCCACCTATTTTTCTCTCTATCTACCTTTAATTTTGCCTCTCATGGAACTGTGAGCACGGTGAGAAGTTGCTCCTTCCTGACTGCCTCTCTGGTCTGGAAGCCACAGGAGTTGATGGCTGCAAGGTGCCCAGTGTTCCTTGGGGACAGCATGGCGCTCTGGACCCTGGGAACAGGCAGTGGAGGTGTGACACCTTCTCCTTTATCTTTTTTTTTTTTTTTTTGAGACGTAGTCTCGCTCTGTCGCCCAGGCTGGAGTTCAGTGGCACAATCTTGGCTCACTGCAGCCTCCACCTCCCGATTTGAAGCAATTCTCCTGCCTCAGCCTCTGCAGTAGCTGGGACTACAGGTGCGCGCCACAACACCCGGCTAATTTTTGTATTTTTAGTAGAAACAGGGCTCCACTATGTTGGCCAGGCTGGTCTTGAACTCCTGACCTCAGGTGATCCACCCGCTTCGGCCTCCCAAAGTGCTGGGATTACAGGCGTGAGCCACTGCACCCAGCCAACTTCTCCTTTATCTTTCCAGGAACCCGATGCTCCCTCCAAATCCAAGTCCAGCAGTTCCTCCTCTTCCTCCACGTCATCCTCCTCTTCCTCAGATGAAGAGGATGACAGTGACTTAGATGCTAAGAGGGGTCCCCGGGGCCGCGAGACCCACCCAGTGCCGCAGAAGAAGGCCCAGATCCTGGTGGCCAAACCCGAGCTGAAGGATCCCATCCGGAAGAAGCGGGGACGAAAGCCCCTGCCCCCAGAGCAAAAGGCAACCCGAAGACCCGTGAGCCTGGCCAAGGTGCTGAAGACCGCCCGGAAGGATCTGGGGGCCCCGGCCAGCAAGCTGCCCCCTCCACTCAGCGCCCCCGTTGCAGGCCTGGCAGCTCTGAAGGCCCACGCCAAGGAGGCCTGTGGCGGCCCCAGTGCCATGGCCACCCCAGAGAACCTGGCCAGCCTAATGAAGGGCATGGCCAGTAGCCCCGGCCGGGGTGGCATCAGCTGGCAGAGCTCCATCGTGCACTACATGAACCGGATGACCCAGAGCCAGGCCCAGGCTGCCAGCAGGTTGGCGCTGAAGGCCCAGGCCACCAACAAGTGCGGCCTCGGGCTGGACCTGAAGGTGAGGACGCAGAAAGGGGAGCTGGGAATGAGCCCTCCAGGAAGCAAAATCCCGAAGGCCCCCAGCGGTGGGGCTGTGGAGCAGAAAGTGGGGAACACAGGGGGCCCCCCGCACACCCATGGTGCCAGCAGGGTGCCTGCTGGGTGCCCAGGCCCCCAGCCAGCACCCACCCAGGAGCTGAGCCTCCAGGTCTTGGACTTGCAGAGTGTCAAGAATGGCATGCCCGGGGTGGGTCTCCTTGCCCGCCACGCCACCGCCACCAAGGGTGTCCCGGCCACCAACCCAGCCCCTGGGAAGGGCACTGGGAGTGGCCTCATTGGGGCCAGCGGGGCCACCATGCCCACCGACACAAGCAAAAGTGAGAAGCTGGCTTCCAGAGCAGTGGCGCCACCCACCCCTGCCAGCAAGAGGGACTGTGTCAAGGGCAGTGCTACCCCCAGTGGGCAGGAGAGCCGCACAGCCCCCGGAGAAGCCCGCAAGGCGGCCACACTGCCAGAGATGAGCGCAGGTGAGGAGAGTAGCAGCTCGGACTCCGACCCCGACTCCGCCTCGCCGCCCAGCACTGGACAGAACCCGTCAGTGTCCGTTCAGACCAGCCAGGACTGGAAGCCCACCCGCAGCCTCATCGAGCACGTATTTGTCACCGACGTCACTGCCAACCTCATCACCGTCACAGTGAAGGAGTCTCCCACCAGCGTGGGCTTCTTCAACCTGAGGCATTACTGAAGCCCCGGCGCCACCAGCTGCGCGGTCTTACTCCCCTTCCCTGCCTATGGTGTCGCTTGGCTAAGTGACTCCCAGCCCAAGCCCCCTCAAGAGTCTGGGTCGGGGGAGGAGGAGTGGGTGGCCTCCTTGATGGGCAGGCTTGGAAGGGACTTCTCCCGCACCCCACTCTGTCCCAGGACATAGGGCAGGGGGCCTCACTGCCTTGTTGGTCTCCACCTTGTTCCTACCTCTGCAGGCCTCTTTGCTCTCCCCTCTTGCCTCAGGAAACCCGGTGGCACCTGTGGCTCCAGGTGACTGTCTTGAACAGAGCGGGCTTCTTCATGGCTGCGTTGTTGCTGAGTTTGAACTGCTCCTCCCTGGCCTGCGTGACTGAATCACAGCTTTGGTCCCTGTCTTGCAGGGGCTGAGGTGTCAGGAGGGGACTTCTGGCCCACCTTGCCTTCAGCCCTGGAGTGGGCAGAGAGTATTGTGGGGAGGCATGGCCAGTGGGACTAGTGTTCCCTCCATCTGGCCACAGCTTTTGGGAGATGGGGTGGGCAGGGGTGGTCCTGGCTGGCATTGCCTGAGCCGGCAGTGATGAAGTGGGGAGCTTGCCCTTGACAGGTGGGGGCTGGCTGGGGCCTTAATGTGAAAAGACAGTGGCAGGCAGCTGGAGTAGAGCGAGCCCAGCAGCCCTAAAAGGCTGCCTTCATGGCCATCTAGCCCCAGTTCAGGGCAGCATCCATAGCCCACAAGCCAGCGTGGGTGGGGCGGGGGTGGTCCCACAGCTGGGTTCCACCTGAAGAGCCTCCGTGCCTCGGAGCAGGAGAGGCAGGCTATGGCTGCCACCCTCCCTCCTGCCTGTGTCCCAGTGAGAACTGACCTGAGTCCCCTTCCAAACCCAGACCCACCTCCTGCCCCAGGCCCACTGAAGCATGTTCCATTTCTAAAAAGCCCAGAGTTCAGTGTGTCCCAAGGAAAACCCAAAGTGGAGGTGCTCAGGTCCAGGGGAGTCCAGTGGGCAGGACCCTTGGCAGGCAAGCCCCTCCCTTCACTCCCAGGACCTACCTTCTGCTAGTAAAGGACTGGCTTCATTCTAATTATGGCCCACAGACTGCCCCGGAGACCTGGAGGACAGCAGTGCTGGCACTTGGGTGTCCATGGGCCCGTCTGCCGGCTCTGCCTGTGCTGCAAGTGTTGGCCGTGGGTCCAGCCAACAACTCCCTACGTCCTGTGTGGGGCCCTGCCCAAGTGGATGAGGCATTCCTTGAGGAGTATCATTTTCCCTGACAATCCCCATCACCTTTAGGGGTTCCCTGCTTGGCTCCTTTCCAGCTGAAAAACTAGACCTGTGCCATTGGGGAAGCTGGACAAAGTCTAGGGGGCCCGCCTGGTAGAGGGTCCCGGGAAGCTGGATCTGTCAGCCTCGGCCCTGAGGCCCCTGTTAACTCAAGACTGTGAGCTGCCTCTAGGTGGTCACGTCTGGGAGCTAGCTTGTATGGCTTCTGACCAGTATCAGGATTTCTGTTCTGAGAGCAGCGTGGGCAGCAAGGCAGGGCAGCCCAGAGGTGGCAGCGGCAGGCAATCTGGTCACTAGGTCTTTGTGATGCCAAAAATAAAAGAGGGTGGGGTGGGTGCTTTCTGTTCCTCTGATTGGATGGAGTCCGCCAGCAGGCATGGGGCTACATTCCAGTGCCTGACTATAGGGAGGCACTCCTGATTCCATGGAGCAGCCCGGACTTTGAGAATGGGCTCTGGTTTGCGGGGGGCAGGCGTACCAGACTGCAAGACCCCCCAGTACCTCACCGTGCCAAATAGGAAGAGGTGGCCTTGGTGTAGCCAAATGGATCTTTTTAACAGTGTGCCTTTGGGGAGGGACCCATGTCCATGGCTTCGTTGAGGGCCATCCATATGCCAGCTGGGGGCCAGCCCACAGTGGCCATATTGGCTGCAGCAGGAATGGTGCCCACCTCGGCGAATTGAAGGGCTAAGAGTCCCAGATAGCTAGGCCAGAGCTGGAAGCAGACAGTAAGGGGAAGAGCTGCTCCCACAGGAGAGGGAGAGATTCCAGCTCACTGCGCAGCCTGGGAGGAGGCGTGGATCCTGGCACGCTGAGCCTCAGGCACCAGCCTCCCTGTGCTCGACAGCAAAGTCTTGACTCCTTCCTGCTGAGCACTGTGCTACCTTCACTGCTCCAAAGCCAGACTAACAGCTCTCCAAGCCCTTGGGGTGACTCGGCTTCCAGGAGCTGTTGGAGAAATGAGGATGTCTGTCCCTGTCTGCCTGGGCAGGCCAGATTCCTCCCCAGCAGCCGGGTCTCTCCAGACCCTGATTCGGTGCCTTTCTGTTTACCAGCTACTTCAATCCCAAAGTTTGAATCTGCAGATACCTTACTCCCAGCCACTTTGCCTTCTTACTGTGTTGTGTGTTTTTCCTGGTGCTTCAAGAGCGTGTGCAGGGCAAGTGCCGTCACTGGGAACTGCACCAGATGCTCAGACTTGGTTGTCTTATGTTTACCAATAAATAAAAGTAGACTTTTTCTATTTTTATTTGCTGCTATTTGTGTGTGTGTTTGTGTTTGTGTAGCTAGGTATCTGGCACTTCTGACGATGCATTGTTGCTTTTTTCCCGAAGGTCCCGCAGGAACTGTGGCAATGGTGTGTGTGTGAAATGGTGTGTTAACCGCGTTTTGTTTGCTCCTGTATTGAATAGGAAGCAGTGGCCAGTCTGTCTTCCTTAGAGATGTTAGCATATTTTTATATGTATATATTTTGTACCAAAAAAGAGTGTTCCTTGTTTTGGTTACACTCGAAATTCTGACCTAGCTGGAGAGGGCTCTGGGCCGAGAGCTTTCACTAAGGGGAGACTTCAGGGGAGGATCAAGCTTTGAACCAAAGCCAATCACTGGCTTGATTTGTGTTTTTTAATTAAAAAAAAAATCATTCATGTATGCCACTTCTAATTGCTTTCAACTATGGCTGTTTGCTTTCTTAAAAGAGAACAAAAGTAGATATGTTATTGCCCTAGGAAAGGATCTCTGTTGAAACAGGACAGCAGCCTAGGGCCCACATTTAATTAGGATCAACCAGTTTAAGGAAATGCTTCCCCCAAAAAGCCCCTGATGGTGTGGGGAAGGGGAATGGTGAGTTGGGAACAGGTAGTGCCTACATGACCAGATTTTACTCAAGTGCATCTCATGATTCTGTGGGTTTTCTAGCATTTTTGGAAAACTAGCATAGGTTGCAGGGTTTTTTCTTCTTTTAGACTGATGTTAATTTATTTTGCAGGGGAAGGACAGCAAATGGCGTCAGAAGATTTTTGTCCTTTTGTTATCTCTTAGTATATCAATAAATTTTTAAAAAAAAAATTTGGCCTGATGTACATCATGAGTGATCCCTGGAAACACAGTAGACTCTGCTCTTTTCCTTTCTTGAGGCAAAATAATTCGTCTGGACATAGGCCAAATACTTGGGGCACAGAAAAATCAAAGACTGGGAAAGGCCACTTGCAGAGGGTGCAGAAAAAGATATGTTTCCAAGCAAAGGATGGGTGTTTAAGAGTCCATATACCAGTGGCTCACAACAGAGAACAACTGGCATTCCAGGGAACACTTGCAGATCTGGAGATCTTGCTTGTCACGCTGTGGGGTGGATGCCACTTGCATCTAGTGGGTGGATACCAGGAGTGCTGCTAGACGTCCTGAGGTGCACAGAACAGTCTCCATGACAGAAAGAAATGATCCTTCCCAGCACGTCAGTAGTGCTGAGTTTGAGAGACTGAATTAATGGGAAAAACAGAAAAAACACAATGGCAGGGGTTGGGGGCAGGGGCGGCATTATCGGCATCTGTCAGGTGAGGTCAGGGATGCTGCAATATATAATCAACTCATTTTGAGACTGCTCCCTTCAAAAGACATGCAAAGTTAAAATAAAACTCCCTCTCCCCGCGCCCACAGTATCCAGAGATGCTGTGTTGGAAAGCCACTCAACCCCTTGAAGCCACCACATGTGCTAATAATGCTTTACAAGGAGGCAGCCATAAAATTCCAGGGGAGTCACTGTGAGTTAGCAGCTACTGCAACTCCTAACCCAAAGCTCGCGAATAAAGAGGCGATTTGCTTATTACAGAACCTTCCCCGGCTCCTTAAGGCTTCCACCAACTTCAGCATGAATTTATTCATGAATTCCAGCCTCCAGGGAGAATAGAGCTTCTTTGAAGTGAAGAGAGAAGCTGGGCCTAGATGTTGGAGTAACTGGGTGAAAAGCTACTTGGGGCCAAGGCCTGAATGTTTTGGTTCAGGAAAGGGTTCCCCCTGCAAATGGAAATGTGACCCCCAGCACTAGCCCGCTCCAGGAAGTCCTGCGAATTCGAAATCGACTGTTGCAGAGAAAGAAGACTGCTGGTGGGCTCTCTTTTGCTGCCTTCGCAAGGCTCTGGCTGTTTCCTTTTGGAGAAAGTGGGCAAGGGCGACCCCAGCGGGCCTGTCCTCTGGCTTATGAGAGCTGCAGAAAGGGGCTGGGACCGCCAGGAAGGAGCAAGCTGGCCGAGCAGGAGCAGGCGCGGCCCCGGATGTGGAGCCAGGCTTTCGGGAGAGCCCATTTCTACAGGGATTCGGCCCGACGGGTGCCGGGCCGAGCTCGCTCGGCCTTTGTTAGTTTCGGCGCCGCTGATGTGATCGCCTAATCCAGTGGACCCTGAGAAGAACAGACTGGGCTGCCAATGGCCCGACCCCACGCCGCCGCGACCTGCCCGAGGGCACCGGGAGCGATGGGTGCGGAGGGGCTGGGAGGACGGTCATCCGGGCGGCTGGACCTCTCCTTCCTCCCCTCCGCCTTCGTGGCTCGAGCGCCGGGCCTCAGGGAGGACGCAGAGGGGGCGCCCGTGGCGGTGGGCGCCCAGCGGTACCTTTGGGTCGGGGGGAGGTAAGGCTTTCTCAGCTCGGGTTCGGAACCAGAAAGCCACCGGCCCCCCGGGGGTAAGGGGTGGGCGCCGGCGACCCGGGCCGACGCCGCCACCTGCAGAGGGCGCGCGCGTCCCACCAAGGTCGGCCGCCGGCCCTTCGGACGGACGAGGGAAAAGCCAGCCGCGGCTCCAGGGTGCCCGAGACTCAATCGCACCACCTGCACCCCGGCCACCTCCGCCTCCGAAGTCTCAGGAGGAAAGCCCCGACCCAGCCCGCAGCCTCTCTCGCCGCGTTCAGGACCCGAGGCTGCGGGCAGCCGCCTTCCACGACGGACAGCACGGAGTCCCGCCGGGCCCCGAGCCACGCCAGTCTCGGACTTCAGCTGGGTCCGAGGCTCCTCTGGGCCTGGAGGGCTTTTAGAGGAGAAGAGGAAACCAGCACAGGAGCCCCAGAGGGCCGGGACAGGTCTGTGCGCCAGCGGCCCGGGCGCATGGCACAGTGCCTGGATCAGGATTGGTGCGAAGCCAGCATCAAACGGACAGAAAATGAATCCGATCCGACACTCTAGGAAGAGCATGAACCTTCCAATCCAACCAATGTTTGTGCGAGGCCAGGTTCCCCGCCGCGGTGGCCACACAAGCCAGCCCTGTCCTCGGGACGCAAGGTAACCAGTCCGGCTGGAGGCCGCCACGCACGCCTGGTCTCTGCAGTTGTGGCGGATTCCCAGGGACTCTGCCCAGGAAATGGAAACCCGTGAGGGCGCTCCTCAAAGCCGAGGGTGGTGATGGCCAGCGAACCCGAAAAAGGGGCAGGGTGGGCGCCCTCCCATCCGCTTAAGCAGTAGCCCATTCCACTGCCCCACACGCCCAGGAGTGGACGCAGGAGGGAGCCCCGTCCGAGTGGACGCAGGAGGGAGCCCCGTCCAAGTGGCGACCATCGCGGGGCCACCCCACCCACCTTCCCTTGACGTCCCCTGCCAGCACAGAGACCGCCCGTTGCGGTGGGGCAGTCTCGGGCGGAGATCTTTGACGCCTGGCGGCCAGCGACCCTACTCGGCCGGCAGCGCAGGCCCTCACGTCGGAAGGACACTCAAGGCTCTGTGACCCGCTAACCTGGGCCTGGGCAGCAGGACGCTGCTGTCCTCCCGCGCCCTCCCACACCGGTCACAGCTGGGGAAGGGGGAAGCTCTGCCAAGGGCCGGGCCACTGACTCCTCAGCAAGGGGCTGGAGATGCGTGAGCTACCCCTGTCCATGTTCCTCCTGGTGGGCGTTAGGGGTGAGCCTGAATCGTGGCTTCCTGGCAGGGTGACGTCTGCGGGGCACTACGGAAGTAGAAATGGGTTTAGTGCGGTGGCCTCTTTGGGGATCCGAAGAGTGGCTCTCCTGTGCGGGCTTCAAGACCCCGCCCCCACTGCTGTGAAGTCTGCGGCCAGAAAAGGCCAAGAACATCTCTCTCTCCACCCCCCACCCCGCACTCTGCTCTCCCGCACCGTCCCTTGCCCAGCGCTGGGGTTTAGGCCCGCCCAGGAGACCTGGGCCGGAGAGGCTGCGGGGACTCGGGGGCGGGGGTGCGCGGGGCTGCGGCGCGGCGGCTCCAGGTTCACTAATCACATCAGCAGCGCTCTGCGCCGGCTCCGAGCTTGCAGTTGCCTAGCAATACCCGCGAATTCAATTCCTCAATCAATAGGCGCGAGGCTCTGCATTTAGGGGAGCGCTAGCAAGGTTGGGTGGGTCTGGGGAGTGGGTCTCAAGACAGCTACGAGGGGCTGGCACCGGGAGGCTTTGGCTAACGCGGCGAGGCCCCGGGGCCTCGGAGACCAGACGCCTCCGGCCTGGGGGTGTGGCGCGCTGGAGGATCCCGCCAGAGGAAAGTGGAACCCCCGACCTCAGGCGCATCCTCCCGGGATCCCCAGATTCTGCCCGGGGCCCGAAGAAGTGCAGCCAGTAGGTGCGGAGAGCCACGGATTCCCCCGGACGGGCTGAGGGGAGTCTGCCCCAGCGGCCTCCCACGCCCACCTCTATCCCAGCCAGGTGGGTTCCCCAGTTGGGGAAGGGCCTTTGCAGGAACGGTGCCCCCGCGATGGGGGCGAGGATGGGGGCGGGAGGACGGGATGAGTACTGAGAGAAGAGGGACGGATCCTCTCCTCCCGGGATGCCTCTTCCCTTTGCTCAGGGAAGGAAAAAGAAGAATAAAACCAAGACATGTCTCTATTTACAAAGTATATATTTAAACACGTAAAAAGCGGTATTGGATACAGACATTCACGACCGCAGAAGATAGGTACCGAAGCTTCACTCTTGAGCTGAGGCGGAGATCGATTGGAGATTTGTACAAATCTTAGAATTAAATAAACCCAACAGCGCACACACCCTGCGCGGTTGCAGACTCCCAGCCACGTGGCCCCCGGCCCCTGCCCACCCACCCCCCAGGTCAGCGTCGCAAGAGCGAGAGAAGGAGACACATACACACACGGCCACGGACAAACAGCAGGACGGAGGGGCGGCAGGGACAGAGCTGGCTGGAAAGAAGGTCCAAGGGAAGGGGCAAAGTCAGCCCCCAGGAAGGGAGGGAGGTGGGAGTAAAGGACAGGCGGGAGAGAAGGGAAGGCGGCGGCCAGGTGAAGACGCGTATCCCCCAGTCCCGTCCACTAGGTAACAGACATGCCCCTTCAGTGAAGTTTCATCTGAAAATAGCATCGACATTTAAATAGATACACTCGGTCAACGGCGCTTCTTTATACAAAGTCTAAAATACCAGTTTTACAAATGTGAGTAGATAAAAATCCCCATTCCAGGGGCTTCTCTTTATAGGCGCAATTTGATATTCAAAAACAAACACAATCATGTAGTACACCGTTTCCCTCCTTTTCTCTCTTTAA
Source organism: Homo sapiens (assembly GCF_000001405.40). Classification (NCBI taxonomy): domain Eukaryota; kingdom Metazoa; phylum Chordata; class Mammalia; order Primates; family Hominidae; genus Homo; species Homo sapiens. The sequence goes on from NC_000017.11 coordinate 79,792,804, forward strand.
AGGCAAGAAAGTCTGGAGGAGAGGCTGAGAAGCCGGGAGTGCGGAGGACGAGGCTGGGGTTCCCTCCCAGCACCCCCCACCCCACGCGAAGCTCCCCCACCCCCGACTCCCCGCCTCGCTCCCCCCGAGTCTGTGCTTCCTCTGGCGTGCAGGGCCCCCGCGCCCCTCCCTCAACAAGCAATGGGAAGTTAGATCTTCGCTGGCCCTTTAAGGGCGGGGAGGGCAGGGAGGCTGCGGGATCCGTGCTCCAAGAGACGGGGGTGGAGTGGAGGGGACTGATTTGTGCTTTTGAGTCAAAAGAGGGGCGCGCATTCTGCGTCCTCGGAGCGCAGAGCGGTCAAGTCCGCCGGGCAGGGGCGTCCCAGGCCCCGCCGCCTCGCACGGCCTTCCCCGCCGCGGCCGTCCCCACTCCCAACTCCCGCTCCTCCCTCCCCCTTTGGCGGAGTTTGAATGTCGAGTTCAAATAGAGAACACTGCGAATCGAAAAGACCTATAAATTATAGCTTTTGCTTTTAAGAAGGACGGGGGAAAAAAAAGGAAAAAGCAAAAGTTCCGATGCGCATTCTTGGATGAAAACCCCGCCTCGCCCCTCCTTCCCGTGCCCGGCCGGAGCCGCGGGGGTGAGTCTAGCCCCAGCTCCGAGCTCCGAGCCGTGGTCCTCAGCCACACTCCAAGCCTGGCCGTGGAGAGGCCCTGGGTGCGAAGCCACTGCTCCTAGCAGCGCCCGCCGCCGCGCCTCCCTCCGTGGGTCCCGCAGGGTGGGCCTGTCTGGCCATGTGTCCACCACAGAGCTGGCGGCCCGCCCTCCCCAGGCAGGGAGGCTTGTCCAACTCTTCCTGGGAGGTGGGGGCCACCGTCTCTTCTCCTGGCAAAGCTAGAGGACGCGAAAAGGAAAAGTCCACCCCAACACTTTTCTTGCAAAACAACTGTCTCGAACTCTCAGCACTGACACGCAATCCTCCCAATTTATCCTGGCATTTCGGGAATGTAAACAGATTCGCTGGATTTCTTTTCTTTCTGCGGAGTAAGGAAAGGAACGAGGGAACGGGGAGATTTTATCCACATGACATACACACGATCTGCGTGTACCACACACACACCCCTCCCTAAAGTGCATTTCCTGGTGTGGTCCTGGGGAGAAACCTCCTGTCCCTGCCTGCTGGGGACGTTTTAACCTTCAACATCACACACGAAAAGCTTATTCAAGTTAATACTTTTTTCCCTAATAGACTTCTTTACCTTAAAAAAAAAAAAATAGAAAAAAGGAAAACAGACTGACCCCACCCCCCCTTTTTTCTGATTGGGGAGCCAACCTTTTGTTGGCCTGCCTGGCCAATGGGAAGAGAGAGCAAATCTGGGCCGGGCCTTGGTGCCAGGAGTCTGGCATTGGGCTGTGGGAGAAGGGAGGAGGGGTGAGGTGGGCAGGCCAAGCCCCTCCAGACACTCTCAGAAACCTGTACCCAGGGCCCAACTTCCCTAGAGCTCTGGGGCAAGGGGGCCCCTCCTGCCCCAGCTCATTCGGGCTGCCCCAACTAAAGCACAATGAGAGTCTCTCTCCTTTAAATAAAACAACTTCGAGTTGAAATATATATATTTAGATATTTTTCTTAAATAACATATTTACATCTAATAGAAAATATAACTCTAGAGATAATCTTTCCAACAAAAACTGAGGGGGAGGAAGGAGGGATGAAAGGGGCTGGTGGGGTGGGGGTGACATCAGGGACGGGACCAGCCAAAAGGCCACATCCCACCCAGAAATAAAAATCACTATGCCAAGCTCACGCTCACTCTCTCCCCTGCTCTCCTCCTGGACACACCCACCCAGCATTCATCTTTTCTCTTTAAAAAAGCCTTGGTCCGTGTTACTTTCCTTAATGGTGACGGTCAAAAAGTTTGAGGTCACGTCCGTGACCACCACCTTCTCCAGGTTAGTCAGGGAGGGGCTCCAGGACTCTTCCTCCGGGTCCCCCAGGATTCTGGCCACAGGGATCCTGGCGATGAGGGAGGGCCTTCCCCCCTGGGCCCCCATGTCCCGGTACAGGCCCCCCCCAGAGCTGGGGGGGCCTGAGCCATGTCGGACCCGGGTGCCATTGGGATCTAGGGCACCCTGGCCTTTGGCCTCCAGGAAGGCAGCCCTGTGCTTTATCACCCTGGCCGGGAAGGTGTCCACAGCCAGTTTGCCCGTGGCCTCAGCTGAGCTAGGGCTGGTCACACCACACTGCACCAGGTCCGAGTCCTGTCTTCGGGCCAGCTGGATCACACTGTGGCCGGCTGGAAACTTTCCTGCCCCGGAAGGGGTGTCGTCCAGCTTCCTGCCCTTGAGGTACTCTCCGAGGCCGGCGCTGGGTTCGCCTAAGGGCCTCTGTGAGGGGTCCGGGAGCTCCTTCCGGGGCTTGGGGCCTCGCTTCTTCGAGCTGTCCCCCGGTGAGCTGGGCTTGTCATCCACTCTGCTGGTACCCCGCTCTCGTTCCCTCTCACGTTCCCGCTCCCTCTCTCGCTCCCTCTCCCTTTCTCGATCCCGCTCCCGGTCCCTATCCCGGTCTCGGTCCCGGTCCCGAGGGGCCTCTGCGCGGCAGGTGCTGCTGGTGCTGGTGCTGCTCGCTGGCGGGGACAAACCCATGTTTCGAAGGCCCTCCCGGGCCCGGGAAGTGGAGGCCAGGTCCTGGGGCGAGCGGCCAGGGTAGGGGATCCGGATGCCCCTGGCTGAGTCACTTCGAAACTCGTAAGTTTTGGCCTTTGCCTTGGCCTGCGCCTGCAGGAGAGAAGATGGTCTCAAGAGTGGGGCAGGGCCCTGTCCACCCCCACAGGACTCCTCCTCTATCCCTGACCTCCTATCTTTACCCTATGATGCCTGGGAATTTCTACATGGATGCATGGATGGGTGGGTGGGTGGGTGGGTGGATGGCTGGATGAATGGGTGGGATGGCTGTTGGAGCTGAGAGGTAGAAGGATGAGAGAAGAGGTAGAAGATTTGGCTGGAAGTAGTCATTTGCAAAAAGTACACTTTTTGCATTTGATTATTGTGTCCATTTGGGAGGGGGAGCGTAAAGGAATTCTAGTGTGGCCAAGCCCGTCCCCCCAGACACAGTTGGTGCTGCTACTGACTTGGTGACATCTTGTCAGGGAACTCCCTCCTACATTACAAATAGGCAACATGTGTGGACACCCCATTGGCTCACAGCCCTCAGAGCCCCCTTCCCACAAATCACTCCATAACATGGTCCTCCACCATTGGACACTGCCAACCTACTTTGAGGAGGAAGGTTTTGGGCTTGGGTCCACGCTTTTTGGGGCCATAGAGCTCCATCTCTCTTTCCCTGGAGAAAGAAGAAAAGGAGAAAGGGTGCGTGAGTAAAGAAAGCAAGTGGGACTCTAGTCCAGGCTGGAAAGAAGCCACTCTACTTGTTTCTAAGTGAGCGGCTGGGACTTGGAAGGGTCTGTACCTTTCCTCAAAGGCTGCGAGCAAGCGAGCATCCAGGATGTTTTCCTCCGGTTCCCATGTGCTGTACCTAAAGGGAATCAGGAAGAAGTGGGCATCAGTCCCAGGAGCAGGGTGAGAGCAGAGGGGGTGTGTGTGTGTGTAACTTTTCTCATTGCATTGTATTGTATTTCAATGTAAAGGCAAAAAGAGGAAGAAAGAAACCTCCCGAATAACAGTCTGGGGTTGAGAATTGCATATAACCTACTTACTTCTGCGACCATCCCTTCCATTTCACGAGGTATTCCATGCGTCCCTGCGGGTGCAAAGGCGATAATGTGTGTGCATGGGGAGAAACGCATGACGAGGATACAAGAAATGCATGCGAAAATGCATGCACCAGATGAATGCTCGAAACCCCGCCGCAAAAGGCACGCGCCCGCTGCATCACCCCTGCACCTAATGCTGCACAAAGTGCATGCACCGGCATTCATTCCCCACCCCGCCCCCCACCCATGCAATCCGTGCATCGCTGCAAGTCTAAGGAAAGCGCCTGGGCTCAGAGCTGCCGCCGCCGCCGCCGCCACGGCCGCGGCCGCTGCTGGGACCTGGGGGAAGGGAAGCTGGGCTGCAGCAGGGGGAGGGAACCCGGGCCGGGAGGGGAGGGCCCGGCCGCACGGAGGCCCTAGGCCCGGGGGCACCTACTTTCCGTATGCGCCGCTTCAGGAGGGCTTCGGCCGCGAACACCCGCTCCCCCACCGCTGAAAGCTCCATGTTGACTCGCCGCTTCCCCCCTTGGCCGCTTCCAGGAGCAGAAAAGCAGCAGCCAGCGCACGACAGACCATAATACTCTCCCGCTGACGTCAGTTCTCCTCCCCCTCCCGGCGCTCTCGCTCCCTCCCGCGGCCCCCCTCCCGCGCTCCTCCGCTCGGCCCCCTCCCCTCCGCCCAGTGCTTCCTCCCGCCCCACGTGTTGCTAACGACGTTGCTAAAGCCGAGCGGCCGGAGGCCTGCGCCCCCGCACGCTGATTGGACGAGCTCCGAGCCACGCCCCTCTGCCTTTCTCCCCCGCGTTGCTACGTGACCAGCGTTCCAATCGCCAGGGGGCGGAGTCCGAGGCGACTCCAGAGACCGAGCGCGCGAGTGGGAGGGGGCGCCGCCGGAAGTGACGCCAGGGGAAGGCGGGCCCGGCCGCTGTCAGTCTGCGGGGCTGGCGAGGGGGGCAGGCCGCCCTCTGTCCTCGCCGGGGCCCCCCTCCCCCGCCACCAAGTTGTCCCTCCGGCGTTCGGCGTCCCCCACAGCTCTCGCTGGGATCCCCGCGGCGATGTCAGCCCGGCTCCGCCCCTCGGCAGACCCCGGCCCGCCGCCCCACCCCCACCGCCCAGGACTCGCGCGGTCCCCTCCCCCAGCCGCCCGCGCCGCACAATGCACAATGCACAGGTGCTGGGGCGCCGCGGGCCGCGCCCGAACCCCGAGAGCCTGCGGCGCGCCCATCGGCTGGCTTCTCCCCCGGCCCCCGCCCCCCTCCCCCGGAGCCGCACACCCGACCCCCGGTCTCCATGGCAACGTCCCCCCCCCCCCCAAGCCGGGTCCCGCTAACAAATCAATGTGCATGTGTCTCAGGCTCCTGTCGCGCGGCCCTGCCCTCGGCCACCCTCCGGGCCCTGCGAGCCGGGCTGGCTGGAGCGCTCGTCCCCGGCTCCGAAGCCGAACACAGACCTGGTGGAGGCCGGGCTGTTCCCTCCGGAGCCCGGCTGCAGCCCAGGACCCCACAGAGGATGTCGCGCGGCTTCTTCCTGCCCCCCGACCATCCCCGACGCCCGCAGCCACCTGCCCCTGCCCTTAGCCCAAGCTGCCCGCCCCCGCCAGGCTTCGGCCCCGAACCTCGCCTTCCCCTCGCCGCCCCCTGCTCGGGGCCTGGGTGGGCTAAGGGCATCTGGGCGGAGCCGGCAGAGGATGGGGCGAGCGGCTGGGGGTGCGTCTGGCTTTCCCCGAACCCCGGCGCCCGGCCCGCGCACTTCCTGTCCACCGCTCTTCCCAACGTGGGCGGCGGACATCCTGCGAGAAACGCCAGCGCGGGAAGCTGGGGGACGTCGCCGGGTCCAGTGCGGGCTGGGCGAGAGGGTCTCACGCGCGAAGATGGCGGGCTCCTGGAAAGGGACAAGGGCCGGCCGCGACCGCCTTGCCGTGCGCACACAAGCACGTGCACCGCCGACCCTGCCGCCAGCTAGGCTACCGGTGACCCGTGGCGGGGGCGGCGCTGGGGACAGCAGCCTCACTCTGGGCCCAGCTCCCTCCCACCCTGTTCTCTTATTGCTCAAGCTCCAAATCACAACTCCCACTCCTTGGAACCCACGATTTAGTTCAAACATCGATGATCAGCCTGACTGCAAGCAGTTTCCCTTGGCCAGAGATGGGGTGGAGAAAGAGGGGGGGAAAAGAGAGAGGCAGAGAGAGAACGATAGGAAGAGAGAGAGAAGCAGCCAAGGAGTCTGACACGGAGGGGCAGGAAGCCCAGAGCGGAAAACTGGCCTCCTGTCCAAAGTGAGGCGCGCGCAGGCGGCGGCAGCCGCGAGGTCCTCGACCCGCCGGGCAAGCGGGGCGCTTCGCCCATCTTCCCTCCCAGTCGTGCCCCAGCCTCTGGAAACACGGGTTTCAGGTTTTGGCCTTGTTCCTAAACTTCACAAGGTGGCCGCTTGTCGAACAGTCCCATCTCTCCGGCCGTTCTGTCTGAACGAACAGCGCGTCGAGGACGCTCAGATCTCCCAGTGACCCTCGCGGGCCGCCCGTGGGAGGCCGCCGACGGCCGCGTCCTTAATCATAAAAAGTCATTCCCGGTAACAAATAGTTTCGTCGGCCGGTGCCAGCGATACAGCTGTTTCTGTTTAAGCTTAAATACTTTCCAACAGTTTGGGCAGTAAAAATAAAGTCGGCCTCAGCCGCCTGTAAGTGTCTGGTTTCCCCGCCCAGAGAAAGCCCACCCTCCGCCCTGGGCCCGGGTCCCTCTGCCTGTCCCGCCCGCCTCCTCTTGGAATCCGCTGCCCGCCAAGGACAACAGCGCCCCAGCCCCGCACCGGCCGCCTCAGCCCCTCGAGCTGGCTCCAGGGCCACTGTGGAAGTGGGAGGGAGGGGGCCTTCCCAGAGTGGGCCGGGGGGACCTGACCCGCCTGGCCTCGCGCCCTACCCCCACCCCTGGCAAGCTCTCCCGCACCCGCGAAGAGCGGTGATTTTCCTTCAGATAGGGTTTCTGGAACCCGCTTCCCGGAGTTGTGCTTGCCCTTGATGCCTTTACTGATCATGGGGTTTGCGCTAGGCGTGCAGAGGGCGATGGTTTCAGTTTCTCCCCAAAAAAGATAGCTGTAGTCGTTCCTCCATGCGTTCTTTCCATTTTCCTTCCTTCCTTCCTTCTTCCTCCCTTCCTTCCTCCCATCCTTCCTTCCTTCCGTCTCCCTCTCTTTCTGCCCCATTCTCCCTTCTTTGCCTAAATACCTCTGAAACTTGAAGAAATGGAACCCCTGATGCTGGCAGGTGCGGCCCCCTCCTCTGGATAGGGTCTTAGGTAATTATCTTAGCTTCCCCACCCAATTTTCCACCTGTCTTTGTGCCTGATGGCGATTATTTCGGAAATGCTTGCTCTAAACAAAACTATCGCTTGCGAAAAGTCTGAGTTTGCAAACGTCGGGGAATCCTGCAAAGCTTGTGGCAAAGGTGGAACTCGATTCAGAAGGAAGGAAGAGGTATAGAATGATCTGAGGGCAGGGAGCCTGGCTCTTGTCAGTAGCAGACGCGCTCAGTCCCGCCAAGGAAGGCAATCCCCAACGGGGCAGAGTGTGTCTCATCCCTGCCTGGCGCAACCCCTGCCCCCCAACCCGTGAGAGAGCAGCGTTGCAGGGGGTGTGAAAACAGGTCACCGGGCAACCTCATTCCTCGACAGTTTGGAGACAAAGCGGGAGGTGGCGGTCTGAGAAATGGGAGCCCACCTCCCGGGCTCTGGCTGGGTGGGCGCGGGAGGAAGCCCTGTGTTCCGGGAGAGGGTGCTAGCATGCGTGGGCGTGGAGGGGGAGGAGGTTTGCAGTCATTCCAGCCGGGTCAGATCCAGACCGAGAGGACAGGTCAGCTGGTGGCATGGTCTTAGGAACCCACAGAAAGAGGATCCTTGCTCCCCACCTTTCTTATCAACCCCCTTCCCCAACCGACTCAATTCTCGCCACCTCCCTTTTCTCCATACAACCGCTTTCCTGTTTCAAAGTTAGATAATTGCCTTTCCCACCTACACGTCCCAGGAGCAAACAAAACAAAGTTGTAAAAGACAAGACACGCTACTCTTAATCCCATTGCTCGGCGGTCCGCTGCTCAGGCTGCGGCTGCCAGGTTGGCGTGCGCCGCCTCTGCAGTAAATAAGGTAACTGCTTCCTATTACTTTAGCCCCATATGGCTGCAATTTGAGTGTCTTTAGAGACGGTGCGTGTGTTGGGGCGGGGGATGGGGGGAGTGAAAGTGGAAATCAAATGCTCTCAGATCGCATTTTTATGAAGGAAATTGTCGGCGATTCTCTTAACAGCCACCCCCTCTCCTGAGATGAGCTGCCCCGTTTCTTTGTTTACGGAAATGCGGGCGCCCGCCCTCCTAGGGACACCTGCTTCCCAAACCCCTAGGTCTCCGGCCCTGTTCCGCACTCTTCTGGCGACCTGGGCGCACGGCCCGCGACTGCCCTTCCCGACAAAGGGTCTGCGACCTGCTCCCGGGAGCCCGCCCTACCCTTGGCCCCAGCCTCTAAAAGGTGCCAGGACTCTGCCCTCGATGCTGCAGCCTCCTGAGAGCCCGGAGTTTGGGGGCCCTCTTAGGCCTCCCTGGGCCCGCGGACCACGGACTCGTCCTCCGGGAGGGAGGGTGGAGGCTGGAGCACTCCAAGGAGAGGGGCGGACGGGCCCCAGCGGGGCGCTGGGCTCCTGGGTCTTGGGCCAGGCCGGCAAGCCCTAGCGCGTCCTCTAGCTTGAGGATGAGGCCGGCCCGGTTCTTTGGGAGCGTTTCAACTTCGCGGCTTGGCGGGCGTCGGACCTGCCCGGTCTTGGCCGCGGACGCGGGCAGATTTGGAAGCCAACCGTTTGCCTCGGGCGGGCCGGCAGTGAAATGAGCGCGGGCGGCTCCGAGGCGTGGCCTTGTGGCCAGTGGCTTACCTCCCGCGGTCCCGGAGCCGGGCGGGCGTCCCGCAGCGCTGCTTCCTAGACGCCGAGCTAGGGCTGGGCGCCTGCCGCCTGCTGCGGGAATGCCGCAGGGTGACCCGACATTCTGGAAACTGGTCCCAAGGCCCAGCCTGGGTGACTGGAAGTGAGGTTGTCCAGGTTTCTGGCCTTGGTTCCCGCCGCTAGTTGTTCCCAAGAGCAAGAAGCTCCCACCTTTCCTGTCCCACTTTCTCCTCCCTAGGAGACATCCACACATCCTCCTTGTTAGAGAAGCACTGGAACAGGCTGCAAAGGATAAGAAGGGGCTGCCCACTCTACAGGAATCTCCCACAAGGCTGCACACATTCTAGAAGCCACATTTCTGCCTTAAACCCCGGAAACTGAAATCAGGCCCCCTTTCTTCCCCTCCACAGGAAGAAAATATCCCCTCAGAGTTAAGCAACATCTATTGCTTAACTAGTTGCCCTATATCTAGGGCCTGCGTTATCCCAGTTAACATTCACAACAGCCAGGTAACATCAGTTCCCTTACCCCCATTTTCTAGATGAGGAAAGCGAGGCACCGCGGGGCCAAGTCACTTGCTCAGGGGCACGCAGCAGGGGTTCTGCCTGAGAAGCCGTAAGCTCACGTCCCTAAAGCTCCGCAGCAGGGGCTTTGGATCCTTGTGAATTTCAGCTCCTCCAAGGCTTGAGGAAAGAATTCAAGAAAGGTCCAGTGGAGCCTCGTGGAAGCGCAGAGCAGTGCTCCAGCAGGAGGACCCTCAGAGCCCTCGGCAACAAGGATGAGACTGGAACAATAGAGACAGGAGGGAGTTCTAGGGGCCGATTTAAGTCAACTGGAAGCTGGATGTTGGTGGGCGTTTTCGCTTTTTTTTTTTTTTAATGCTAGAGCACAGTGGCTAAAAAAGGTGGGCTCTGGGGCCAGCCTGCCTGGGTTCCAATGCACTTGCTGGCTGTGTGCCCTTGTGCAAGTTACTTAACCTCTCTGTGTTTCAGCTTCCATAACTATAAGAAAAGGAATATTAGCACGTTTTCCCAACAGAGCCCATGGGGGGTTCAATGAGATATGGAAGCACCCCCACACTGTCAGGCACAGGCAAATGCTCAATAAATGTTCATTATTAGTTACTGTTGTTGCTGTTATTGGTGTTCTGAGACCAGAACAAACTCATAGGACCTAGTGATTCTGTTCTGACTTTCCCCAGGAACTCCAGTATCAGCCTCGGCTGTCCCTTCTTCTCCATGAGGGGCAAGCCCAGAGAGGGTGCTCAGCACACACCCATCCTTCCCTGGGAAACGGACCGTATGCTGCTTAGAGGCAGTTTTGATTCATTCCTTGGGCATCTGGACCGGTTGGGCCACGTGGGCTCGCTGGGAAAACGCGCCGGCGTCCCCTCGGAGCGCCGAGGCCGGGCGAGCTGAGGGTGCGGTGCCGCTGGAGCACGCGCACAGCGCCCGAACCAGCACGCATGCGCGCCGCGGGCCGGCCCCATTTCCGCCCCCCCCCCACGCGCCCCCCCATCACACGCACACCCAATCCCCGGACTGCTCGCTGGTGCTGCTTGTGAGACCCATTCCTAGGAGCCCCAGGCGCCCTTGGGGAGCAGAAAGAGGCGGTCCAGAGTTGGGCCGGACAACCGCAACCTGGAAGGAGTCCGGGAGTCCTTGGGTCTGGGCGCTCAGTTCTCACGGTCTGGGGAGAAGGGGCTCAGACGGGACGGACTAGGCACAGCCAGGGGCGGGGACTGCGAGAGGCGAGGGGAGGCCGGCAGGGTGTGGCGGCAGAGCAGCCCGGGACAAGTGAGCGGCCTAGAGATCAAGGCCTTGGAGTCCCGTCCGAGAGCAGGACGTTATCAGAAACCTCCAGCCCCAACCCCTGCCTGGAGATGCCCGGGGCGCGCTGACTCTGTTCTCGCATCACCCCGGGCCCTGGCTCAACGCGTGAGCAGCCTGTGGTTCCAGATACCCCGAGTGGAGAGTTTGACCCCAGATTCTGCCTGCACTGACAGGCTTGGCCTGGCGGTTACGAGCCACGGTTGATGAGCGCCCCTCCTCCCGTGACCCAGCTCATGAGAAAGGCGGGGAGCACCAACCCTCCCACGGGAAAACACGGGGAGAGGCTGGGCGAGTCAAGGAATGGTGGCACCAGAGCCTGGGCGCAGAGAGGCAGCTGGACCTCCTGGGCTCCCTTGAGCCGGAGCTCCGCCAGGGTGGGCACTTCTGCCTCCAGCGATGCTGGGTGCCACAGTCCTCCCGCCTCCTCCTGGACCACACGCGGCTCTCCAGAGTCCCAGGGAAGCTCCAGGGACTCCTCGGACTCCGCCTGGCGCTTCCCGTTTTTTCATTTCCTACCCCACCCCCATGCAGAAGGAATTGAAGTGACTTTTTTGCTGGGACGTCGGGACCTCAAGTCAGTTCCAAAGTGGGAGTCTCTCAGCCGGTGCCGTTCCCTTGCGAGATTGTTAACGCCAAGAGCCACAGTCCAGCTTCCCCTTTTAGAGATCAGAAAATCCTAAGTGCAGGGCCTGCCGGGTCATTCGAGAAGGCACAAGCTGCGGAGGCCAGTCTGGGGCCTCTCGCAGAACCTCGGGGAACAGAGGCGTCTGCCGGGCCGCCTACCCTCCGCAAGAGTGGGCCACGCGGGCGGCAAACCCGAGGGCAGACGTTTGGGAGCTGACCGAGAAAACGCGACGGTGCCGGCGAGGTTCTGGGCGAAGCCTCGGCGTCCTCCACTGTGGTCGACGCCTTTCCTCGCAGCCCCGGTACAGGGCTTCCTCGGTGCACCCCTAGCCGTTGCCCCGGGAGGAGGCGCCGTCTGGGACACGAAGGGGCTCGGCTGGCGTCGAGGCTCCGCGGCCAGAGCGCGGCGGCTCCGCGCACGCCCAGAAGCCGTGTTGCCGGTTCCGGGGCTGCCGGAAAGCGTGGGGCCAAGCTGCTGCTCTGTGCCCGCGCAAGCGCCTCGCTACCCGGGCGGGACCTTGCTCTCTCCGGCCGCCCTGGGCCGAGGGGTGGCTCAGCATCGTGGGGGCGGACGCAGACGGCCACTCGGCCGGGACACCGTCGGCCCGGGAGCCGTGATGCCTTTTCTCTCTGCAGCTGAAGCCTCCGATCGGTTTCCCCGCCCTTCTGTAGGAAATCAAATTCAGGGAACATGGTACCGTATTTACCCGCACAACTTCCTCCCTTGACATTTTGCACTCTCGAAGTTGGGGCAGAAGTAATTATGCAAACATCTGGGGCTGTCCCGCGCCGCTACCGGCACCGTCTTATTCATCCTGAGAGCCGCACTCCCTCATTTGCATAATAATGGCTTATCTAGAATAACACAGCAATCAGAGGCAAAATTAATTTTCTTCAGCTAGTCCTTGAGATCCTAAAAACAGAGGAGGCTTATGGCAAGAAAAGCCGGTTTAGCAGAGGGTGTAGGGTTCCTGACCAGGACCAAGGAGAGAGAAAGTTTAAAGCAGTGGAAATGTGATGTTCACGCTGAGTTTCTGTATTTTTCTAGTTTCAACCTCAGAGCTTACTTTTTGGCCAAACGGATGAAGGGGTAAGCCACCGTGGAAGTCCCAGCAGATACCCCCACCATCGCCCCATCCATCCTGGGAGGTTCGGTGGCCCTCGAGGCAGAGACATGGACTGTGGCTGGGGTATTGGGGGCAGATGTTCAATGTGTTGGGGTGTGGAGAGGGTAGATTGGCAGCCTACTGAGGATTAAAGGGGTGTCCTGCAAACCAGCTCCGGGGTCTGGGTCCGGACCTTCCAGGGACTCAGTTCCGCACCCTTTGAACAGATCAAGACAGAGCACTTCCTTGCTCTGGGATGGTCGCCTCAGCCACCGAGACAGCAGAAGTCGTTGAATTCAAAGCAGAATAAAGGGGTGCGTGGGTGGCGGTGGGGTGCCTTAAGTGGAGGAAACATCTTTTATACATTAAAAAATCTTCTTGATCTTTTTTAATACGCAGAGGAGTGGGAGGAGAAAATCCACAAATAAATATGGTAAATGAATTTGGACCAGAATTGTAATTGCAGGGCCACTTTCAGGGCAATTCCGGGCTCCAGACAATTTTTGCAGTAAAACGTGTTTCCTCCGAGGGCACCATTCTCACTTTTGCAGTCACAGAGCAGAGAGTGAGAGGAGCTCAAAAGGGCTCTGCAGCACCTCCCGTCACCCCTCTACGGACAAGAACGTCCTCTCTCTTGGAAAAGATGCAGGTTTTACGTTTAATGAGAAGGTGCCCACAGTTCAGGCTTGCAACTAAGAAGTTTGGTATCAGTCTTAAGTTCTTTTTTAAAATGAGCTTTTAAATAGTTCAGGGTTACAGGAGGAAGCCTAGGAAGGAATTGCTGTGAGTAGAGCAACCTGTGGGTGAGATGGGTAGGGGGAGGAAAAATGGGTGGAAGATCTCAGTGACACCTTCAGATGCTGTATTGGTGGGAAGGGAGGAGGGTGCCAAGGGACTGTAGGGCCTGGAAAAGGGAGTGTCTCTGGAGAGCCGGGCTGCTGGGTTGGGAGGGATAGGCCTCATTTTATCTCCTTCCTCTTCCCTTTGCGGTCATTCCCACTGCCCTTTTGAGGCAGTCTCTAACTTTTTTACACCACCCCGACGGTGCAGCCTGACTTTAGAGGTATCATCTCCTTTCCAATGTGTGTGTGTTCGTGTGTGTGTGTGCCTGTGTGTGTGTGTGTGTGTGTGAGAGAGAGAGAGAGAGAGAGAGAGAGAGAGAGAGAGAGAGACAGAGCGAGAGAGAGATCAAAGTTTCCCTAGGGGAAGGGGGCGCTCTGGGGGAGGGGCGCCCCAGGATACCCGAAGACTCCAGCTGTCCCCAGGTATTTTCCCAGCCAAAAACCTCAGGGGGAGTTGGGATTCCAGGCCTTCCATTCAGTCCCAGGTTTCTCCCTCAGTTTCTCCCTTTTGGAGAGTAGGGAGGACCTGGGATGAATAGAAGAGGAAGTGGCCAGCAGGGAGGCCTGCAGGGGTTACCAATTCTTCTGTTCCCTGAAACCTTTTCTTAGGTCTGCAAGACAGGATCTCTGGCGGACCTCATTCTCCAGCCTGCTCCAGGCATTATACGAGCTCTGGGATGGGGGTGGGCAGTCCCTTGGGGAACTGTCCTCTCTACCCCACCCCCACTCTGTCCCAAGCTGAGGGGAGGGGTTGGACCTCTCCTCTTGAGGGGGGCGCCATTCAGCCTGGAAGGGCCTGAGCAATGGGAAGGGTGTCCACTGGATAGGGGTGCAGGACACTGGGCTTCAGCCTTGGAGTGGTCTTACAGCTCCCCAGTGAGGGACAGCGGGGTGGGTACAGGTCCCTCTCAGGAGTCGGGAACATCTAAGAGCATATCCCCAAGTCTGACCCTCACTTTGCACAAGTCTGGTGTGCAGTGGTGTCCAGCCGAAATGAAGAAGGTGGGCACAGGTGGGCATGGGGGAGTCGAGGGTCTTCAGGAGCAGGTGGGGCCATCGCTGGCAGAGATCACAGAGATGTCGTTCCCAGAGTGAGGGCATCGAGTGTAGGGAAAGAAAAGGGGAGAAAGACAGGAGTGGATGTTGGGGGAGATGATTTGCCACGGCAAGACAGGGCAAGACTGAGTCACTTTCTCCCACAGCTCCTGTTGGGTCCTTCGGCACCTGCAGTCTAACCCAGGTGCCTCACCAGCTGCCTCTCTCAACACTGACTGCCCGTCCCTTCAAATCGTGGGACTAGTGGCCAGTGGAATCTGGGGAAGTGCCTCACGTGCTTGCACCACAAGATCAGGTCTCTCTCCTGGAAATCAGTGGTCCCACCTGCAGAATGGGCCAGTTCTTTCCCATTTTGTTGCTATGACAGGCATCTGTAATGGACCCACAGGATCCCAGGAAAGCAGGACTCCATACTACACACACACACACACACACACACACACACACACTTGCTGTTTTTCCAAGATGAGAAAGGAGTCCTAGGCTCGGTTTCTTCCGCAGCTTCTGTGGGTTCACGCATCCCCTTCCCTGGAAGGAAAGTTTCTGGGGCTGTCTACATGGCAGTTCCAAGGATGCCCTGGGAAGTGGTGTGTGAAGGGTTGCAGGGCCCTGGATTGTCACAGGGGGCAGGGCAGGGCAGAGGGTGGAGCTAGGCAGGACTGGAAGAAAGTGTGCAAGGGCAGGAAGGGGGTTGGATCTGATACCCACCAACCACTCATCACGGCATCTGCGAGGGAGTGCTGGGAATACCTGTTTCTACAGTGGCTCAAATGGACATGATGTGTTATGGTGTTTGTATCCCATTGGTATCTAGCCTGGCACAAGAGGGTGTACCAGAGTGCTGGGAGTGGACAGATGTAGCCACCATCCGCTGAGTGAGGGCTGCTCTGAGCCAGGCTTTGTGCTGGAGGTTTACGGGACTCTGCTTCTATTCCTCATCACAACCCTTAGAGGGAGGCTCCATTTAAAGATGAAGACACAGGCTCAGAGGGTTAAGTAACTTGTTAATGACCAAGTTAAGTCACAGGACAGAGCTCAACCTAAATCTGTCACCCAAGAGTTGAGGAGCCTAAGGGGAAGCTTCAGGGTAGCTCTTGCTGGTGTGGAACCAGGCACCTAGGGGAGCCGGGCATGGCTGTGCTGCGCTAGGGTTTGGAGCTTGGCATGAAGAGCAGCCTGTGGCAATGTCACTGGCTATGGCCAATCCCAGCCTTTGGCGGGACCAGGAGCTTAGCAGCCTGAGACCAGAGACCCACTGGCTTTTCCAGCCTCTGTCCAGCTGCTCAGGGAGTAGGACTGGCTGAGATCAATGGTAGTCAGTTTCAAGTCCCCATGCTAGGGCTCCTGGGTTCCAGGATTGACAAGCCACATTGACACAGAAGCCCATGCCTGGGCTGCTGCTGAGATGCACCTGCATAATGCATAAAACAGTGGATTGGGAATGAAATCCAGGCTTGCTCTGCCCCTGGCTAACTGGGTTACCTTGGACAAGTCTCTCTCTTTCTCCCTGCAAAACCAGCATTCGGAGCAGGCAGCCTTGGGGCCGCCAGTCTGGTCTCCATGTTCGACACCTCGAGATCATTCGTGTAGGCATATGAGGGTTTTCCTGAACCTTTTGGAAATACTTGTTGACTGTTGAGTGCTGACCACTGATGCACATGCCCAGGGCAGTACACAGAACCCTGGAGTTTGTGCCTGCCCAAGAAGCTAGGGACTCCTAGTAGGAGTGGCAGATTCCTGTCCCAGATACACCGGGTACTGGCCACCATTTTCCCAATGATGCCAGGCCCAGAGCTACCAAATACCTACTAGGAGACACAGGGTGGCAAGAGGAGGACTCCAGGGGAAGGCCTGTGTGACTAGGCTACCATTCCAGGCTCAACTCTGGCGAGGAACAATCTAAGGTGTGCTCCTCCCTCCAGCCCCACACTGCTGGCAGCAAGGCTGCAGCTCAGACTAATTCCAGGTACATTCTATAGGTGGCATCATGCTACTGGAAATGGCCTCCTTGGAGAAAGAGGCTCTCTTGTCAGCATCTCCAGGCACTGGCGAGCCGAGGCAAGGTTGACACAATCACAGTCTAAACTGCGCGGAGAAGGACACCTGAGGGGCGATGGGTATGTGCTGAGGGACAGTCCTCTCCATATTAGGGGCCACTGCTCCAGGTGCATAAGCTTCTTCCGTGCCATCCACCGGTGAGGCCTTGGGGCCTGTGGGTGTCGGGGGTCTCTCCTGCCTTCTGCCACCCGTGGGAGGTAAAGGCCTCACTGTGCACCTGGTGGGGGTGCTAGGCGGGCTACCACTAGGTCTACAACAGCATACACCTGCACCAAGTCGCCTTGCCACCAGGCTGCGTGAGAGAACTGGGTCAGTGCACCACGTGTCCTAGCCAGAGAGGCCCCTCCACACTCCCTGGACATCCTGGGGCCACTTTCACCGTCCAGACCCTTGCAGGGGCAGCTCAGACTCCTCTTCCGTGGGCAAACAGACCAGCCAGAAGTGGGGAGAGGGAAAGCAAGTGGGGCGTCCTGTTCGAGACGGACACTGAGGTCACCAGCACAGGCAGGCGTCAATCTGACCAAGGAGACCAGGATCTCAGGAGGCTTCACCCAGGACCCACCGCCCCTCTGGCAGAGAATCCCTGAGATGACTCCTTCCTTGCCCAGATCCGGCCCTGATGGCTTCAATCTTCCGAGCTGGGGGGCCTGTCCCCTATCCCCCCAGCCTCTTGCAGCCTGCCGTCAGGAGCAGGGCTGGCACAGCGACAGAGAAGAAAGGTGTGACAGCGACACCTCTCACCTCTCCCTTCCACCACCTGGCTGGCTCCAGGCCGCCCGCGCCTCCAGGGCACAGAGCCAGTGGGTCCTCGTGGCCACTGTTCCCGGCCTCCTGGCGCTGAGGCTCCACGCAGCACTCTACCGGCGCCTCCCCCCGGCCCCCGCCCCCCGCCCAGACCCTAGGGCTTTTCCCCTTCTCTCCCCCAGGCGTTCTGCTTGGTTTGCCGGGATCCCAGGCGTCTGCTCAAACTCAACACGGACTGGCTCACATTTTTTTAAACAAAAGCAATTAGATTTCAATCCCGGTTCATCTGCATTTGCACCTCCAAATGGGGGGGCAGGGGGAGAGGGAAAGGATGGGGAGCGCGGCGGCGGCGAGTGGCACCTTCCGAGCGCTGCAGCTGGCCGGGCAGCCATTGCGCCGGCCACATCTGGCCCGGGCTGAACGGCCGCCGCGGCCCCCTCCCCGCCGGCTCCCGGGGCCCGCGCGCCGCAGCCCGCTCGGCGGCGCGCTCATCGATCGCCGGGGCCGCGGCCGGGCGAGCGGAGAACAAGGTATAGCCTGTATTTAGGTTCCTGCCCTTATATGGCGATGTGCGCGAGCGCCCGCCGAGCGGCCGCACCATATAAGGGCACGCGGCGGGCGCCGGGCTGAGCTGGTGCGCGCTCATTGGCCCGCGCGTCTCTCGGCAACCGGCTCTCACGAGTGGAAACCAGCCAGCCGCCCCCGCCCGCTCCCCGCCCCCTCCCTTTCTTTCTCCCCGGGTATCTCCGCTCCTCGCCTCCGCACCCCCTTCGTTGCTTAACCCCCCTTTTTGCCTGTACCCTCTCCCCAATTTTTCTTCCCGCGGCCTTCCTCCTCCCTTTGCCTCGTTGTCATTCTTCTCCCGTGGCCGCTTGGCCTGTCCTCTCCCGCTCCGCGCACGCTCCCACTCCCACCCCACGCACCCCCTCCCCAAACCCGGCGAGCAACGGCGGAGGAGCGGGAAGGCCCGGATGCGGGAGGGGAGCTTGTGTGCGTGTGTGTCTGTGCGTGTGTGTGTGTGTGCGTGTGTGTGTGTGTGTGTGAGAGTGTGTCGCTGCCGCAGTAGCCGCTGCAGCATCAGGTTCACTGCGTGCACGCACGGGGCTCTGGGAACAGTCCGAGACCGCCCCCCCCCACCCCCCTCCGCCACCTCCCCCCTAGATAATCAGAGCAATTAGCTGCAAAAGAAATGTGCTTCCGAGGCTAGGGAAGTGCTAAATCATAAACAGCCCTAGATACCTCCAAATTAGCATCTCCCAGGGTGTCCCTTCGGGCTGGATTTCTGAATGCAATCATAATAATGGTAAATCGATGTCTCATTTAAAGGTTACTTTAAAAACCTGCCAATTGTTGAGGAAAAAAAAACCCCTGCGTGCGGGGAGAAAAATGCACTAGGAGAACCACTCTGGGGTTTCCAGGCAGAATGCAGTGGAGCGGTGGCTGCGGGTTGTTGGTCAGGTGCCCAGCGCCGGGCCCACCCGCGGGATGGGAGCGGGCGAAGAGAGAAGGCGTAGCTATTCCTCTGGGGATAAGGCTCTCGATCGCCTCAAACTCAGGCAGAAAGGGCACTGCGGATTCGGGGGCGCCCCTCGCCCCCTCCCCAACCCGCCGAGGCGCGCGCACGCGCACGCATGCACAGGTGTCCGGCTGACCCCTCTGGGGCTGTCACGGTTCCGGCGCGCGTGTTCTGGCGACGCCGTGGGGGCCAGAGCCATCCTCTCGGGGACCCACTCCTGTCCTGAGTTCACCCAAAGGGAACCGCTAAGACAATGGACACCCTAGTGCCCTTAGGGACTGTGCCTGTGACCGAGCTCGCCTCTAGGGCTGCCGCCTGCGGGAGGCGCCCGGCGATGCCCCCTGCTGGGCAGCCTGCGCCTGGAACACCGCGCAGGTGGGGGTCGCGTGGGAGGGCCAGCTAGAGTGGGGGATGGGGACCAGGGCGCGATGACCAGCGCGACCTCCGCCCGTCTTGGGCATCCTCCCTTACCCTCGTCCTCCTTCTCTTCAAAATCTCAAATTCCCTAACCTGGTCCCTACCAGAGGAAGGTGGTGGAAGCGGGCACTGCCAGGGAACGAGGGTGCTAGATTGGGGAGGGCGCTGCCTGCTGGATCGAGTTAGCTTCGGCCGCCTCCTCCTTGCTGTTTCTGCGGAAGGAAGCGCTGCGGCGGCGGCAGCCCTTGGTGCCAGCATGTATCCCTCCCTGACCTTAGCTGAGATTCGCTGCCGCGGTGTTTTGCCCAGAAGAAAGCTGTTTCCCTCCAGACTAGGGACTGGGGAGTGCCCTTGGGGCGGAGAGTTTGCCTGGGTTTTCGCCCAGCGCCGGACCTCTGCCATTGAGACCTCTTCAGGTCCTGGAAAATCCATGGATACCCGGGTGCTGCCTCTTGGTGCCCCCGAAGTACACCATCCCTGACCCGCTCTCCCCACGCCCATTTAGCCAGGTCATTTATAATAGATCCCCATCTTCAAGTTTCTGCGTGCTTAGGTACATGGATTCCTCCGCCCAGGTGGGGGAGGGGGAATGCGGACCCCCGGATGTCCCCCGACTTCTCTCTGCACAGGGACGTGTCTCAAATGCGCCTTTTCTTCTCTGTTCTTAAACCCCAGGAGCAGAAGCGCTCCCGAATCTGGAAACCCCTTTTCCTGACCTGTTGGCTCCTGGTCCCTGGCCCCTGCCCTCTTATACACTGAATTTGAATTTTCCAGGCGCTGGTGGTGAAATCAGAAGAGTCGAGAACGCAGCTGGCGGAGAGGGATGAGAGAGAAACTTGCAGAAAGGGAAAAATAAAGCACCAAGTCTACAGGCACACCTCTCCCCGGCCGGCCCGGCCCGCTGGGGCCTGGGTTCCTTTGGGTTGGGGAAGTGGGGGTACGAACCCACGCGGCTGTGCCAAGGGGTCCCAACTCCGGAGTCCAACCCCACCCACCAGTCCTCTGTGCGCACTTTTCGTTTATTTCTCAGCAGTCTCAGTCCTGGAGCTCCTGGGGCGATTTCGTCCCCTGCCCTGGTGCGCCCCCGGGCCCTGCCCTGAGCCCATGCCCCAGGCCGGGTGTCCAGTTCACCCTGAGCTCCCCTTGGCGCCCGGAGAAGGGTGCTCGGGCCCGGGTGCTGGGGAGCGGCGGGGTGGCCGCCGGCGCCTCTTCGGCGCGGATGGCTCTCGGCGGGGCCGAGGAGGGGGTCGCAGAGCGGCTCCCCGCCGAGAGGAGGGTGGGCGCTCGGCACCTGCTGAGCTACGGTGGTGGCTGCGGTTTATGGCGCCCGAGGATCCACCCGGATCTTCTCCGCGGAGTTCCGGGCTTGGCTCGTCTGTAGTCAGCACGCACACAGCTTTGTTATTTGTTATTTTTTTAATTTTTCTGCGGGGAGCATCGGGGCTAGCCCGCCCAGCTCCAACGCCAGAGGGTGTGGGGGAGACTGATTTCTAAATGGGTGGGAGCGACACACGGTCACCGAGGTCAACACCCCATTAACATTTCCCCACCGGAGCGCCGCGACCTCGCGAGGGCACCGGGCACCGGGGTGGGGGTGGGGACAGACCGAGCGCGCCCTTCCTGCGCAGTCCCCGGCCGCCCCCACCCCGTGCCCCCTCTGCCCGCAGGTAACCGCCCCTCCCCCGCTCGCCCCGCGGCCGCCCCCGCCCGCTCCCCCGGGAGGGTCCCTGCGCCCGGCCGAGCGTCCCCGGGCGGGCACCGAGAGCGGGGCTGGGGGCTGCGGCGCCCGCCCCCGCCGGGGCAGCGTGGCGACTGGCGCCGCTTTGGCAGCCATTTTCTGCAGCTGCCGCGGCCGGGGCTCTGCGGAGTGAGGCGGAGGCTGCAGCCGCCAGACAGAGGCGGCGGGGGCGGCGGGCGCGGGGTCACCGGCGGGGGGGCGCCCGGCGGCCGGAGGGGGGCGGGCGGGCGCTGTCGCCGGTGCCCCCGCCCCTCCCCCTGCTGCATTGCAGGCAGAGCGGGGCCGCTCCGCGTGGCGAGCGCCTGCGATCCCACCCTTTCCCCGCCATCTTGTACCCCGGCTGGCGCCTTCCCAAAGCGGAGCTGCCGCAGACAAAGCCCGCCCCGGGCCGGCGGGGGCCCCTGCAGCCCACCCGGGCTGCGCGGCCTGGGGGCCCCCGAGGCCCGCACCCTCGCCCCGCCCCTCCCGGGGGCCGGCGCGCCCCCCCTCGCCCCAAGGGGGGCTCTGCATGCGGCGACCACTCACCCAGCCCCAGAGGGCCGGCCGGGACCCCCCCTTCCACTCCCGATCGCCAGACTGGACCCGCGCCCAAGCCCCAGCACCAGCCCACCCTGGTTGCTGGAAGGAGTAGGGGTTCCCACAGGCGCGGCACAGATGAGGGCTGGGGACTTTTTCTAGCTCTGGGTTCCTTCTCTCTTCTGATGGGGTTGGGGGGGTCACTAGCCCTAGAGCCCCCATCGCCCCCTCCTAGGGCCAGCCCCACGCGCCAATTTTCCCACGGAAGAACCGCAAGAAAGACGGCAGCGTGGGCGGCTCTCGAGACCCCCCCCCGCCCCCCCGCCCAGCAGCTGCTGAAACCGGGAAAATTGGGCACTCCATTCTCTCAGATGGGAGCACTATCGCCTCAATCCCCCAGCCCTCTCGGTCCTTTCCCTCGACGCTCCTACACAGGAACTCGGGACCTAGGCCCTGGGCTGCTGTGTGGGGAGTGAGGCACCTCTTCCTCAGCCCAGAAACACCGAGAACCCGGTGCCTAGCAGCCTATGTTATCAAGCATGCCACTCCTTGATAGGAAATTTGCTCCCCAATGATTCCATTTTCCTGTCTCCAAGTCCTCAGGCCTGGCATTGGGATGGGAGCATCCAAGGTCCTGTCCACAACAACCGATCGTATTTCCTGGGGACAGCTCGACCCCCAGGGGAGCACGTGGCCACCAGCTCTGCCGCCTTCCTCCTCCTGAGACCGACCCTAGGAGTCCTCGTGCCCCAGTCTACCTAGACTCCCAGGAGCGTCCGGCCGGAAGAGACAGTGGGAGATGAGGAAACTGAGATTGGGAGGGGGACGTGATGGGGTAAGGCCATTCCTAAGGCTTGTGGCAGAGCTGCCTCTTCACCCCACCCCCATTTCTTTCAGATGCGGAGATCAAAGCCCAGGCTCACTGGTGGGTCGGGAGCTCACTCCTCCAAGTACACTTGGCCAACCTCGGGGAGCCCGGCGGCGGCGGGAGGGGCGCGGGCACCTGGGGGATGGGGGTGGGGAGCGGCCAGTCTGCTGGTCCACACCTGAAAACGGGGTTTCCCCGACCGGATGCCTGCCGTCCCCCCGCCTCCACTCTGCGGGGTCGCCTGCTAGGGTCGGGAAAGGACCCTCCACCGCCACCCTCGGGGTTCGGTCCTCCCCCACCAACGTCTGCCAGTCCGCGTGGATTCCGAGCCCGGCTCCGGAAACCAGTCTGACCACTTCGCCCATTTCCCAAGCCTCCCCGGGCGGCGGCCGGCCAGCTTCCATGGTGCGGTGAGCCAGGCTCGGCCGCCGCCTCGGCCGCCCTGCGATGAATGGCTCTGCCCAGAAGGCCGGCGTCCAAGCGACGCTCCCGCCCGCGCGCCCGGGGCCTCCAGGCCGCTCCCCGCCCCGTGTCCCCACATTGCGAAACGGACGGTCGGATGCTCCGCTCCAGGGCCGGGGTCGCCTGTCCCCTGCCGACCTGGCGCAGAGCCGCCTTCTGCACCCGGCCCCGTGCCGCCCTGGGGTTGCTTACAGCCGGGCTGTGCCACCGAGCTGAGCCCGGAATCGAATGGCGGGCCGCGGAAAAGGCGGCCAGGCCCGCAGGGGCGACTGCTCGAGGTCCCAGAACAGCGCCCGGGGAGCCCCAGGCCGGCCTCGAGGGGACCGCGGGCGGGACAGGAGGGGAACAGCTGGCATCGGCGCCCGGCTTCAGCTGCCCGACTGCGGTGGGCGGGTAGGCACGTTCCCCCGCAGCCACCCGCGCACGGGTTTCCAAGGCGTCAAGGGCAATTCACCTGGTCGCTGCAAGAAAGCGACTGCGCCCCCACGTCCAGCCAGCCGCCTTGTCCATGAGAACCACCTGGAGGGCAGGGTCCAGTGCCCGGGTGCCACCCGCCACGTGGTGACGGCTCTGGGATGGCACAGGCTCGTGCGTGGCCGCCGGGCTGCCGTCTCGGCCCCTGTGCGGGTCTGCGCTTTGGCGGCCGCCGAGCCGAGGGGAGAAAATGGCCGGTGGCGCGGGGCCCGGCCGAGGGTCGCGGGAGGGCTGGCAGGCGCGGCCGCTGGAGGGGCGCCGCTCTCAGGGCTCGGTCAGGCGGCCCCTGCGACTCCTGGTGCCCGGCTGGGACACGTGGGGCCGGCTTTGCGGAGTCAGCAGGGCCAAGGTGCGCGGGGTGCGCTCCCCCCCGGAACCCCGCCCCTTCTCACCCCATCTCGCTTTTTTGGGAGAGGAGAGTGGAGCCGTCAGCACCCACTGGCAGTGTCGGTGCTGTGCTGGGAGTCCTCCCAGACCAGCCCACTCCTCCTGGTTTGAGCTTCCGATCCATCCCTACTCCTTTACGGTTCTTCTTCCCCGTAGTTAACCTGCGGAGAGGAGGAGGTACTGTCTCCGCACAAGGTACTGCGGAGGTACCTTGCGGAGGAACCTTGCGGAGGAGGTACTGCGGTGGGGAGGCAGGGGGGAGGCGCATCTGCCTCCGCACAAGGGGTCTAATGGCTTGCTTATTCCTTCTAGGCCAGGTTGAAAGGTTTTTAAAAGCAGGTGGGGGTGCCAGGATAGTGAGAAAAACAAGAAAAGACACTGCTTTTTACCCCATGCGGGGCAGAGCTGGTCTCCTTTCTGCAGGTGTTGAGGGGAGTTGAGTAGGAGCCCAGAGCTGGTACAGGCCCCGTTTAACGTGCCCCCGCAGAGTGAGGGCTGGGGGTCACCCCATAGGCAGGGGAGCCCTTCTGGGAGGGAATTCCTGCTTAGGTGGGAGGTTGACCTGAATGACATCTAGGTCCTCTACCTCCCAGATGCCGAATTTTCAGGGAAGGAACCAAATGGATGTATGGCCCATGCCTGGGTTTGAATCCCAGTTCTGGCCTTCATTCCTCCAGGCCTCCATTTCCTTGTCTGCACTATGGGGCCATGGTGAGAACTCTGAAATAACACCAACTGCCTGGTGCTTGGTAGGTGCCACATTACAAAAGCGGTGGGAAGGAGGCCCTTTGGTTTCCATGTCGGTGGTCATGTCCCACAGTCCCCGTTGCCATCCTGATTATGGAAAACTTCATTTCATGCTCCAAATGTTCCTCAATTCCTGGCACTGTTCTAGGTCCTGCACCCAGGCTGGTATGAAAAAGGTGCCGAGAAGGTCCCATGCATCACCAGCCTGGAGGTAGCAGCAGAAGGGAAACCAGTGCCTCTGAGAGTGGGCAACTGTGCCCCATCCACCTCCTCTTCTTCTTGGAGATCTCAAGATAAGACAAGAGACATCAACCTGGGATTGGGTTTCTGGGCAGAGAGTAAAAGTGAGCTCCTTCTGCCTGTGCACGCAGCTTCCCTCGGTACTGGGATAGCCGAGATCCCTTACTAGAAGCAGCTCACAAAACCTCCCCCAGTTACTGGGATAGCCCAGACACCTTCCTAGGGCAGCAGCGGAAGAAAGAAGGGGACAAAATACCAACGACCAGAAAGAAGAAAGAACTTAGCCTCAGTCACCAGCCACTGGGAGCTGATAGTAACTGAAGGGATGGAAAGCCCTCTGGGACAGTTTTAGTGGGAGCCCTCCAGAGCCTGGAGAGACTGCAGGTGGAGCAGGAAGGTGGGGAAGAATTAGAGCAGTGACCCCGGCCACTTTTGGCCTCACGGTTCTGCACAATGAGACATTGCTCATCTTCAGAGAACCGTGCCATTCTGGCCATCTGGCATCCTAGACAATTTTCCACTGTCTCTCAGTATCCAGCCATCCAGCCATCTAGCCTCCTAACTACTTCTCTGTGCTGGTCCAGCCCAGTGCTCAGAGTTAGGATATTTTTATGAATAAAACAGACCTAGCTTCTGCCCTCGTGGAGCTTACAGCGTGGGGCGAAAGGAGACTGATCAAAATGCCACACACATGTAATTTACAACCTTGGGAAGTGCCAAGAAGGGGAAGTGTTGGGTGCCACTGAGAACATTCACAGAGGTTAACCTGGGGCTGAGGTGGAGGAAAGGTCAGATGGAAGCTGTCTAACCACCCTGGGCTTCTGGCTTAGGATGTGTAGGGCTAGCAGCTCAGCCCATGAGGTTGTGTCTTGAACTTGGGTATTGATGGAATAGCTATAGAAACAGAACAACCATGAAGTGAAGATGGTGAATGAAGATCCTCTCATCAGCTTGCGATTGCATGACAGAGGAGGCTGCAAGGACACTCAGGTGTGAAGACGGGTGAGTTGCCAGTTCTGGAGTGCAGATGTGGTTACCAGCAGCCTCTGTTTTGGAGGCTACTCTGAAGCCATATTCAGCTTGGGAGGCCTCCTGCAGGGTTGACCCAGTTCTGGAACAAACCAAGGTGTTTGGGTCTGAACCAGGGCCTGAGCAGATCCCATCCCATATCCAGCTGAACTGTCTCACCCAGTCTGCATTGAGTATCGGTCCCAAGTGGAGGCCACAGGAAGAAGTGCTGTTCCCTAGTGGTCTTAGATGCTTCATCAGCTAAAGCGTGGGGCTCAGTCTCCTGGTGTCCACCTGTAAAATGAAAGTGGTGTCCCAGAGTCTCTCCAAAGCTCCTTGTGGTGACTCTATGGTCCTAAGAAACCGTTCACTTTATAGGCCTATCTCAGTGCACAGCTGATGCCTCTGATGCAGGGGTGGCTGTGGCTGTGCTGCCGCTCCTATGGGGGAGGCATCCTGGCCAGCACGCTCTTTGCACCTGATGACTCCCTACGGCAGCTGCACAGCACTGCAGTTAGAAGCCCAGGCCACGTGGATTTCAGCCCCGGCCCTACCACTCAGTAGCTGTGTGACCCTGGGCCAGGTGTTTGACCTCCCAAGGCACCCATTTCCTCATGGAGGTAATAATAGTATCTATAACCTCAGTTTACCACACGGATGAAAAGACAATGCATGTAAGGGTTCCTCCGCGGCACCTGGCTCAGTGAGCAATCTGTAATTGTGAGCTGTTGTCATTAAGAGGCCGTGGGAACACTAGTCGGTGGTGTGTATATCCAGGGGTGGGTGTTGCTTCTGGCATCTCTCCTAAATTCAAGCTGATGATGAAAGTCATCAGAGAGACAGAACAAAATACCCCACAAGCTATGACAAAAGGAACCTGTATTTCATAAATCAGAGAAGAGTAAAGGACAGAGACCAAAGCCAATAACTAGTGTTTAAACATGCAGAGAGAAAGAGAGACAGAGAGAGAGATGTTTCCTCTGCCTTCCACTACCATGGGCAGGTGGGAAATACCACCGACCCTGGGGACCCTGGGATGGTCCCTGAGTGGGCCGTGTGCCAGGAGCCTGGCCAGAGAGCCAAGAGTGGTCATGGCCCCCTGGGAGTTCTACTCTTTTCTAGGCAGCAGCAGTGACTGAGACCTTGTACACAAAACTCATTCATTCAATCAGTATTTATCTAGGACTTCCAGAAACAGTGCTAAGCTGTGCTGGAGAGTGATAGTAAAAAAGACACAGTCCCTACCAGCGAGAGACATTGGGTCCAGCTGATGAGTAAGACAAGCCAACAGAGTAGGGCAACAAGACCAGGATCCCTTCGGGGCATTACTGAGCACACGGCCTCGGTCTGGAATTCTGGACACATTCTTCACCTTAACTGGGGGTGCATTGGGGATTTAAAACCCCCAAGAGCCAGGGATCTTTCCCACCCAAGCTAATTTCTGGGCAGCTGTGCCACTGCAGGGCATGCAGAAGGAAGAGAGCCTTCCAGAGGAAAGTCGCCTTGTTCCTTGCTTTGTGACCCTCATCTCTGCGAGGTAGAGAAGAAAAGGAGGGCTCTTCCATCGGGAGCTTCCAAGGTTCCGGGTGAGAGCTAGCCAGCTCTGCATTTGGAGCAGAGAGAGGTAAGCGGCCCAAGCCTGCTGAGCCTGCGAGGTGCTTCGGGAAGGGCCACTCTGGAAAGCATTATTTATAGATCTGACTGTTTGCCCACTCTTATCTTGAAGACAGGAATTTGGGACACTAGGTCACAAGTTGGTCTCTTCCTTTGTCAGCAGTCCATTCAACATGGCAATGCCCACACCCACCTCACAAGGCATGGATGACACAAAGAGATGGCTTGCCTGCAAGAGACCCAGCTGGTCTGGAGTTGGAGGCACACTTCATTTCTCTGCCCAGCTCGGCAGGCGGCTGGAGCAAACCAGGAGATCGCCTCAAATGTTTTAAATGTCAATATGGTCCCTTCTTGCTGGCTTGCCAAGATTTGACCAGCTAAATTGGCCTGTGTGGTGTGTTCCCTGCAGTGCACGGTACGAATTTAGATCTTTCATCAATGCTGTAAGGGAGGCTGGACAGCCGTCAACAGCAGCATGCAAATTCCCAGGGATGCTGTTCTGAAGGCTTCCACCTCCATCTTGAGAGCTACTTCCTGTCTCTTTGGGGCTTCAGTTTCCATAAAGGCCCTCATTGAACCCTTGGGCCCTAATTGGATTGGGGAAGAGACCAGTCCCATTTGGGAGACCACAGTGCCTTCAGCACCCTTGGCAAACTTCTTGGGTGCTGCAGTCCTGCCTAATGCCAGCCTTCTAGCAAGGCCTAGGGCGGGTCTGTCATTCCCACAGTGTCATATGTGCCAGGGGACAACCTAAATTGTGAGCTACACTCACCTAGACTACCAGAGGGCTTCACTTGCTCAGTCATTACTCAGCCAGCCGGGCCACGTGGACTATTTTCTACTGACTTTGCCTCTCTCCCATCACAGGGAGGCAAGTGAGAGAGTAGGAAGGCGTTGTTCTTCTCTAGCATGGTCCACTGTCAGGAGGGGAACACCAGCCCAGCATGAGGAGAGTGACCTGGGGGCCGAGGGTGATTTTTTTCTTTCTTTCTTTCTTTTTGAGACAGAGTTTCACTGTTGCCCAGGCTGGAATGCAGTGGCACGATCTCAGCCCACTGCAACCTCCGCCTCCCGAGTTCAAGTGATTCTTGTGCCTCAGCCTCCCGAGTAGCTGGGACCACAGCTGTGCACCACCACGCCTGGATAATTTTTGTATTTCAGTAGAGATGGGGTTTCACCATGTTGTCCAGGCTGGTCTCGAACTCCTGACCTCAGGGGATCTGCCCGCCTCGACCTCCCGAAGTGTGAGGATTATAGGCAGGAGCCACCTCGCCTGGCCCCGAGGGTGCTTTAGTTTTAGAATCTTCTCATTATAGGTGTGGTTGAATGTTTCTGGGACCCAAGCTGTCACCAGGAGCTGGCCCCGTCATGACAAAATAATTCACCCCTTCCAATCTACCCTTCCCCAGATGAGATAAAAATGACTGGGCATCCAGATTAATGACTGGATCACATGCAGGAACGTACTGGCTGTGAGCAGCCCTGGGCCAGGGCAGAGGTGAACTTGACAATCATGTGGACGCTGGCTTTTGATTACTGCTTCTTCTGGGCTCACGCTACCCAGGGCTCTCTTTAGACCATCTCTAGGTGAACTTTCTGCCCCAGGAATGATCACCTCCATTTTACTGGTGAGAGGTTCAAGGACTTCCCTTCCTTCTTTCCTCCCTTCCCCTTCTCTCCACTTCCTTCTCCTTCCCTCCTACATCATTTTTCCCTTTCCTTTCTTCCTCCCTTCCTTTAGCAAATAGCCCTGGAGCAGCTGACCGGTTCTAGGAGCTGAGAACAGGGTGATGGGTAAGAGGGACAAGGGCTTGCTCTCACGGTGTTTACATTCTAGTGGGGGCAGGAGACAAGTCAACAGATCAATAATTTCAGATAAGAACAGCTGCTCTAAGAAGAACAACTGGGGAGTGAGATGCAGTCCACTTTAGGCCGGTGGTTGGGGACGGCTTCTCTTGAGAGGTGGCATTTAGGGGACTAAATGGTAACAATGAGCTGGCCTTGGGCAGGTCTGGGGGCAGAGCCATCAGTGCCAGGGCACAGAGCTAGGAAATGCAGAGCAGCTGGTACCCACGACTGGTCTTGCCTGAACCCCTAATCCTTGCTCTTTCTGCCACATCCTGCTTTCCCACTTGGCCAAAGAATTGTGGTTGGCCAAAGGTGGGGCTAAGCTGTGCAGTGGGAGGGGCCAGGCTGAGCTGGAGGTGGCCAGGAGCCTCCTGGTACAGGGCCCTGGTGCCAGTGTCCTCACCCTCCCAGAATCCTGTTCATTTGTGTTGAGGACATGGGGTGAAGGATCTGAAAATGCATGCGCAGGCAGACGACCCACCCAGGCCATTCACAGCCGCAGCAGTTTGGGACTCTCCGCTTGGCCCAGGTAGGGAGGCACTTGCGGTCCTTCCCAGGCCTGCCGTGAGGCTCCAGGGCCAGCGCCTATCCCCAGCCCCAAGGAGGCACTCCGAAGAACCTATTTTAAATCTCAGCTCAGCATTTTTGGCCAACTTACAGAGAAGCTGCAAGATGAGTAAAGGAACTTGCCTATATTTTTTATCTAGATTTACCAGTTGTTGACATTTGCCCATCTGCTTTGTCATTGGTGCTCTCTCTATTCTGTGTGTGTGTGTGTGTGTGTGTGTGTGTGTGTGTGTGTGTGTGTGTGTTTGTGTTTGTTTTGAGATGGAGTCTCCCTCTTGTTACCCAGGCGCGATCTCGGCTCATTGCAACCACCACCTCCCGGGTTCAAG
Source organism: Homo sapiens (assembly GCF_000001405.40). Lineage (NCBI taxonomy): Eukaryota > Metazoa > Chordata > Mammalia > Primates > Hominidae > Homo > Homo sapiens. The sequence goes on from NC_000017.11 coordinate 79,822,403, forward strand.
CAATTCTCCTGCCTCAGCCTCCCAAGTAGCTGGGATTATAGGCACCGGCCACCACGCCCGGCTAATTTTTTGTATTTTTAGTAGAGACGAGGTTTCACCATGTTGGCCAGGCTGGTCTCAAGCTCCTGACCTCAGGTGATCCGCCTGCCTCAGCCTCCCAATATGCTGGGATGACAGGTGTGAGCCACCGCGTCCGGCCTTCCCACATATTTTTTTCTGAACCATTTGAGAGTCCATTGGAGACCTTGTGCCCTTTCTGCCTGCATACTTTGGGGTAGTGTGTTTTCCCTGAGATCAAGGACAAGATCTTACACAACAACCACAGTGCAATGGCCAGAATCAGGATGTTTAACATCAATCCAATACTGTTGTCTAACCCACAGTCCAGATGCCGTTTTCTCAGTCTCCTCAATAATGCTCTTTATAACTCACTTCTCTTTTCTGTTCCAAGAGCAAAGGATCCTGCGCTCATTCTGCGCCCTCTCCCTCTGGTCTCCTTTGCGCTGGGCAGGACCTTGGCCTCTCTCTGTGTTCTTTCACCTTGGCTTCTGAAGAGTACGCATCTGGGATTTCTTCGTGGTTGGATTCGGGCGCTGCGTTCTGGCGGGAAAACCGCTGGAATGACACTACGGACTTCTGGGTGCGGCTTCTCAGTGTTGGGAGGCCCACGATGGCAGTTTGGCCCATGATTGGTAACACTGGCTTTGATCCTTCCAATGTGATTTTTTTTTAACTTTTATTTTAAGTTCAGGGGTACAAGTGCAGGTTTGTTACGTAGGTAAACTTGCGGCGTGGAGGTTTGTGGCATAAATTATTTCATCACCCAGGTATTTTTTTTTTCTTTTTTGAGACGGAGTCTCGCTCTGTTGCCCAGGCTGGAGTGCAGTGGCCCGATCTCCACTCACTGCAAGCTCTGCCTCCCGGGTTCACGCCATTCTCCTGCCTCAGCCTCTCGTGTAGCTGGGACTACAGGCGCACGCCACCATGCCCAGCTAATTTTTTGTATTTTTAGTAGAGACAGGGTTTCATCGTGTTAGCCAGGATGGTCTCGATCTCCTGACCTCGTGATCCGCCCGCCTCAGCCTTCCAGAGTGCTGGGATTACAGGCTTCAGCCACCGTGCCCAGCCTCACCCAGGTATTAAACCTAGTACCCATTAGCTGTTTTTCTTGATCCTCTCCTTCCTCCCACCCTCCACCCTCCAAAAGACTTCCGTGTGTGTTGTTCCTTTCTATGTGTCCATGTGTTCTCATCATTTAACTCCCACTTATAAGTAAGAACATGTGGTGTTTGGTTTTCTGTTCCTGCGTTAGTTTGCTGAGGACAATGGCCTCCAGCTCCATCCATGTCCCTGCAAAGGACGTGATCTCTTTCTTTCTTTTTTTTTTTTTAGATGGAGTTTCAATCTGTCACCCAGGCTAGAGCACAGTGGCACAATCTTGGCTCACTGCAACCTCTGTCTCCAGGATTCAGGTGATTCTCGTGCCTCGGCCTCCTGAAAAGCTGTGACTACAGGTGCACACCAACACGCCTGGCTAATTTTTGTAATTTTTTTTTTTTTTTTTTGTGAGATGGAGTCTCGCTGTGTCGCCCAGGCTGGAGTTCAGTGGCGCCATCTCGGCTCACTGCAAGCTCCGCCTCCCGGGTTCACACCATTGTCCTGCCCCAGCCTCCCAAGTAGCTGGGACTACAGGCACCCGCCACCACACCAGGCTCATTTTTTGTATTTTTAGTAGAGATGGGGTTTCACCGTGTTAGCCAGGATGGTCTCGATCTCCTGACCTCGTGATCGCCCGCCTCGGCCTCCCAGAGTGCTGGGATTACAGGCGTGAGCCACCGCGCCTGGCCTAATTTTGTAATTTTAGTAGAGATGGGGTTTCATCATGTTGGCCAGGCTGATTTCGAACTCCTGGTCTCAGGTGATCCTCCCGCCTCAGCCTCCCAAAGTATGGGGATTACAGGCGTGAGCCGCCGCACCTGGCCCACGTCGTTCTTTTTTATGGCTGCCCAGTGCGGTGTTTTTGATTCGCACCATTTCCCGCCTCCTCTGGGCCTTTGTGTCTTCCTCGTCGTTGTCCTGGGCACCCCGGTCATCCTGGGTGCTCCTCGCCTGCTTCTGTCTGTTTCTGTTATGATGTTTCTCTGGTGTTTGGTCCCCGACCCTTTGGCTTCCTGACCTCTGTTTCTGTCTCTGTCTTTATCTCTGCTCTTCTCTTGGTTTCCTCTCTCCCTGCTGCCGCCTTCTCCCTTGATTTTATCCCTGTCTCATCCCTTTCTTATTCTCTCTCCAAAACACTGAAATGTCCATGACTGCAAGTGCCACATGGATCAACCACCAGGTTAACCTACAGCTAAAGACTGCAAGGTGCACCCTCTGGTTCTCACTTCTTTCCTAAGAGGATTAAAATGGAAGTGAGGAGAGTTCCCTCTGCGGAGCTGGACCTTGGAGGCCTCATACTCTACCCTAGGCGAGACTCATCCAGGAACTCATCTCCAGGCCCAGGAGAAAGGGCTGGCTTCAGGACCAAGCATTCCATAGGAAAGCTCCTCTCCCTGCCATCTAACTGCCTTCTGCCCACCCATAGGTCCTCTTGCACAGGAGGGCACACAGACCCCTACTCCCCTGTGGACCTAGGGCTGAGGTTCGCTGTGGTTTGGCTACAGCTGAGCAAATACTGTCTGTCTGCCTGCCAAGGCAGAGTCAACTCCCAGCTCTGAGGTTAGCAGGTTTCTCACCCTTTGAAGGACGGGGCCCACAGCAGCCTTCCTCTCCACTTGGTGGTCACCGGATTGGAGGAAGACCAGACCCTCACATCTTTCTGGGTTAGGCCCCAAACCACAGTCTGGAGAATGGAAGCCAGACCACGGCCCTCTAACAGCCACACTTGACCACTCACTCACTGCTTCGGCATTGAACTTTGAATTATGTTATCATCATTCCTATTACTATACCTAATTTTATAGCTGGTAGACAGGTAAACACTGTTCCTGACTGGAACTCAGATATCCACTTGTGGGCAAAGAATGGTCTCTCTTGCCCAACGATGATGTCTTGGCAATGACATCATCATTGCCAAGGTGATGATGTCAATCATTCACCTTGATGTTGACTTTTGTCTTTGGGGCCTCACTTTCCCCATTGTAGAACAAAGGGCTTGGAATAGAAACCCCCTGGTCCCTCTCTGTTCTGAGCTTCCAGGAGCTATCACTCCACCATCAATGGGCCAACCCTTTCCTCTGGGAGGGGCAGATGACTTACACTCCCCGTGGAGCTGACCCTGCGCCGTCCCTGGTCTTGGTTATGATGATGATTTGGTATGTTTGTGTGTGTTTCCCTCCTGGACCAACCCCTGGGACTTCCGCCCTTCTGGTTCCTCTGCAAACATTTGTTTTCATCTTAGTCTATGGAACAAGACATCACTAAGGACCAGAGTGATGCAAAAGACAAAGGGGAGAAACACTCCTGGCCACCCTGTCTAGTTCTTCCTGCTGGGCCAGGGGCTGCTTAGCACCGTCTCCAGCCTCAGGCCCTCAGCAGTCTCAGGGCTCGCCAGCTGCAGGTTAGGGAGCAGCTCAGAGGTTGGCCTACCTTTTCTTTGCCTCTTCAGGTGACACAGCTCAGGGGATGTCAGAACCAAGGGCCTGGAGAGCTCACACTCCACCCAACCCTCTCCTTTTGCAGATGAAAAACCCAAGGTCCAGAAAGGGGACGCAATGGCCATAGCAGCAGCAGAGCAGGGACTGAATCCCAAGGCTGATGACTTTGACTTCGGTGCTCCAGCATTCGTCTTCCCTGGATTTCTCAGCTCGCAGGCTCGATAACTCTCTTCTCTCCCCAGACTTGTTGGCAGGCAAGAGGAATAACTCATGTGAGTCAAAAGCAATTTGCAAACATAAATAATTTTCAATGCCAGGAGAGGAGACGGTGGGAAGATGCATGGAAGGTTGAGAGGAACACAGCCAGCCCCAAGTCTCCCTCGCCCTGCTGGGCACTTCCTCTTTCCACCTCGGCGCTGGTGGGAGAGTCGGAGTGCGCCATAAACAAGGCAGGAAACGGCTATCATGATGCTCACTTCCGCTCTTCCTAGAAGGGATTCTGCTCGGCAATCTCTCCACTCCCCACCCCCTGCCATGCACAGGATTTTGTACTCCCAGCTCCTCTGGAGGCTCAGAGGAGGAGATGGTCCTGCTGCACTGGCCCAGCCTTCCTCTACCTGGCTTGTCTTTTTCCTTGTCCTCAACCCCAAACAGCAAGTATCCTAACAAAGAATGGATAGTACACTATTATTTTTGTGACATTCATCTCAGTGTCATATTCCAAAGGAGCTTGACATTAATTGTCCTGTTCCTAATTTGGACACTGGTTTACGAAAGTGTGGTGACCACTGGAGACTGTTCTCTGACAGTGTAACAGGTATTCGCCCCTTTCCCCAGGGTACTAAGACTCACGTGGCCCTGACAGCCAGCACAGTCTCTTAGGAGGTTCCGGAGGGTGGCAGTGGGAATGAGCGTAGAGCCGTGTCATTTCGGAGGGCTGAGTGCATTCCACACATCTTCCCAAAGCCCACCCCAAGAGGCTGTCTAACGCAGGGGGAAACAATGAGAAACCAGATACCATGGAATTAGCAAAGAATTTCTCAGATGAAACAGGAAAGGGAGGAAATCCAGAGGGGTTTACATTACACCTGGCTCAGGTTGAAAGGATTCAGGGCCAGTTGTTGGCAATATTAAACTCCAGGCTGCGTTTGAAAGGGTCCTTCACTCGGGCAGCCAAAGAGAGGCGTTCCTGCCAGGATAGGTTGCATCGCTGCAGATCTCCAGCCCTACGTGCATACACACGTGCACACACACGTGTACACACACGTGCACACACATGTATGCACACACATGTATGCACACACATGCATGCACACACATGTATGCACACACATGCATGCACACACACGCACACACATGCACACATGCATGCATACATGCACACACGCGCGCACACGTGTGCACGCACATGCATGCACACAGACACGCACACGCACACACATGCATGCACACACGCACACACATGCACACACACGCACACACGCATGCACACACACACATGCATGCACACACGTGCATCTTGGATATCTCTTGTTAATGTCAGCCCTCTGCCCCAAACTAGATTTGAAAACTTGTAGGTAATCAAGTTTTCTGGTTAAGAGAAATAATCCCAGCCAACAGTTAGTAAGCTCTTATGTGTCAGGCCTTATCCAAACAGTTCACACGAAGACCAGATCCAAAAATAAAAGTGTGCTTTGTCCTCTGTGTGTTGCTGTGTGTGTGTGGGGGGGGGGTCACATGCACACCCACATCTCTGCCACCCTGAGTTGCGTGTTAAAGCTGCCTACGTAAGGGTAAAGTGGTTGCCATGCTGTTAGAAACGTGTAACATGTGTCTGGGCATGATGGCTCATGCCTGGAATCCCACGAATTTGGGGGGCTGAGGCAGGTGAATCACTTGAGCTCAGGAGCTCGAGACCAGTCTAACCAACATGGCAAAACCCCATATCTACTAAAAATACAAAAATTAGCAGGGCATGGTGGTGGGCACCTGTAATCCTAGCTACTCGGGAGGCTGAGGCAGGAGAATCACTCGAACCCGGGAGGTGGAGGTTGTGGTGAGCCGAGATTGCGCCATTGCACTCCAGCCTGGGCAACAAGAGCGAAACTCCGTCTCAAAAAAAAAAATAAAGAAAAGAAAAAAATGTATAACAGGTACCACTAGGCTAAATACAGAAATTCAACCATGAGCCTCTGGAACTTACTCCAGGATTATCCTTAGGGTCTGTTTCCCCAAATTCAATTACTACATAATTACCTGGAGTCTCCTGAAATTCTCACCAATGGATCAGGTGGAGAGCCAGGGGGCAGCAGGACCCCAGAGCAGCTGAGCGTGCACATGTCTGCTCTGCCCATGGTGGGGAGAGAGGGAACAGCCTCTGGGATGAGAGGGATGAGTCTCCTAAATGCTGGGGCTCCTGGGGGCAGCCCTGGGCCCTGGGTTTGTGGGTGATGTTAACGGCTTGCAGAGCAGGAACTGGCTTCTCTGCCTGAAAGCCCCAGTCTCTCTCTCTCTCTCTCTCTCTCTCACACACACACACACACACACACACACACACACACACACAGTTCTATACAGACACAAGGCATTGGATTCTGAGGTTTCTATTTAAGAACTGTGCAGGAGCTGAGGGAGTGCAGAGGACACCAAGACACACTGTTTTCCTTTCAGGAGCTCCAGGCTCTGTCTAGTTGGAGAATCCAGGCCCATATGCATATATGGGTGTTGGAATGTGCAATTGATTGACAATGAGTAGTGGGCGGGGGTGGGGGGCAGTAAACAGTGAATACATCAATAATTCAGCAGAGCAGGCCCTGGTAAAGGCTGGAATAATCTAGAACAACCTCAGGGAGGGGATGGGGCCTGAGCTGGCCTCTGAAGGACTCACAGGACCCTGGAAATTGGGAGCAGGACGGACCCTGAGAGGCGGATGATGCTAGCTCTAAATCCTTCTTTCCTCATTGACTGGCTGTTTGACCTTGGGCAGGTTACTCAAGGCCTCCATATTGCCACCTGTGAGAGAGGGACAATGACATTCCCCACCTCACCAGATGTGAGGATTTAATGAGATAATTCCCCTAAAGTGCTTGGCACATAGTAAGCTCAATCAATGTTAACTGTTATCATTTACTGCAAAGGGAAGAGAGGAGCAGGAGGAGGGAGTTGGGGGTGTGGTGGCTGCAGGAAGTAGACACTTGTGTCCAAGAATAACAACCTTCAGTAGGATTTCCTCTGCCCAGCAGTCACCTTCTCAGAGGAGCAGCCACCAGAACACAGAGCCAGAGAATACGCTTATTTGGAGAAGAAAGAAGATTTGATTTTGTCCAAGTGCAGGCTTGCCAATTTGCGGCTTGTCCTAACTCTCCTGTCCCAATGTCACTCTTAGGGACCCAGGATAAAGTTGGGGAGGCTGAGGCTGAGGTTTCAGATCCACAGATAATCCCCCCAGCAGGAACTGAGGGAAGAAGGCAGAGAGCTTTAGAGAGGGGGAGAGGGGTCAGGAGAGTTCTTTAGAGAGGGGGAGAGGGGTCAGGAGAGTTCTTTAGAGGTAAATATGACTGTGTGTCCATGCCTCAGTCAAACTAAGACTCCAGGCCAGAAATCGTTAGAAGACATTTAGATCTGACACAAGATGTTTAATGTTCCCTGGTGAAAAAATAACCTGTGTGTTTACTTAGGGAGTTTTCCAGGAGTGCTTAAGGTTCTCTCCCAACCCAATTCATCTTCACCATCTTGGCTCATCCTTTAAGGTAACCAAGAAATGGAGCTGTGGACAGGTAAAGGTTCTCTGGTGAGGGGAGTTGGTGCACCAGCCATCTCCCTTGTTTGCTCTAGAAGTTTGCTGTTTGGTGCTGGCGGGAGTCGGGGAGGAGCCCAATGTGGGTCAAATGGCAGAGGGACCCATTCTGGTCTCCCCCACTTCTCTGGGTTGTATCGCATGCACAGAGAACCTGAGAACTCCCACCCAGCCCCCACTAAATACCAGGTGAGGACCCTACCATCATGCAGTCATCCAGCAATTGTTCTATGCCTGACAACATACAGTATCATAACCACAGTGGCAGGACAGGTGGCTTTCAGCTTCCCATGCCTTCTCTCTCCTACTGGACTAGAACATCCCTGTGGGCAGGGACTGACCCTGTTGACGACTCAGGACCAAAATACGGCTTCCAGATAAAATCCAGGATGGCCAACTAGAGTCTGAATTTTACATAAACAACACATCCTTTTTTTAAAAAAGTAGAAATATGTCTCCAGCATTTCATGGGACAACTTCCACTAAAAGATTATGCATTGTGCATCTGAAATTCAAATTTCACTGGGCGCCCTAGATTTTTATTTGCTCAGTCTGCCAACACTGGACCCAAAGCACCCTGGATCTGTGGATCTCCTCTCCGCTGGACCCAGTGGGATCCAGGGATGGAGCAAACGCTAAAGGGCCGAACTTGGCTCTTCTGCAAATGAGCTGGGGGAGGGGCAGGCTGCACGGAGACCAGAGACTGGGGCGGGGCTGGGGTAGGCAGGGCTCGCTTTTCAGGGGTGGATACACAAGTGCTCCTCTCTCTGCCTGGGTGAGCTCCAGCCTGAATGCTGGAGGTTCAGCCCCATTAGAAAGATTCATTTTGAGGAAAAATAAAGACCGTGGGCTTGCTAGTGTGCAGGGTTAAGACCTAGCACCCTGCTTTCCTTCTCTTCCCTGAGCTTGGGCTCAAAGAGAGGTTTTACTACCCTTTGCTTGTGGGCACTGAGGGACATCCAGGGTTAGGAAGAGGCCGTCTACACCCAGAAGAACTGGGGCACCTGGACTCTCCCCACCCCAAAGACCCTTTGAGGAGAAACCCTCCTGTCCCTGGCCCCCTTGGAGCATTTCCAAACCCTTAACACCTTCGAAAGCCTGTGTCCAAGAGGCCCTGGGGCAGGTGGCCATGGCGTGTCTCCCTGCAGGTGGTGGAGCAGCCAGCTGGGCTCTAGAATGAGCATGGAACCTGGGCAGGCTGTCTGCCTATCAGGACCTCAGACTCTCCTCCCACAGGGAAGCCCAACCCCTGTGGGGACTGAATTGAACAAGAGTCACAAGCCCAGTGGCACCTGACATGTCTCAGAAGGGTCAGCAAATGTCCCTTTCGTCTAGGGACAGAGGGGGTCTCGGACCCTCTAGGGACAGAGGGGGTCTCGGACACTCTAGGGACAGAGGGGGTCTCGGACACTCTAGGGGCAGAGGGGGTCTCGGACACTAGGGGCAGAGGGGGTCTTGGGCACTCTGTTGGGTCTGGCACCAGGCTGATATCCCAGCAGCTCTTCCTGACCCACCCGTGGCCTCTGCCCGTTGTCTGCCTTCTGACCTCAGGCTTCAGGCTCTGCCCAGGACCACCCTTCTCCACTCGAGGGCTCTGCTAGCAGGCCTGGTTTTGAAGGCCTCAGGCCACCTGCAGGCCACACCTTTCCAGGAATGGTAGTGGAACGGTTTCCTTCCCTGTTCTGCGGGAGTGCCACCCTCTACCTCCCCTCTCCCACCCCCAGACCCAGCCAGGCAGAAGCCACCCACAGGGTGGGGGACACCACCAAGGGCTAAGGGTCACTCTGGTCACCAACTGTGGGCCTGAACAAGAGGCTTCCCTTCCCCTCCCGAGTCTTCAGTTCTCCTCAGCTAGAAAAACAGGGAGACGACGTCCACGCCTGGCATGGGCCTTTGTGTACCAGCCGGTGAAGGACAGGCCCAATTCTCGTGCCCAGCAGGCAGTTTGCCAGAAGCAAGATCACCCTCCTTCCACCCCCGGGGTGGCAAAGGACATTCATTCCGTGGAGGGGGAGGGGACTGTGTAACTCACTCTAAATGGGGCTGGGGTGACCGGGGAGTGGGAGGGACCACTCACAAAAGCCAGGGCTAGAAACTCCCAACGGCTTTTTTTTAAAGAACTTCCCTTCCCCCTCCCCTCCCCATGCTGGGCTCCCCTCCCCCACGTCCAGCCGCTGGTGGCCTGCAGCCAACACTGGCCACACTGTCCGCATTCAGGCCTCCCCGCCCTCCTGGCCCTCATCTCTCCCCAGCCTTCCCCACACTGGCTCTCTCGCCACCTCGCCACCCCCCACCACTCTGAACCACGTTGACCTCTTCCGCCCTGGCGCCCCGCACAGACCCGGGCCCCTTGGTCCCAGGCGGGCAGGGGAAGGGCTTCGGAGGCCGGGAGCAGCCCCGCGCCCGCCAGGCCCCCAGCCCCGCGGTCCCTGGCCCTGTGCGGCCACCTCAACCAGGAGGAAGATCGCTGCGTCTGCAGAAAGCTGGCCACCGCCGCCGCGTTCCCGGGTCGCGGCTTCCTGGCCCGCTGAGCCGCACCCCGGAGTTCGGCCCAGTCCCGTCGCCCCCTCTGGGACCTTAACCCCTTCCTCCCCCGCGACACCAAGGGCCTTGGCCTTGCCACCCTAAGGGAGAAGGGTGAGGAGTCCCAGCTCTCCTCGCTAAGGAAGTGGGGGTGGCAGGCCTCGCTCCCCCGCCCTCCTCCCCGTCCCCATCCATCTCGCAGGAAGCCCCCCGCCCCCCACCCCGGCAGCGCTCGCCGCGCCTCTAGTGGGAGCCTCTGGCCTGGTGGTTTCCGGGGAGAGAGCCCGAAGAGCAAGGGCCTCGGCAGCTTCCTCAGTGGGGCAGGGCCGGCGATGCCAGCCAGGGACGCCGGAGAGGCTGGGGGTCCCCGCCCCGCGGAACCTGCCCTACCGGGCGCGATTATTAAGAAGGAACCTCCCTGCCCCGCCAGGGCTTGCGCCTGGGTGTGTTGAGCCCCAGGGGTGGAGGCTACGGGGGAGGAGAGCCAAAGGTCAGCCGCTGCCCAGTGGGTGCCGCGAGGGAGACTAGCCCCACCCGCGTGTCCGCGCCGCCCACCCCTGCACCCCCTCCTCCCCTACCCAGAACCCAGGGTTTGCCAGTGCCTTGGGCACCGCCGGCCGGAAAGCCCTGGGGGCGGGGACGGCTCCCACACCCACCCCCCCGCAGGAATTCCCCTTCCCAGCCGGGCGCCTCTCGACTTCCCAGGGAGCGGGGTCACCCTCCTGCGCCGGCGCCGCGGCCCGCAAAACCAGCCCACTTCGCTGGTGCAAAGGTTCAGCACAGGGCTCGAAGGCGGAGTTGGTGGCGAGAGGGGTCCGCTCATCTCAAACAGCGAAAATGCACCTTCAACATCTCCATTTAATATTTACATTCAAGCAGGTAATAGTTGGAAGCTTATAGTTTAGACATTTCTAGTAGCAGCAGTTTCTAGAGAGCTCGTGTAGCCTTTTAACAAACTTTTTTTTTTTTTTTTTTTTGCACATAGAAACAAGACATCCATGTGTACAGTATCAAAAAATATATACCAAGGTTACTGGTATTGCAGTTCGTGGAAGGGGAAGAGAGGGGAGAAAATGAAATCAACCGAAATACTGGATGGAGGGGAAGAAAGGTCAAAAGAAAATAGTTTGTCTGATATAGAATATAACATGATCTAGAGGAAACTCCATAAATCTAGGTTTTTATATTTCAATATATAAATACCTACAAATAAATATATATATAGCAGCCCGAAGGGGGGTGGTCGGGCCTTTTGAGCTCAAACAATACATTTCAATAATAACACCACGTACAAACGGGAGTAGAGTCAGCACTTGACAAGTTAGCACGGTTAAAATATAATACTAGAACTCTGAGGCCGGGCGCAGAGCTGCCCTGTCCGTTCCGGGGGTCCATCTCCAGCGGGGAAGGGCAGGAGAGGGCGAGCCCCGCCGGCACCGCGTGGAAGGGGCCTCCGCCCAGGTCTGACAGCCGCCGCAGGGGGAACATGGTTACCTCCGCTCCGGGCGTCCTCACCCTGGGGGCCAGCCTGGGTCTCTCGCGGTTGGCGGGTTGGCGAGAGGGGAGCCCGCCCCGAGGCCCCAGGTGCTCAGCTCCCCGCCCCCCCGCGGGAATGGCGCTTCCCCTTCCGACGCCCTCCGGCTACACCGTCACGTACTCCTTGAAAGTAACGGTGAGGCAGTTCGCGGTGACGTCGGTGATAATTATATTCCCAAAGAAGGGCTTGAACTCGCTCAGCGACTCTGCAGGTTCGTCCTGGGCCTCGGCTGGAGGCTTCTCCGCCGTCGTGGTGGGTGCCGCTGCCGCCGCCACCGCCACCGCCGCCGACGCCGGTGTCTCGGGCTTCACCTGGAGGGAGCTGGGCGGCTCCCCGGCCTCGCTGCGCGTCTTGACGCAGCGCAAGTCTATGGGTTCATCCAGGTCTGAGTCTAGCAGGATGACCTCGGGCTGCGGGAGGGCGGCGGCTGGTGGCAGGTCGGCCGGGCGCTCAGCGGCTGGGCTGCCCCCCAGGCAGGTGGGGGTGCTGATGCTGCGCGCAGTCAGCCGCTTCTTGCAGGGCTCGCGCTCGCCGTGGGTCTCGGAGAGGCAGCGCTTGCGCACGTGGGAGAGATTCAGGCCGACGGCGTGGTGGTGGTGGTGGTGGTGGTGGTGGTGGTGATGGGGGTGCGGGTGCGGGTGGTGTGAGGGCGGGTGCGTGTTCCGGGCCGGGTCCCAGGCAAGCAGGTCGGGCTTGGTGGTGAGCTGCAGGGGCTGCTCTCCAAAGGCCTCCTTGGTCGGGGACAGCTTGCGGGAGCCGGCATCCTGGGGCTGCGGATCGCTAACCCCGGACACCTCCTCCTCCCTCCTCTTGGGCGGCGCCTCCACCTTCTTCTCCTCTGCGCCCGCCGCCTTTTTAAAAGTCCTGTCGGCAGGAGGGTGGCGCTCGTCGGCTGCCCGCTTCTTGTGGCTGGGGGAGCGAGCCTCCCCCTCTGCCACCTCGCCGGACTTGATCTTCACCGCCTGCATGCCGTTCTCCATGTATTTGCTCATCACGATCACGATGCGTCCGTTCTTGTTCTTGTTCTTGACTATCTTCATCTTGCCCCCAATCCCGTTGCCCGTCACAGCCTCTTTGGGGGCCGGCATCATTCCGTTGGGGGGGCCCTTCTCGGAGCCTTTGCCTGGAGCACCCGCCGCACCGGCCAGGGGCTTCACCGCCCCCAGGTAGCCTTTGGCCCCCGCACCTTGCGCCCACTTGTCGGGCGGGTGGCTCTTGGCCCCCAGGTCCGGGCAGGTGGGGCTGGGCGCCTCCTTGTGGCCGCCCTGGTACTGCAGGTCGTACATTTTGGGGTCGGGCTGGTAGGGGTGGTGCTTCTTGCTGTTGAGCTGGTAGTAGTACTTGCCGCTCTTGCCCGGCGGCGGGGGCTTGCCCGCCCGCTCCTTGCTGTGCGGCTGGTACTGGTGGTGCTTCTTGCTGTTGAGCTCGTACTGATGCCCCTGGCCCTTCCCCTGCGCGCCCAAATCCAGCTTGGCACGGTTGTCAGTGGAGGAGTCCTGGAGGCCGGTCAGGACATTGGAACGACGGGCAAAGGTAGGCACCTGAGGGAACGGGTGCAGGGGTGAGAGGAGGGAGGAGACAGCCCCACCGCATGCCGGGAGTTTCTGGAGCGTCCCAGCCCCCACCAGGTCCGCAGCTGCCTCATGGGGGGCAGGAGGTGGGAGGTCTAGTAGAAAGGGAACAGGGTCAGGGTGCTGGGAGGAACCACCACCACCCCCCCCATCCCCAGGCCTGGAGGCAGCTCTGGTGGCCATGTCAAGGGGGTGCCCAGGGGCGGCCGTGTGTATTCACCTGCACCACTAGCGGTTTGGGCTTCGGCCCTCTCTTCCGATATCCCATCAGCTGCTCCTGCCGTTCCCTGGGTGGGAGGGAACAGAGGGCAGTGCTGTTAGCCTCAGGGTCGCCCCCTACCCGCTAATTCCGGAATCTTCTGTGATGCCCCCCCCCCCGCTTCAGAGAGCATCAGGTAGGGCTGGCCGGACACAGGAATCAAGAGTTCAGGGCAGGTCAGGCCTCTGCGCCCTTAACCCTCACACCAACCCTCCTCTGCCCAAGAGGTCCTGGGCAAAGGGCTCCCCCACTTTGATGCCCACACCCGAACCAGCACCCCCCCAAGCCCCACCTCTGTGCTCAGGAGGCAGAAGCTCAGGGCTGCACCTCTGGCCCTCCTGCCCACGGCCTTGGGCCTGTGGCTCTGTGCGAAGCAAAGTGGACACGGGGATCCAGGGAAGACAAACCAGCCCAAGCGAGGTGTGCGCCGACCTCATCCCTCCCGTCAGAAGCGCGGGATGCTAATGACCTCATTAAGATTCCGATAACGAGTGCCTCCGGCAGAAGGGAGGGCCCTTTCTTAAAGGCCAGGCACTAAACAGGGGGAGGGGCTGCGCCCTTGTTTACACAGCGGCAAATGAGCCAATTAGGGGCTGGGGGCGGGGGCGGGCCACCAAGGCCAGGGTGTGGCCAGGTTTGTGGCCACCTGGTGAACGCTGCGCTCCTCCCAGCTGAGCAGGTGGGCGTGGCCGGAGCAGCTTAGAGAAGCACCGCCTCCTCCTCGGAGTCTGGCTCCTGGCTGCCTCAATTTCCAAATAATGAATAAAGCCCATGGGCGGAGGCACCGGTCACTACAGCCACCAGGCTCCTGCCTGCAGGCCAGCCTAAGGGTGATCCACAGCTGGGGGCTGGATCTTCCCAGGCACTACCCAGCCCTCCACGGACGAGTGGGATGCCTCTCTAGTGTCTGCCAAAGTTGCAGCCCATTCCTGGGCCGGAAACGGGTTCCTCACAGACCCTAGCTACCACCCCCATGCCTCCTTGGACCAACCCTGGGGAGTTCTGACATGCCCCAGGGCGGGGGCCGGGGCCTGACTCTGAAGTTGCGTGGCATTGCGACAGCCTGCGTTTTAATTCTTCAGGGACCCATTATGCAACGTGGCATCAGCCGCTGACATGGTTACAGGGTGGTGAACTCCCAGGTGGAATGGGGCAGGATCCCAGCTACGTGCCCCCCCTGCATTGCGGGAGGGCAACTGCCCTGCCCCGCCGGTGGCTAGCTCAGAGGGTCTACAGTTTACAGTTTTAGCGCCAAACGCGCCACAGGAAATAGTGCAAAATAAAAGGGGGAGGAGAGATGGAAGGCAGCGGGGTGGCCGAGCTCCAAGGGCCCCGGCTGCTCCTCCCCTCCTCGCCCTTCCCCCTTCTACCCTCTCCGAAACAGAGAACCACAGCCACCGGCGACGAACCCAGCTGCAGCAGCTGCAGCGTGACAAGCAACCGTGCGCACGAGGATGAGTCCCCCAGAAGAAGCCACCCCTCCACCACCAAGCAGCGCCCACCCCAGGCCCTTGGGCCAAGCCCCCCTGCCTTGAGGGTGGGTGGCCCTGCCCTGCCAAACAGCCCAGTGGGGTCCGGGGCGGGGGGCAACCCAGCACCCTATGGAATCTACTCCTGACCAAGCTTAAATTCCCTGGGGTGTGCGGGTGCAGCTTTTAAGGCCATGTCAACTTTCCTCCAGCCGCCAACAGGTTAAGTTCAGTTCCATGACGTCCGGGCGGTTTCACAATGCCAGCTCCCTCAGAGCTGCACCGCGAGGTGCTGGTGCCAAGCGGCCAGTGGCTGCAGGACAGCAACACCTAGGCTCCGGGGGTGGGGCTCCCAGGTTGCAACAGGAGGGGCCCCTGGGGAACCAGGCACAGCCCCAAGTTCTCCGGGCAGCTGCATGGCCACCCACACACACCCTTCCCAAACTTCCCCCAAAACCCAAGCCTGGCCTTCCCTGGCCTTGCCCCGCCCCCACCCCAAGCTGCAGCAACCGCCAAGGACGCTGGTTAGAGGAGCTGGGGCCGCAGCGTGCCCATCCAGGCCGGTTGGGGAGGGGGCTCCCACCAGCCCCCTCCACGCCCCTTTCCTATTGCTGCGTCGCCCACTTTGCCATTCCCATATACGGTCACGGGTGGCAGGCGGTGGCTGCGTGGGGGACGCTCACCTGTTCTGGAAGGCGATCAGCAGCCTGGGGTCCAGGATGTTCTCCTCCGGTTCCCACGTGTTATATCTTGCAAGGGAAAAGGGAGGGGGACACGGTGTAAAAAAAAAAAAAAAAGCCACCTTTGCCGCGGCCTCCAGGTGGGGAGTGACATAAGGCCCTACTCTGTCTTTATGAACATTTAGCCGTGGATGTGGAAGGTAGATTTCCGCAGGCCTGACGTAGTCCCTGATACACAGCCCCCCCCTCAAATAAACACGCAAGGGCAGGAAGAAAGGGGAGGGGTAAGGAAAATGAAACTAGCAGTTTATTTTGCAGTTGTCAAGAATTTTAAGCATGTTACTGCGACATGTTCCAAAGCCACTTTGCTCACCAGGAACCCTGCGTGCAAAGCAGCCGAAATGCAAAGTCGCAGTCCCCCTCCTCTCCCCAGCCCCGAGTCCCCGCGAGGGCTTCAGCCGTTCTCCATTTGACCCCTAATCCGATAGCCAACAGCCAAGCGTCCCCCCCACACCCCCTCGTGGCCCAGGAGCCCGCTGTCACGGGCGAGCAAACCCCAAATACTCAGCAACACAAAAATATGCCTCCGTGTGTGTGTGTGAGTGTGCGTGTGCCTGCGCGTCTATCTCCATCCGGTGCCTTCGCATTTCAAATTAAAGAAAAAAAATTCTCCACCAAAAGCGCCGCAGTGACAGTTCCCAACATTTTCTGCCTTTCTTCTTCCCCTCCCTGCACCACTAGGAGGGAGAAGGCACACAATTGCATTTTCGTCGCTTTTTAATTTTTTTTTTTTGGTTTTGCAATATGGAGCCGTTCGGTGGAGGGAAAGGGGAAAGGAGCCATTTTCTGCTGCACATCAGTCAGTGCCTGCGCCCTCCCTCCCTCCGCCGGCCTCCCCGGCTCGGCCCCGCGTCTCTCCAGCTCCTCCGGCTCCTTTTAGTGCATAAATTAGTGATGGCATTTCCCGGAGAGCGGAGCACAACACAGGGCGCCGGGCTCGGGCTCGGCGGCTCGGCTTCCCCAGTGCCTGCCACCGACTTCCCCACCCCCTCCTCCCTCCACCCCACCTCCACCCCGCCTCCCGTCCGCTCCCCCCACCCCCCCAGCAGCTCGGCGGGTCCGCGGCCCCGAGCCCCGCGCCTCGGCCCCCGGGCCCCCGCCCTCCGCCGCGACTTACTTGGGCGACCAGCCTCTCCATTTCACCAGATACTCCACTCTGCCCTGGGGGGAAGAGACAGCACTCCATCAGCTTCCGCGGGATCCCCGGCCCGGCCCGCAGCCTCCCCACCCCCTCCCCGCCTCCTCGCGGGCCGCTCCGGCCGCCGCTCGCCGCCCCCGCGCCGCCCTACCTTGCGGATCCGCTTCTTCTCGATGCTCTCCACCGCGAAGACGTGCTCGCCAACAGCTGGCAGCTCCATGGCCGAGCCGGAGCGCGCCGGGGCGCTGGCGGCCGGCGCGGCTGCAGACGCTGCTAGCTCCCGCCGGCGCCCAGCTGCCGCCCCGGCCGAAGCGCCCCCGCCGCCGCCGCCGCTCGCCCCGCACAGCCCGGCCGGCCCGCCGCTGCCCGCGCCCGCCCCGGCTCCCGGCTCGCGCTCGCTCAGACAACTGAGCCCGGGCCGCGGCTGCACAAGAACTCATGCAAATCCCGGACGTCAGCGGGCGGGGCCTCGCCGGGCCCAGCTCGGCGTCAGGGGGCGGGCCGCGGCGCGGATTGGCGCAGCCGGGCCTACCGGAGGCCCCGGGCCTGGGCGGCGGGGGGAGGAGGAAAGGGCGCGGGTGGGGGACGCGGAGGGGAGGGCGCCGGGGAGGTGCAGGGGGAGGGATCGGCGAGCCTGGGAGAGGGAGGCTGCAGAGAGGGAGCGGGACCGGGAAGGAGAGGTGTGTCCGCCGGGGCGGAGGCGGGCGGAGAGCTTGACAGCCCGGAAGGGTCTCGGCGGCGACCCCTCGCCCACATCCCGGTGCCCGGGCCTCCCCCTCGCGGCACGTTCTCAGTGTTCACGGCCCCGGGACCCCTGCTGGGGGCCACGGAAGCATCCGCCGCCGCTCCCAGTTGCACCGAATTGCGTCACCAGCGCCCCGGGACGCGCGGGCCCCGCCGGCAGGGGGCGGAATGGGGCAGGGGCAGCTCGCGCCCCACTGCGGGCCCCGCCTCGCCTCCAGGCTCCGGGCATTTTGGAGCGCGAGGAGGGAAAGGGACAGGGCGGAGAGAAGGCCGAGGACTGGGTGCCAAGGAGAGATTGAAGAACGCACGAGGAAGGGGACCGAGGAGCAGCCAATCCCGGGGCCCTGGCGCCCAAGAACCTCGGCAGAAAGGGCTCCAAATCCGATCCCACCCCGATCCTCAATGGCTCCGAATTTACACTTGGTCCTCTTATTGACGGGGCGAGATGTCCTGTTTCTAGCAGCCTCCAGAGCCAAGCTAGGCGAGAGGCGTAGGAGGCAGAGAGAGCGGGCGCGGGAGGCCAGGGTCCGCCTGGGGGCCTGAGGGGACTTCGTGGGGTCCCGGGAGTGGCCTAGAAACAGGGAGCTGGGAGGGCCGGGAAGAGCTTGAGGCTGAGCGGGGGACGAACGGGCAGCGCAAAGGGGAGATGAACGGAATGGCCGAGGAGCCACGCATTCGCCTTGTGTCCGCGGACCCTTGTTCCCGACAGGCGACCAAGCCAAGGCCCTCCGGACTGACGCGGCCTGAGCAGCAGCGAGTGTGAAGTTTGGCACCTCCGGCGGCGAGACGGCGCGTTCTGGCGCGCGGCTCCTGCGTCCGGCTGGTGGAGCTGCTGCGCCCTATGCGGCCTGCCGAGGGCGCCGCCGAGGGCCCGCGAGCTCCGTGGGGTCGGGGTGGGGGGACCCGGGAGCGGACAGCGCGGCCCGAGGGGCAGGGGCAGGGGCGCGCCTGGCCTGGGGTGTGTCTGGGCCCCGGCTCCGGGCTCTTGAAGGACCGCGAGCAGGAGGCTTGCGCAATCCCTTGGCTGAGCGTCCACGGAGAAAGAAAAAGAGCAAAAGCAGAGCGAGAGTGGAGCGAGGGATGGGGGCGGGCAAAGAGCCATCCGGGTCTCCACCACCGCCCTGACACGCGACCCGGCTGTCTGTTGGGGACCGCACGGGGGCTCGGGCGAGCAGGGGAGGGAGGAGCCTGCGCGGGGCTCGTGTTCGCCCAGGAATCCCGGAGAAGCTCGAAGACGGTCTGGTGTTGAACGCACACGTGGACTCCATTTCATTACCACCTTGCAGCTCTTGCGCCACGGAGGCTGCTGCTGCCCGGCGGCTGCTACCCACCGAGACCCACGTGGCCCCTCCCCAGGGGTGTAGGGGTGACGGTTGTCTTCTGGTGACAGCAGAGGTGTTGGGTTTGCGACTGATCTCTAACGAGCTTGAGGCGCAAACCTAGGATTCCCTGAGTGTTGGGGTGCGGCGGGGGGGCAAGCAAGGTGGGACGACGCCTGCCTGGTTTCCCTGACTAGTTGCGGGGGGTGGGGGCCGGCTCTCAGGGGCCACCAGAAGCTGGGTGGGTGTACAGGAAAATATTTTTCTCCTGCCGTGTTTGGCTTTTTCCTGGCATTTTTGCCCAGGGCGAAGAACTGTCGCGCGGGGCAGCTCCACCGCGGAGGGAGAGGGGTCGCGAGGCTGGCGCGGGAAGCGCTGTAGGTGGCAGTCATCCGTCCACGCCGCACAGGCCGTCTGCGCCGTCGGACCATCGGGAGGTCTGCAGCAACTTTGTCCCGGCCAGTCCCCTTGTCCGGGAAGGGGCTGAGCTTCCCGACACTCTACCCTCCCCCTCTTGAAAATCCCCTGGAAAATCTGTTTGCAATGGGTGTTTCCGCGGCGTCCAGGTCTGGGCTGCCGGGGGAGGCCGAGCGGCTGCTGCAGCCTCCCTGCTGCCAGGGGCGTCGGACTCCGCTTCGCTCACTACGCCCAGGCCCCTCAGGGGCCCACGCTCAGGACTTCGGGGCCACACAGCAGGACCCGGTGCCCCGACGACGAGTTTGCGCAGGACCCGGGCTGGGCCAGCCGCGGAGCTGGGGAGGAAGGGGCGGGGGTCGGTGCAGCGGATCTTTTCTGTTGCTGCCTGTGCGGCGGCAGGAAGCGTCTTGAGGCTCCCCAAGACTACCTGAGGGGCCGCCCAAGCACTTCAGAAGCCCAAGGAGCCCCCGGCCACCCCCGCTCCTGGCCTTTTTGCCAACGACTTTGAAAGTGAAATGCACAAGCACCAGCAATTGACTTCCCTTCCGTGGTTATTTATTTTGTCTTTGTGGATGGTGGGCAGATGGGGAGAGAGGCCCCTACCTAACCTCGGTGGCTGGTCCCTAGACCACCCCTGCCAGCCGGTGTGGGGAGGAGCTCAGGTCCGCGGGAGAGCGAATGGGCGCCAGGAGGTGGGACAGAATCCTGGGAAGGTACAGCGGACGCCCTGGAAGCTCCCCTGATGCCCCAGAGGGCCCTTCCTGGGAAACCTCCCGGGGGGGTGCCCCATACCATCCCACCCGGCTGTCTTGGCCCCTCCCAGGGAGCCGCAGGAGAAACTAGCCCTACACCTGGGATTCCCAGAGCCTTCTGCTGGGGCTCCTGCCCCCGACTTCGGATAACCAGCTCCGCACAGGTCCCCGAGAAGGGCCGCTGGCCTGCTTATTTGATACTGCCCCCTCCCAGACAGGGGCTGGTCGAGCCCCTGGTTCTGCTGCCAGACTGAAGCCTTCCAGACGCCACCTCGGTTTGGGCCCCCAGGGCCCTCAGGGGCCCCAGGAGAGGAGAGCTGCTATCTAGCTCAGCCACAGGCTCGCTCCTGGTGGGGGCCAGGCTGAAGGAGTGGACCCTGGAGAGGTCGGGAACCTTTTAACAGCCGTGGGCTGGAGGGTGGCTACTAAGTGTTCGGTCTGGGAAGAGGCATGACCCGCACCATCCCGGGGAAATAAACGACTTCTTAAGGGAATCTTCTCGCTGAGCGGGTGCTCTGGGCCAGGAGATTGCCACCGCCAGCCCACGGAACCCAGATTTGGGCTCTGCCTTGAGCGGGCCGCCTGTGGCTTCCCGGGTCGCTCCCCCGACTCAGAAAGCTCTCAAGTTGGTATCGTTTTCCCGGCCCTCGGAGGTGGATTGCAGATCACCGAGAGGGGATTTACCAGTAACCACTACAGAATCTACCCGGGCTTTAACAAGCGCTCATTTCTCTCCCTTGTCCTTAGAAAAACTTCGCGCTGGCGTTGATCATATCGTACTTGTAGCGGCAGCTTAGGGGCAGCGGAACTGGTGGGGTTGTGCGTGCAGGGGGAGGCTGTGAGGGAGCCCTGCACTCCGCCCCTCCACCCTTCTGGAGGAGTGGCTTTGTTTCTAAGGGTGCCCCCCCAACCCCCGGGTCCCCACTTCAATGTTTCTGCTCTTTGTCCCACCGCCCGTGAAAGCTCGGCTTTCATTTGGTCGGCGAAGCCTCCGACGCCCCCGAGTCCCACCCTAGCGGGCCGCGCGGCACTGCAGCCGGGGGTTCCTGCGGACTGGCCCGACAGGGTGCGCGGACGGGGACGCGGGCCCCGAGCACCGCGACGCCAGGGTCCTTTGGCAGGGCCCAAGCACCCCTCGGGGCCACACCGCCGCCCGCAGGGCCGCGCCTCCGCATTGCGGCACGCTGGGGTCGCAGGCGCCGAAGCGGGACGCGCTGTTTTCTACGACGTCCGTCCCTCCCAACGTCAGGGCAGCCACCTCAGGCCCGCCCGGAGAAGCCCACCCGGCCCCCGGCCCCCACTCAGTCGCGAGGCCCCGCCGGCCTGGAGATCTGCGCCCCCGGGATCCATATTTCAAATATGATCTTTGGAACGGCTTCCACCGCCCGCCGCCGCCGCCGCCGCGCTCACAACGGCCTCGGCGCACTGTGTTTTTATTTGGGTTTCGTTTGCTCAAGGTCGCCCCGCGGCTCTCCCGTGCCCCTGAGGTTCACCCCTTCACGCCAGCCCCTGCGTTTTCCTCTCGGGTGTCCCCGTCGCGCCCCCAAACCCAGCGGGGCCCACTCGCAGGGCAGATTTCTTTCTTCCTTTTTCCAACCAAGAGCTGCTGCAGCAAGGCAGGGAATGAAATAAAAATCGCTAGGCGGACCCCGAAGTGGTCGTCAGCCGAAGCGCAACTGCCCCCCTCCAACTCGCTCCCCTGCGCCCCTCCCCCTCGGCTACTCCCCTCCCAGCTCCCAGCCTCGCGGCGCGCCGAGGGTTAAGCGCGCGCGCGAGGTGGGGGTATTTGGCTTGGGAGGGGGGCGAGAAAAGGGGGCGCCGAGCGCCGCTGGCGGAGAAGCTGGGCTCGCTCTAGTTCCCTCTCCCCAACCCCGGAGCCGAGGGGCGGCCCGATCGGAAGGGCCCGGCGCGTCTCCGCCTCCCCGGCTGGCCTGCAGCCTGGCCTGGCCGCGGCCCGGAACCGCGAGGACGCTGCTTGGAGGCCGCGTCCTGCGTAGCCCGAGAGGGGGAGGGGGGCGGAGGCTCCGGAGCCGCGGCCGCGCGTCGCCCGCCAGCCGATCGATCCCCAAAGGCGGGAGCGCGGTGAACCCCGCCGGACACCTGGGGGGTCCCGATGCCTCTGCAGGACTGAGGGGCGAACGGAGAGGGGCTCAGGGATCCTGTGGCCGTGGGATGGCGGCCGGCAGGGCCCAGCCGGACCGCAGCTTGGCCTGCACTGCAGGGCGGGTGGTAACACCTCGGGCACCCCCAAAATTCCATATTGTCTGCATGGGGCCCAGGCTTTGGACACTTCCGGAGCCGAGTCCGGTCGCAGTGCAACTTCATCCCTACCTGTCCAGCCCCCAACCCCACCCCCATCCCCGATGACGAGGTCGTGGGACGCGGTCACCCCAGTCTATCTGGTCGCCCCGCCCTCCTGAATCCTGGTAGAAATGTTCGGGTGTCCCCTCGACCCCACCTACGGGAAGATAACCCAGGTGTGCCCTAAAAGTCCCCTTCCCCAGCTTCTTCCAGAAGGCCGTTTCCTGAAGTGGTCCCTGGGGATGGCCCCTGAGGACCTCCCCCAGCCCCCCCGAGCCCCCAACCCCAGGGATCCCCCTTGGCTCCTCGCCTGCCAGTCCCGGGTGCCCAGGCAGGGCCCGGGCAGGGGCGCAGAGGAGCTTGCACTCGCCACGCCCTCCCCTAGGGGGCGGGCTCCCCCTGGCCGGTCCGGCAGCCCCTCCGCGCCTCTCCCGCAGGGGGGAAGGAGGTCCGGACGCGGGCAAAGCGGGGGTCTCGCTGCAATGAGAGATGGCCTGAAAAGCCCCGCACCCCCGCCTCCTGCACACCCCGTCCCTTCCCCCTCCCCACGGCGGCCGGGCTGCTGCTTTCGTAGCCAGAAACAACCCGCTCCAGGGGACTTTGAACCTTGGGAGCCCCTGCGCCCTGAGCACGGAACAGGCCCCAGGGGTGCGGGCTATTGTCCCCGACGCGGGCCTCGTGCTCGGGGCCCTTCCACTCCCAGCGGGAAGTCCACACGAGCAGCACACACATATCTTTTTATTTGAGAGTTTAAAAGGAAATCTGAGGTCCAGAGGATCACAGAGCCTCTTGTTCTGCTATCAAAGGACCAATAAGAAGCAAACTGATATTACAGGGCAAATGTTCCCAGACAGCCCAGCCTGCTCCCCTTAGGAATGAGTGTCCCTGGAGGGGGAGAGCCTGGAACCAAAGCCCCGCCAGGAACTGCTTCCCCTAAACTGAGGTTCTCTGAAAAAAATGTTCGCCTGGCTGATAAAGCCGCCTCTTAACAGAGCCCAGACACTTCTGTGCTTCCCCTGGGTTGCTAATTGAGGACACTAAAGCCCTAAGAGATACCCCAGGTCGGGGGAAGGGGCCCCAAGACCTAGACCTCCGGTGGCGACCATGCCCTTGAGAGGATGGGAGCTGAATTGGAGCACGAGATTATTTATCATCGCTGGATGAAGCTCCAGCTAGAGCTCAGTATTTCCTCTTTTTCTGGGCTCAGACAGACACAGACTGGAAGGAATCCTGTCCGTGTGGCTGTGGGAGTGTTCAGTTGATAAAGGGCATGTGTGGTGCAGGGGTGGGGCCAGCCCTGTGCTCTTCTGGGTGGGGCCCCTCTCCATCAGGCCCAGGAGGCTCCGTGCAGGGCCCATGAAAATGTTCTAGTAAAAAAGAATTGTTTATTTTAAAAATTGTGGTAAAATACATATAACATGAAATGAACCATTTTAACCAATTTTCAGGCTCAATTCAGTGGCATATGCACATTCATGTTGTAGTGGGACCATCACAACTGCTAGAACTTTTTCATCTTCCCAAACTGAAACTCTGTCTTCATTAAACACCAGCTCCCTCTCTTAGACCCTGGCAGCCTGCATTCTACCTTCTGTCTCTATGAATTTGACTACTCTGGGGACCTCATCTGAGTGAACTCACACAGAATTTGTCCATTGTGACTGGCTTATTTCACTCAGCACAATGTCATCAAGGTTCATCCATGCTGTAGCAGGAGTCAGAAGTTCCATCCTCTCTCTTTTTTCTTTTTTTGTTTTTTGAGGTGGAGTTTTGCTCGTTGCCCAGGCTGGAGTGCAATGGTGCGATCTCAGCTCACGGAAACTTCTGCCTCCCGGGTTCAAACGATTCTCCTGCCTCAGCCTCCTGGGTAGCTGGGATTACAGGCATGCGCCACTACGCCCAGCTAATTTTGAATTTTTAGTAGAGACGGGGTTTCTCCATGTTGGTCAGGCTGATCTCGAACTCCCAACCTCAGGTGATCCGCCCGCCTCAGCCTCCCAAAGTGCTGGGATTACATGCGTGAGCCACCGTGCCCGGCCCACCCATCCTTTTTCTTTAAGCCAATATCTCCAGGGAATTTCCATTCTTTTAAAGGCTGAATAATATTCCATTGTGTGTATATATAATTTATTTTAAAATCAGAAGAAACTGGCTGGGCACAGTGGCTCATGCCTTTAATCCCAGCACTTTGGGACACCGAAGCCCGTTGATTGCTTGAGCTCATCCATGAGTTGAACTCATCCTTGAGTTCAAGGCCAGCCTGGGCAACATGAGGAAACCCCCATCTCTAAACAAAATATGAAAATTAGCTGGGCATGGTGGTGCAAACCTGTAGTCCCAGCTGCTTGGGAGGCTGAGGTGGAAGGATCTCTTGAGCCCAAGAGGTGGAGGTTGCAGGGAGCCGAAATCATGCCACTGCATGTCCAGCCTGGTGACAGGACAAGACCCTGTCTCAAAAAAACAAGACTATTTTTTTTTAAATTTTTATTTATTTATTTTTGAGATGGAGTCTCGCTCTGTCGCCTAGGCTAGAGTGCAGTGACATGATCTCTCCTCTCTGCAACCTCCCCCTCTTGGGTTCAAGCAATTCTCCTGCCTCAGGCCCCCAAGTAGCTGGGACTACAGGCATGCGCCACCCTGCCCAGCTGGTTTTTGTATTTTTAGTAAAGACAGGATTTCGCCATGTTGGCCAGCCTGGTCTCGAACTCCTGACCTCAAGCGATCTGCCCGCCTTGGCCTCCCAAAGTGCTAGGATTACAGGTGTGAGCCACTGCGCCCAGCCAAAACCCAGAATATTTTAATATATAATATTAATGTGTTCATCCCAACAAAGCTATAAAATGTAATTCTACTTATTTTATTTTATTTTTTTGGGCACGGACTTTCATTCTTGTCACCCAGGCTGGAGTGCAATGGTGCAGTCTTGGCTCATTGCAACCTCCGCCTCCCAGGCTCAAGTGATTCTCCTGCCTCAGCCTCCCAAGTAGCTGGGATTACAGGCATCCACCACCACACCTGGCTAATTTTTTTTTTGTATTTTCAGTAGAGACGGGGTTTCGCCATGTTGGCCAGGCTGGTCTCCAACTCCTGACCTCAGGTGATTCCTGCAGCCTCCCAAAGTGCTGGTATTACAGGCGTGAGCCACTGCGCCCAGCCTATACAATGTAATTTTAAATAACTTTCTATGGAGGAAGGGGTCCATGAAAGTGAGGGTGCAGTCCCGCTTCTGGGGGAGGTTTCAAGAATGGCACCTCTGAGGAGACCTCACAAGTCAGGACCACCAGCTTCCTTGTGGACGCCTTCAGTGAAATCAGCTGTTGGCCCTAGACTGATGGCCGTGGTGGCCCAGAGTCCACCTGCCCCTGTGCCCTGGGACACGAGGACAACCTTGGGCCACTTCTCCTCACTATTGAATGCTGGCTTCTGTTTATTTGACTAAAACAAAGAGCATGTCAAAGTAACAGGGAGAAGGGGGAATAAACACACAAGCCTACCTTTCTCTCGTGGTTTTATTCCGAGTTAATTCCGTGGGGCTCTGAACCAGCTCCAGTACTATGGATTTCTCCCGGATGTCCATCTGGCCTGTGTCAGGGAGTTGATTGCCCTATGATTTGACAGTAATGATGATAATGGGGTGATTTTGTATTCTTTGACTCATTCAGATCGGAAGGTTCAGAAATAGACCCATGTCCTCCACCCCCAACCCCTTGCTTGAAACTAGTCTTTTGATTCTAACGAAATGGCAGGATCTTATGGATGAACTGCCACAGAGAAAGGACCCTTCTCTTTTTGAAGCTATTGGGGATGACTGGGGTTTATCTTTTTAGCCTGGAGACCAAGAGTTAGTACCATAGAAGCCGATAACTATTGCACAAAACCAGAGAAAATACTGCCACAGAAGCCTAGGTGGGAGAGAAGTCTTTCTCGGAATTTTGAAAAACAGCCACAGCTGTATGTACACGGAGCGATCTGAGGATAGCTCACTCCCACACTCTGCTGATGTCACTTTTTCATCTTCTTCTTGGTTACCCACGGGCAAAGATACGTTCTCATTTGCACTAAGCCTGACTTCTGCCTTCTTTCCCCAGATAGGCCCTGGCAGGCAGGCAGACGGACAGATGGGTGCAGACGCAATGCTAGAGGTGTTAAGCAATTGGACCAAGGGCAACTTGGCCCCTGACAATGTCTCACTTGCTTCTCAGCCTGACCCAGGGGAGCCACATCTGCCTTCTGATGTGCACGTCGCAGGAATTACCAAGAAACACTGTGTTCTGCTGTGGCACCTGTGTGTGTCCTGGAGGACAAGTCCCAGCTCTGGGGCAGCTCTGGTTTTCCAGAAAGGAAAGGTCAGTGTTGACGGACGCAGCCTGCCGAGCTGGCGCAGGCTGCTCCAGGGCGACATAGATTGTACCGCCATCATTTTTCATGTCGCTCATTAGCAGTCTGATTAGGGGTGATGCACGTCCGTGATTTCCCCTCAGCTCAGACCCTCCAATCCTGCAGAGGTGTCGCTGGACCTGAGGGTTTGTATATCCCACCCTCCAGAGCAGACTAGGGATGAAATACATCATCTACCTCTGCAACCCCTGCCCCAGGTAAACGAGCTTTATCGTCAGGTCCTGGGACTGAGGGTGAGGCACAGAGGAGGAGACTCCCTCACTGCAGAGTGGCAGTGGGGCTGAGAGTTGGGCGGGGAGGAGTCCCTGCACCTTCTGCTGGTGCATGCATGGCCTGGTCCCTTCGTCGGGGGTCATGCACAGTCTGGGAGAGGGTGGAGATATGTCTTTAAGACCAAAGGGACACCAGGAGGTAGAATCACTCACAGAGGAGCCAGGCTCCAGGTTGCCAAGGTGAACTTGTCAATAGAGTATTGAACAGGCTGGTCCAACTGGCCATAATTGTCTATTTCAAAACAGCCAGGCTCTGGTCCTCCTCGCACGGCCCAGAGGCCCACAGGCAGGACCCTAGCTGGGCAGAAATATCTGGGAGAATGAGCAATGGGCTCCCAAGACAGAACCCACCAGCATCCCCACCCGTCCCGAAGGCACATGGGTCTGAAACCTAAGAAAACTAAGAAAGGTTTCTTTCCTCCCTCACTTCTACCCCGGCTTATGACTCAAGGTGACACAAAGAACATCCCAGCTCCCCAGAACCTGTCCCTTTTTTATCCAGAGGACTCTGCCTGGAGGGACCCCCTCGTGAGAGTTTCCCAATTCCCTGTGAGCCCCAGACAAGGGTGGTGGGGCCTTTCGCTTCACAGGGCAAAATGAAAATGTGGGGCTCCTTGATTAATAATTATTAACAATTTCAAGGTGTTGGACCATGCCACCCACCTGGGGCCATTCTGATCTCAGGGCCCCATGGGTCTGTGCAGGTCCCATGTGACAGGCCCTGTCCCCTCCTCTGGCAGCTCACTGGTCTCTGCTGGCTTTCCGTGGCTGTGATTTGGCTCCTGTCTCGTTTCTGCTTCCCTCTGGGTCCTTTGGCTTCCAGTGCCCCCTCCCCCAACAGACCAGCTCATTCCAGCAACCAGAGTCCTCCCAGGCTGAGAGCTGTCCCGTTAATCCTCGTCATCCCTGTTGGGGGAAACTAGTGGTGGCCCCAGGGTCAGGTGTCCAGCTGTAGTCAGGATGAGCAGGCTCACGTGGCTGAGGGCGGAGGAGGAGGGGCCTGGAGCAGGCTTTCTGAGCTGAGGCCTCATCAGTCCCCAAGCCTGCTGGGGTGCCCCAGTAGTGGTGTTTGCATGCTCGGTCACCCTCCTCCCAGCTACACTACACGCACCCTTTCTTTTCCTTTTTTTTTTTTCTTTTTTTGAGACAGAGACTCCCTCTGTCACTCAGGCTGGAGTGCAGTGGCACAGTCTTGGCTCACTGCAACCTCCGCCTCCCAGGTTCGAGCAATTCTCCTGCCTTAGCCTTCTGAGTAGCTGGGATTACAAGCGTGCACCACATGCCCAGCTAAATTTTTTTTTTTTTGTATTTTTAGTAGAGAAGGGGTTTCACCATGTTGCCCAGGCTGTTCTCGAACTCCTGGCCTCAGGTGATCTGCCCGCCTCGGCCTCCCAGAGTGCTGGGATTATAGGCATGAGCCACCACACCCAGCCCCTTTTCCTCTTCATCCCATTAAGGTTGCACCTCCCCAGGTCACCAGCAGCTGAGCAACTTACTCATGTGGGAGGAATGCCCCTGCAAGTGGGGTGCACCCCAGTGACTTGCGTGTCAGACTAGATGTGACTCATCTACTTGTCCTAGACAGCCTTGTCTTCAGCTTCGTGTGGGAGCCTCTATGGGCCTTGGGTCCTAATACCTAGTAGAGTCTCTGTTCCTCCCAGCTTGCCCCGTGAGCCACCCAGGCAGAGGTCCAGATCCACGGGGACTGACCTGACAGAACTCTTGGCCATGGCCAGTTAGGACTGTTGAGACAAGTAGGAGCTGGGGCGCTGCACACCTGCTGACTGTCCCTCTGCCATGTGGAAGCAGGAGCATGGTGTGGTAAGAGCCAGACGGACCCAGGCTTCTCCCCGCTCTCCCGCCGGCCACCGGCGTGACTCCGAGCACCAGTGTATTCATCTGCAAAGGGGAGAGGAGACTTTCTAGGCTCAACACCCTAAGAAGTCCTCTGACATCCAAGGCCCTGCCTCATGTGTCCCCGTGACCTCCTGGCTTTCTTTTCCACCCCTCTCTCCCTTATACACTCTGTTCTGGGCACACGGGCTCCTCCACTAATCCTCAAACACTGACTTGGTGTTGCCTCAGGGCCTTTGAACTGACTGTAGCCACCACTTGGAATGTTCTTTCTCCAATAACTGCATGGTTCTTTTTCACTCAAGTCTTTACTCAAATGTCATCTTTGTAATGAGCTGGCCCTGACCACCTGATCACTACGGTCCCAGCCCTGTCCCCACCAACACTCCCAATCTCCTTATTCCTGCTTACATAGCACCCTCACCTCCTTACAGACAGTATCCTCTGGATGTTGATGGTGTTTCCAGCCTGCATCTCCTGTTGGAACATAAGAGCTGCAAGCGTCGGGGCGTGTCCACACCCTTGTCCGACGTGTCCCTGGCATCTGGCACAGTGCCCAGCACGTACCTGTCAGATGAATGTTGAATTAATAGGATTTGTGTGAGGACCGAGTGAGCTCACACAGCCAGATGAAGCTGGTCCACCCGTACGGGCTGGCAAGAGCCGTTGGCCACATTCTCAGACATTTTGTGAACCCGTTGTTGAACCCAGCCATGATTACAAATTAAATGATTGGCATTTACAATTAAATTATGTAAAGAACAACAATAATAAATGCTCACTACTGACTCCTTCCTAGTGATTTCCTCAGATTCACATGTTCCCGGGTTCTTTGTGTCCCCTGTGTGTGGTGGAAAACGCCACGCAGGGGCAGCTGCTGCTGCACATCTCGGCCCAATTCTGCCTTCAGCGCTGTCCTAATGGTAGCTTGAAGCCAGCTATGGCTGGAGCTTTTACTCAACAGAAATTGGTAAACACGACAAATCGTGACTTGATTTTTTCTTTTGTTGATTGTCTATACTTTAGAAAGTGATAGAAAAAAAAAAAAGAAAGTGATGAAAAAGTGTTAATCATGCAGATTAAACTTAAAAGTGTGTCCTGTTGGCTGGGCACGATGGCTCACGCCTGCAATCCCAGCACTTTGGGAGGCCAAGGCGGGCAGATCACTTGAGGTCAGGAGTTCGAGACCAGCCTGGTCAACATGGTGAAACCCCGTCTCTACTACAAATACAAAAATTAGCCGGGTGTGGTAGCGTGGTAGCGGGCGCCTGTAATCCCAGCTACTCAGGAGGCTGAGGCAGGAGAATTGCTTGAACCCAGGAGGCGGAGGTTGCAGTGAGCCCAGATTGCACCACTGCACTCCAGCCTGGGTGACAATAGCGAGACTCCATCTCAAAAAACAAAACAAAACAAACAAAAAAGTGTGTCCTGTTTGTAGCCATTATGTTCTTTTGTTCCTTCTTTTCTTCTTCTTCTTCTTTTTTTCTTTTTTTTTTTTATACAGGGTCTCACTGTGTCACCCAGGCTGGAGGGCAGCGGCAAAATTTTGGCTCACTGTGATCTGCAACTCTCGGGCTCAAGCAATCCTCCCACCTCAGCCTCCCAATTAGCTGGGACTACAAGCGTGCACTTCCATGCCTGGCTAATATTTTTGTATTTTTTAGTACAGACGGGTTTTTGCTGTGTTGTCCAGGCTGGTCTCAAACTCCTGGGCTCAAGTGATCCAGTGGCCTCGGTCTCTCAAAGTGGTGGGACTACAGGCATGAGCCACCACACCCAGCCCATTATGTTCCTAAGAGCACAGGAATGGAGGAAGTAGTATTAAAAAACTATTCCCTGATTTATGAAAGAAGTTCCTGACATCATTATGAACGAGAAGTTTGACCTATTCCTTCGTTGTTTCACTTTCGTTTTACTGGTTAACTTAAATGAAAATACCCACAGCCATTCAAGTCAGAACCACACTCATTTATCAAAGGCAAGCCTGGGCTGGCAACTGATCCCAGAGTTTGGCAAAAAAGCAACAAAAACCTTCTGTGAATCCATCAGTATATGGAGCTTACAATGAAGAGTATCTTCTATTTTATTATTTGTTTATTTATTTTATTTTATTTTTTTGAGATGGAGTTTCCCTCTTGCTGCCCAGGCTGGAGTGCAACGGTGTGATCTCAGCTCACTGCAACCTCTGCCTGCCAGGTTCAAGTGATTCTCCCGTCTCAGCCTCCTGAGTAGCTGGGAATACCGGCATATGCCACCATGCCTGGCTAATTTTGTATTGTTAGCAGAGACGGGGTTTCTCCGTGTTGGTCAGGCTGGTCTTGAACTCCTGACCTCAGGTGATCTGCCCGCCTCGGCCTCCCAAAGTGATGGGATTACAGCCGTGAGTCACCGTGACTGGCCTATTTTATTATTTGTGAATGGCGTGCTATGCATCCTTTATATCTGTAATATTTATTTATTTATGAAAAAAAAATATTTTAAGAACGGAGTCTCGCTCTGTCGCCCAGGCTGGAGTGCAGTGGTGCGATCTTTGTTCAGGGCATCCTCCACCTCCTGGGTTCAAGCGATTCTCCTGTCTCAGCCTCCCATTAGGTGGGATTACAGGCACTCACCACCATGCCTGGCTAATTTTTTGTATTTTTAGTAGAGATAGGGTTTCACCATATTGGCCAGGCTGGTCTCAAACTCCTGACCTTAAGTGATCCTCCCACCTTGGCCTCCCAAAGTGCTGGGATTACAGGTGTGAGCCACCGCGCCCTGCCTATCAGTAATATTTACAATAAATAAATAAATAAATAAATAAATATACATGCATGCATACATTTCTTTTTTTCAGAGAGCCAATTGTTAATGCTAAACATTTACTAGCATCTCATACAAGCACCAGCCCAGAGGAGGCATTTAGATTACTGTAAACAAATGAGAGATGTTTAATTAGGCAGGGCTGAGGGAATTAATTCAACTCCATAGATAGCCAACCCCAAAGAAGGCTAGGAGACAGGAGGCCTGACCAGGCCAAGGGCGCAAGTGGTAAGAACCAGGTGTCAGTAGGGCAGGGACCACAGCGTGTTCGACAGGGTCATGACGAAAGGTGCAGCCCAGTCCTGAGGATGGTGACCTTGGCCTTTTGGGACAGTATCTTTAGCTCATACTTCTGGGACAAGGTGTTCCTTCCTGTGGGCTGCACGCATGCCCAGAGCTCCAAGCCCCTAGGCATTGTCCAAAGGCTGAGGGCCACATGCCCCTGGACGCATGCCCCGTTATCCTTGGGGTTGCCTGATGCTGCTGCCTGCTCTCCATTCTCCCAGCTGTTTAGGGACTGACCATGTCTATGCTGCCACCATCTATATCTGCTCAACCCAAGGAGGGGCTGATCTAACCCTGGCCCTGACTCTCCTCTTGCTGCTGGGAAAGAATTGTCCTTTTTTAAGTTTATTTTTTAAGTGTGTTTGCAGAAAGCACGCTTTAGGTTTAGTGGTCAGGGAAGGCTCACTGAGGAAGGAGTGTGTGGCTTGTCATCTCTAGGTTGGGGAGGAGCTGGGACAGCAGGTGCCAAGGCCCTGAGGTAGGCACCTCCTGAGTGTGTTTGAGGACCAGAAGGAAGGCAGGAGCAGTGGGCAGCGTGGGCTGGGGGAGTGGGGTCAGATGGCAGACTGAAGAAGGAGGAAGGCAGTTTGCCTGAGTGTCTGTGACTCGGAGTTTGGACTTGAGTCTCATTGTTATGGCAAAGCTTTGGAGGTTTTAAGCAAGGAAGTGGGGGGACCAGATAACGGGGTCAGACCCAGACCCTGGGGCCACAGGGCAATTCCTGGGACTAGAGGAGGAGCTGTGGGATCAGCAGGGACTGGGGGTAGAGAGCCACCATGCCACTGCCCTCCCCAGAGGGCGTTCTCCTGCAACAGGTCAGCTTCTTCGAGGCAATGTAGAAGCAACATGTCTCCCTCAAAGGAGTGTGAATTTAAAGACTCGAAGGCCGAAGACGGAGATGCCGGCAGCCAGGTTGCATAGCTCTGTGTTCTGGCTGGGCCATTTATTCACTCTTTGACCTTGAGCAACTGATTTCACCCCCCTGTGCCTCAGTTTCTCCATCCTGAAATCGAGGCTCATGATGAAGTGGTTGGTGGTCACGGAGGTTAACTGGATTAATAGGCAAAGCACTTAGCACTGTATCCAGCGAGAGTGAGTGCACAACACATGGAAGCTATTACTGTTATTTTTATTGTTGTTATTATCGCTATTAGGACAGAGAAACACCCGGGGCAGCCAAGCCCAGGCCAGGATGCCTGAGCACACTGCCCTGTTGGCAGAGCGGGTGGGGATCCTGGACCAAGGCTCATGGGTTGGAGCCTGTCGGGGTAAATCCTCTCCAAGGCCTGGCTCTGCTCCCTGCCAGCTGGACTGAGCTGCACACGCTGCCGCGTCTCTGGGGCAGTAGGTGTTACGTGTAGTCCAGCCAAAGGTTCCAGAGCTGGAGGAGGTGGACATCTGGGGCCACAGAGCCCTGGGGCCCTCGGGACTTGGGGCCCCAGTGCTGCCACTGCTAACCCATTGGTGCCCCTCACTCCCCGCCAGCCTTGATGGTGACCCTGGGGAATAGGCATCGGAAGGCTTTGGTCCTTAGTTCAGGGTTGACCCTCTGCTGGGTCTGTTTATTCCCAGGAAGTCCTCAGTGCAGATAGAAAGGCTGGGCTTGGTGGAGGCACCGGGATTGGAGCTGAGCACAAACACTGCTGGGGGCAGGGTCCTCTCTGAGAAGCAGAGTCGGGATGTGGGGGTGTGCGCTGTGTACTTGGGGCCTTTGGCTCACTGCGTGTGAAGAGGAGATTTTAACGCCCACCCGGTGCCCGCCTTGGACACACAGCTTGGGAGGCTCGGCTGGGCAGTTCTGGGCAGCAAGGTGAGGGGTCAAGGGGACCACAAGAGAGGAACCAGGGTGCCATCCAGCTCCTGGGGAGCCACCGGCTGGATTGTGTCGATGGCTGGAAACCCACCTGGGCCATGTGGTCAGGATGGCAGCGTGTTGTGATCACACAGCCTGTACCTCATTTTGAGAGGAGCGTCTTATGCCCCCACTTCAGAGGGGGAAACTGAAGCTGTGACTTTTGTGCAAAGTGGCAGCAGAGCTCGGACGCAAACCCAGGGTTGCCAGCCCTGGGCACGTGCCCTGGGCCCTCTCACTTCGAGCTGGACAGCAGCTCCCCCCGCTTCTCTTCCATTCCCTGACCCTGATGAGTCCTCGGGGGTGGTGGGGGAAGTGCAGTGCGATTTGGAGTGAATTAAACAGACACAAGTCCCCATTGTCTCAGAATTTACTCTGTGTGTGTGTGTGTGTGTGTGTGTGTGTGTGTGTGTGTGTGTGTTTTCTGGAGACGGGTCTCACCATGTTGCCCAGGCTGGTCTCAAACTCCTGGCCTCAAGTGATCCTCCTGCCTCTGCCTCTCAAAGGTCTGGAATTACAGATGTAAGCCACTGTGCCCAGTCTCAGGGTTTGCAGTTTTAGAAGATAGAAGCTGGTGCAGGTAGTGTGGGCTGAGGACTGCCTTTAGGCGGCTCGTTCACCAAACACTGGACTGAGCTGAGCGCCTGGTGAACACATTCCTATCTTATCCGCACAAACACTGCATGAGGTTGTCCTAATTATCCTCAGCTTTGCAGAGGAAACTGAGGCCCAGAGAGTTGAGCAATGAGCAAGAGGGCATGAGGGGTGGATATTTGTAAAGAGTGGGACAGTGTGGATTTTGGGAGCCACAGGGCGAATCCTAATGCATTGAATACTTGCCTCCCCCAAATATTTGTCTACCTGGAACGTCAGAATGTGACTTATTTGGAACAAGGGTCTTTGTAGATGTGATTAAGGTGCAGATCTTGAGAGGAGATCGCCCTGGATTGGAGTGGGTCCTGAATCCAATGGTAGAAGAGACTGAAGAGGGGAGGACACGCAGGGACATTCTCCTGGCATCTGAAGCAGAAGCCAGGGAAGACGGAGGCAGAGGATGGAGCGATGCAGCCACAGGCCCAGAAACGCCAGGCAGGAGTCCCTCCTGGGGACTCTGCAGGTAGCACAGCCCTGATGACACCTTGATTTAGGACTTCTGGACTTCAGAACCAGGAGAGAATCCATCTCTGCTGTTTGAAGCTCTCCAGGTTGGGATGGAGCCAGGGCTTGCCCCTGAGGCCTCGTTTCTTCCTGTCCCTGTGCGGCTCGGCTGCCTGCCCAGCCTGGATCCTGGTGTAAAAGTCCCGCATCCTTTTCTTTCTTGTGAGACAGAGTCTCACTCTGTTTGTCGCCCAAGCTGGTGTGCAGTGGCTCGATCTTGGCTCACTGCAACTTCCACCTCCCAGGTTCAAGCAATTTTCCTGCCTCAGCCTCCTGAGTAGCTGGGATTATAGGTGCCCACCACCACGCCTGGCTAATTTTTGTATTTTTAGTAGAGACAGGGTTTCGCCATGTTGGCCAGACTGGTCTTGAACTCCTGACCTCAGGTAATCTGTCTGCCTCGGCCTCCCAAAGTGCTGGGATTACAGGCATGAGCCACTGCGCCCACCCTCACATTCTTTTCTTATTATTTCCTGAGCACCTACTATGGGCCAGGTGCTGTGATGTTTCCTCATTTAATCTCCATTCAATGTGAAATCGTCACTGTTATCCATGCTATAGAAGAAAGAACACCTCACATGGCCCTGACCTGGCCCTGAGAATGTGGGGAGGACACACAGAATGGGGACTCCTCTCCCAGGAGCTGCTGTTGGCCTCTGCTGGGGCTCGCCCAGGGCTCTCCGGAAAAACAGACCTGATAGGATACATGGAGGCTCTAAGAGGGGACCCCCGTGGGAATTCGCTCACACACTATGGAGGCTGAGAGGTTGCAGGGCCAGCCATCTGCAAGGTGGGGAACCAGGGAAGCCAGCCATGATGTTCAGTCTGAGTCTGAAGGCCCTAGAAGCAGGAGCTCTCGTGTCTGAGGGCAGCTGGAGGTGGATGGTCCAGGTCAAGCAGACCCAGTGCAGTAGCCTGCTCCCAGCCTTCCTGTTCTACTCAGGCCCTCGAGGCTTGGCTAATGTTGCCTACATTGGTGAGGTGCGGTCTACAAATCCAAGTGGGAACCACTTTCGGAAACACCCTCGCAGACTCAGCCCTGTCAAGCTGACACATGAAATTAACCATCTCATCATCAAAATGCCCCTGAACGTGCAAGATACAATGGGGAAACAAGCAGATCACTCAATGGACCCAGCATGGTGCCATTAAAATCCCTGCAGTTCACTGGGCACAGTGGCTTACGCCTGTAATCCCAGCACTTTGGGAGGCCGAGGTGGGAGGATCGCTTGAGCCTAGGAGTTTGAGACCAGCCTGGGCAACATAAGGAGACTGTTTCTAAAACAAAATAAAACATAACATAAAAACTCTTTGCCGGGCACGGTGGCTCACACCTGTAATCCCGGCACTTCGGGAGGCCAAGGCAGGTGGATCACTTGAGGTCAGGAGTTTGAGACCAGCCTGGTGAAACCCCACCTCTACTAAAAATACAAAAATTAGTGAGGTGTGGTGGTGGGCACCTGTAATCCCAGCTACTCGGGAGGCTGAGGCAGGAGAATCGCTTGAACCTGGGAGATGGAGGTTGCAGTGAGCCTAGATGGGGTCACTGCACTCCAGCCTGGGTGACAGAGCAAGACTCCGCCTCAAAATAAATAAATAAATAAATAAATAAATAAATAAATAAATAAATAAAACTCTCATAGTCCCCGCTAAACACACATGAAATTTCTGGAAGGACAAAGCTCCGTGGCTGTTCCTAGTCCTGCCCTGGGTCCAGCCATCATCTCTGAGTGTCTGGATTGGGGTGGGTGCCACAGCTCTACCTTTCCTCCACTGATCTGCCCCATCTTATCACTCATTCCCTCTCAAGCTGCCCGGTTCCCTTGTCTGGGCACCAGAGACCTTCTCCTGGCACCCGCCTCCTGCCTGGGACTTCCTCTTCAGCCTCATGTCTGTTCCCTGTTTCCCTGCTCCCCTCGGAGAAGCTCCATCGCAGCTGAGCAGCCTCCCTGCAACCCTCCTTATGGGCCCTGGCCTGCTCAGGTGGTGCCCCTGCCCTTTCAGGGGAGGGAGTGAGGGGAGGACATGTACAGAGCTCAGCTACATCCCAGGTAGGGCTTGAAGCCCTTTACCTGCACCCTAGCTCTTCCCAGGAGCCCTCACGTTTCTTTTCTGAGGCAGAGTCTTGCTCTTTTCTCCCAGGCTGGAGTGCAATAGTGTGATAGCTCACTGCAGCCTCGACCCCTAGGCTCAAGTCATCCTCCCACCT
The DNA here is from genome assembly GCF_000001405.40 of Homo sapiens. Lineage (NCBI taxonomy): Eukaryota > Metazoa > Chordata > Mammalia > Primates > Hominidae > Homo > Homo sapiens. The sequence goes on from NC_000017.11 coordinate 79,859,395, forward strand.
CAGCATTAGCTGGGCATGGGGGCAGGTGCCTGTAATCCCAGATACTCAGGAGGCTGAGGCAGGAGAATCGCTCGAACCTAGGAGGCAGAGGTTGCAGTGAGCCAAGATCGCGCCACTGCACTCCAGCCTGGGCAACAGAGGGAGACTCGGTCTCAAAAAAAAAAAAAGTATAAAAATTATACAATGAAATATTTACATTGTCATTATTGTTGTTCTAAGTCTTGGAAATCCAGTGTGGATCTTGTACTTGACAGCCCCTCTCCGCCGGGACTCGCTGAATTCCAAGGGCCCCATAGGCACACGTGGCTCTTGGCCCCCACAGTGGACAGTAAGCGTCTGGGACAGGATGGGGTGACTTTCACATCCCAGGTGGAGCAAATTCCTCTGGGCTCTGACCGGTTAGAGCTTTATGGTATGTCCCTCACAGTCGTAGGGGCCTGAGGCAGCATCGGTGGCTGGACTTGGTATCAGTGGTCATGTGGTCATTTATGTGCCCAGTGTGGCAAGCCTGGCACCAGACCTGGCAAGGGGGCTTCATCTGGGCCCAAAAAAGTACAGACAGCGTGGTCTCCAGCCTGCCTCCCGGGGAGGCCTCCCCAGGTGGACTTAGAAAAGGAGGTCAGAGGCGGGATGGGAGGTGGCCTTTGCAGGCACCTGGAGGGGCTGTGGTGTTGGGTCCCTGGATCTGGAAGGTCACATCAATAATGTGTCATCTGCTAGTCCGGGGCCACTGCAAAGGCTCCCATCCCAGGAGACGGCAGTTTAGCACTGGCCTGGAGGCTGGCTGGCCTGGAGGCTGGCTGGCCTGGAGGCTGGCTGGCAGGCGCAGCTGGGGCTTGGGTTTCCTCTGGGGGAGGCTGCTTCTTCCCTCGTGCCCGTCCACGCTTTGGTTACAGGCAGTGAAGCCGCTGATGTCAGCGGGACCGCGGCTGCCCCTCTGAGGTGTCTGTGGCCTGCCACCAGAGCAGCGGGCGGGGTGGCCTCCCGCCTGAGCCTGTTTATCATTTAAGTGGATACCATGCTCTGGCAGCTGAGGGTAATTACGGGGGCTGCGTCCTTGAGGACGGGTCTGCGCATGTGCTTCTCGCGGGGCTGGTGGCCCAGCCGGGGCGGCCTCGGTGCCGTCAGCTGCTCGGTGAGATGTGAAGGGCCGGGGCTCCGCGTGGGGCCTTCCGTGCTGCAGCAGAGGCCTGGGATTGGAATGCGAAATCCCTCTGCGGTGGAGACAGGGGCTGGTGGGGGTCATGCCATCTTCAGGGCCGTCCTGTTGGCTCTGACCTCCTGCCACCAGCCACAGACTCTGCTCCAGGGTGTCCACCTACCCCAGCCGTTCCTCCTCTTGTCTGCATCCCTCTGTCCCTCTCTTCCTTCTCTTCCTCCTCCCTTCAGTCGTGTTTAGCAAGTCCCATTCCCTGGCCTCAGCGTCCCGATCCTCCCATCCCTTGGCTTTGCTGGGGCTTTTCCAGGCTGCTTCTGCAAGCCTTGTCATTTTGTTGCTGGGATGGCGCCGGGAGGTGGAATAGAGTGCCCCCTGCCCCCACATTCATGTCCACCCAGGACCTCAGAATGTGACCTTGTTTAGAAATAGGGTCTTTGCAGATGTAAAATCAAATTGAGATTAGGTCATACGGGATTAGGGTGGGCCCTTAATTCAATAAAACTGATGTCTTTTTTTTTTTTTTGAGACCGAGTCTTACTCTGTCACCCAGGCTGGAGTGCAGTGGCGCGATGCCAGCTTACTGCAACCTCCATCTCCCAGGTTCAAGCAATTCTCGTGCCTCAGCCTCCCGAGTAGCTGGGACTACAGGCACCTGCCACCACACCCAGCTAATTTTTGTGTTTTAAGTAGAGACAGGGTTTCACCATGTTGGCCAGGCTGGTCTCGAACTCCTGACCTCAGGTGATCCACCTGCCTCGGCCTCCCAAAGTGCTGGGATTACAGATGTGAGCCACCACGCCTGGCCAAAACTAGTGTCCTTACAAAAAGAGAAAAACTTGGACAGAGAGGGAGGAAGGCCAAAAGGCCAAATGAAGATGAAGGCTGAGATGGGAGGGAGGCAGCCACAGCTAAGGTGTACCACGGGTTGCCGGCAGCCACCGGAAGCCGAAGAGGCAGGAAAGATTTGACCCCAGATCCTCAAGGCGAGCCTGGCCCTATTGCCACCTGGATTTTGGACTCTGGCCTCCAGGAGCCCAAGACAATAAACTTCCATTGTTGAAACCAACTCGTGTTGGTTATTTGTGACGGCAGCCCCAGGAACTCATACAGCCCCCTCCCCTGGGCTCGGCCCTGTGAGCAATAAGAGAATCCCCCCAGCTGACCCTGCTCTTGGGGCACCTTCAAGCCTCAGCAGGCTGTTCCTGAAATCCAGCTGTGCAGCCAGGATCGGTGAGCACACACACATTTTCAGGGATAATGGTCTTCAGAATTCCAAAGGATTTATTGGAGCTCGCCCGACGTGGACCACAGCCGAGCTGAAACCCACACTTGACAAGTGATGCAATCAGCGCTCGACTCTTGCCAGCGTTTTCGGGAGATTAGGCAGCAGCAGGGGCTGGGGTGCACAGGAGCAGGCAGACAGGAGCAGGCGATTGCAGCAGCATCAACACCTGAGTCGATGTGATGGCGTGGCGAGTGGCCACAGACTCTGGGAGCCAGCCGGGGAGCACAGCGTGCCCGGCAGAAGGAGGTGATGCTGGCTGAGCAGAAAGGTCACCAGGTGGGGTTGCAGTGGCCTGGACAGCCAGGAGGATGCTCTGTGGGCAGCCAGCCGTGGCCAGAGGGGAAGGCTGTGAACGGGGTGGTTAGAAGCCACCTGCACTGGAGTCCTGGCCACAGTGGGGGGTGGTCCTGGATCTCAGGCTCCTCTCTGTATAGGGGGCCTTACATGGCCCACCTCCAGAGCCCGAGGAGGCTGAGTTTGGGGAGGACAGTAAGCCCTTGGACTTCCTGTTGCTGCTTGGTGCTGTTGTTAGGAGTCTGGAATGTGCTGGAGCTATAGATTGGGTCACTCTCTGCAAAAAGCAGAGGAAGGAGGTGCAGGAGGTCAGGGGCAGTTCCCGGGGGAATATCTGAGGAAGGGCAGCCATGGAAGAGATGGATGGAGGCCAGGGAGACGGTCCCAGAGGCCACAGCAATCACAGGCTTAAAGACGGGGGGAGGGTCAGGGAGACCCAAGGGTGGGTCGGAGATGGGCCCCAGGGACTGAGGAGGGGAACTTGGACAGAGAAGTTTCATAGACAGAAAAGAGCAGACAGGAAGTTATGGAGGGTTGGGGTCGGATTCATGCACACACACACACACACATGCCCATATAAATACACACACACCAGCAAACACACGTGCATGCACGTGGGCACACACACGAATACACACATGCACACACATATGCACAGGCAGCAAGACTGACGCTTGGCCATGTCATGCAGGCTGTCAGAGAGGAGAGGTGAGTGAGGGGCTGGGTGGGAGGGCGGCAGGGGTCAAGCAGAGGTGTGTGTATTTCAGGACAGAAGAGACAAGAGTTGGAATAAAAAGAATTGAAGATGACGGGGAACCGGGGGTGCGAGGAGTTTGGATGCGGGGGCGTCTGCCTTGGAAAGGTGCAGAGCCTGGCAGGAAGGAGGGCAGATCAGGTGCCTTGCTCTGGAGTGCTAGGAGGGGAAGGGGGTCTGAGGGGGTGCTCACCCTGGCTGTGGTCTTTTCAGAAAAGCCAAAGACAAGGTCATTGCGCAGTGTTCCTAGGGGAGGCTGGGGCTGCACGCAGGGTCAGCTGGAGATTAGGGAGCAATGGCTGCTCAGCAGGGAGGCTCGGCCAGCCAGGGCAGACCCTGCAGAGACTGAGGCTGCCCCATCCTAACCCTGTTCCTGGTGAAGACCTGCAAGCGGCCACAAAGCAGTGGCTCAGGACAAGGGCTTGGCCTGGCCCGTGTCCAGGGGCTGAGAGCCTGCTGTTCGTTCAGTTGGGCTGAAGTGGCCCAATTCCCCTTCTCCTCTCCCTGCCTGTTTGGAGTCCCAGGATGCCAACAGAGAGGTCTGAGCTGAGCATGCCGGGGAGGGTGGTCCATCACACTCTGTAAGGTGTGAATTTGCAGAGAGGTGCGTGGAGGCATGCTCACTCCATTGTCATCACCTCTGGGCAGTGGCGTCTGATGAGTTTTATTTTCTTCCTTTCTCTTTTGTGGTTTATTTTATTTTATTTATTGATTCGAGACAGAGTCTTGCCGTATCGTCCAGGCTGGAGTGCAGCGGTGTGATCTCGGCTCACTGCAAACTCCGCCTCCCAGGTTCAAGCGATTCTCGTGCCTCAGCCTCCCGACTAGCTGGATTACAGGCACGTGCCACCATGCCTGGCTAATGTTTGTATTTTTAGTAGAGATGAGGTTTTACCATGTTGGCCAGGCTGGTCTCGAGCGCCCGACCTCAGGTGATCTGCCCGCCTCGGCCTCCCAAAGTGCTGGAATTACAGGCATGAGCCACTGTGCCTGGCCTCTTTTGTGATTTTAAATTTAGTTTATTGTCAGGGTGCGGTGGCTCACACCTGTAATTCCAGCACTTTGGGAGGCCGAGGTGGGCGGATCAGTTGAGGTCAGGAGTTTGAGACCAGCCTGACCAATATGGTGAAACCCTGTCTCTACTAAAAATGCAAAAAAAAAAAAAAAAAAAAATTAGCCGGGCATGGTGGCGTGTGCCTGTAATCCCAGCTACTTGGGAGGCTGAGGCAGGAGAATCCCTTGAACCCAGGAGGCGGAGGTTGCAGTGAGCCGAGATTATGCCACCGCACTCCAGCCTAGGCAACAAGAGCGAAAACTTCATCTCAAAAAATAAAATAAAAAAAAATAAATTTAGTTTACAATCACCATGTACATTTTTTTTTTTCCAAAAATAATAAAGCCAGGAAGACCTCCTGCACAACGCCCCCATTGTTTGACTTGAGCTGGGGGTGGAGCTTCTCTGCCTTGCGCTAACTGTCACAAGTTCTATTAGAGGAATTTCTTCTTTGAGGATCCTGATGCAAGAGAGCTCAGAGGATGGTACAGCGGACACCAACCTGAATGCAACAGCCCCCCAAGCCCTTCCAGCTGAAACTGTCCCCTCTTTGAAAACCACAGGTGTCGGCCGGGCATGGTGGCTCACGCCTGTAATCCCAGCACTTTGGTAGGCTGAGGCAGGTGGATCACCTGAGGTCAGGAGTTCAAGACCATCCTGACCAACATGGTGAAACCCCGCCTCCACTAAAAATACAAAAATTAGCCAGGCATGGTGGTGGGTGCCTGTAATCCCAGCTACTCAGGAGGCTGTGCCAGGAGAATCGCTCGAACCTAGGAGGTGGAGGTTGCAGTGAGCCGAGATTGCGCCGTTGGACTCTAGCCTGGGCAACAGAGCAAGACTCGTCTCAAGAAAAAAAAAAGAGAGAGAAAACGATACGTGTCCTGGTGACGACTCCTGCACCTTCCCTGCTAGCCTGCCTTGCTCTGCCCTGCCTCCTCCCTCCTCCTGCTGTGGCCTCTGGAGCTCCTCTCTCCTGGCTCACCCAGGGACGTCACCCTTGCCTCTTCTCTCTGCGACTCCCAGGCAAAGGACTTTCCGCTCACAAGCAAACATGTGCTGGCAGGTCTCTTCCTGTGATCCCTCCACCCTCTATAGCTACTGCCCCGATCCCTCTGCTTCCTCCAGCTTCTCGTCAATTCGCCTGGGCGGCGGGGAGTCTGCGCTTTTGGGATGTGATTGGTGCTCCCCAGGCGATCCTCATTTACAGCTAGTGGGGACAGCCACCAAGTCACAGCCTTCCAGAAATTTCACCCATCCTATTGCCTTAACCAATGGCAAGCTGATAAATGTTTAATAGTCAGCTCTGGGGCATGGGGACAAATAGCCCTGATCTGTATCATTATGCAGTTCCTATGATGTGACTATTTCCACCATGGCCAATTTCAAGCTGCCAACAGGAAGAGTACTGGCTGTCAAAATTCCTGCAAATTTTACAACCCAGGACAATTCCATCTGTGGGTGGCATCTCCCTGGAGCCTGGGTCTACTCTCTGAGTTGGCTCACCTGTCCCTCTGGAACCTGGTTAGGCCATGGGTGAAAATCAGCTTCCATGCCCACTGCAGAGGGAAGGAAAGGATGCTTGCATTGAGTGACTGCTGGAGCAGCAGGGGCTTCCCCGCTTTACAGTTTTACAAAGCACTGCAATTATCTCATGTAAGACTCAAGTCTAAAGTGACGTGGCCAAGACCACACAGCAAGCAGGTTCTAGAGCCAGCCTCAGACCATCCCCACCGTGAGTCCCCCGTGCGAGTGCCCCTTGAAGGAGGTTTTCTAACAGGTGAGTGGTCTGATTCTGTCTCTGTCCTGTGGGATGGATGGGCTGGCACTTGATGGCTCTCCTTCCCCCTCACCCTCCACGGAGAAGGCTGGAAGGTGCATTTCTCAGACTTCCTTGCCTGGGAAATGGGAAGTGATGCAGAGGATCCCAACGTCTCCTCGGCAGGCTTGGTGGTGGACGTGCTGGGCCATGTTCCAGGGGCCAGCTGCTGGCTCCGTGGGTGCTGAGAGGAAGGGGGAAGGCTGTCTATTTTTTGGCCAGGATGAATCCAGCAGATGTGGTAGGTCCTGGCCGCTTGCTGACCCGTGGGTCTACCGGGTGCTCCGGAGCTAATGGTCCCCAGATGCTCCACCGTCCTGATGTGGCAGAGGCATGGCATTTTGGCGGGCCAGTTTGGTGGCATCCTGGGAACCGTTTTGGAGGCTCGAGGTGCAGCCTGCTTCTCCAGCTTTTCCAGTGATTTTTCTGAGCTTCTTATTTCATTTCTGCCACAAGGAGCCAAAGTGCCTTCTGTTTTCTGCACCTGAGCCCTCACTGATACGTCTTTTAACCTTGGTCACCTCCAGTCCTTTTGTCCTGTAACCTTCATTCAAGTCCCAGGCCTCCAGTTCCATGATGGGGTGTGTCGGGTTTTGTTTGTTTGTTTGTTTTGAGACAGAGTCTTGCTCTGTCACCCAGGCTGGAGTGCAGTGGCGTGATCTCGGCTCACTTCAAGCTCCGCCTCCCGGGTTCACGGCATTCTCCTGCCTCAGCCTCCCAAGTAGCTGGGACTACAGGCGCCCGCCACCACACCCGGCTAATTTTTCGTATTTTTAGTAGAGACGGGGTTTCACTGTGTTAGCCAGGATGGTCTCGATCTCCTGACCTCGTGATCCGCCCACCTCGGCCTCCCAAAGTGCTGGGATTACATGTGTGAGTCACCGTGCCTGGCTTAATTTGTGTATTTTTAGTGCAGACGGGGTTTCTCCATGTTGGTCAGGCTGGTCTCGAACTCCTGACTTCAGGTGACTCGTCCACTCCGGCCTCCCAAAGTGCTGGGATTACAGGAGTGAGCCCCTTCTCCCGGCCCCACACACAATCTTAAGAACCACACAGCCTTTTTGTTGGTTCACGGAGGATGAGAAGGGAGATGTAGAAGTGAGCATGACTGTTAGGGACAGGCATGCAGATAGCAGGGAGTAGCAACAGTTGACAGTGAGGAGGAAACTGAAAACTATAAAAACAAAACCAAGTGCAGGAACTCAAAAGCATAACCTGGGTGGGGCTGGGTCCGGAAGCACAGTGGGGGCCCCCGGCCTGTTCCCAAGATCCTGAAGTCACCACCACCTGGGCTCAGTCCTGAGGCACTATTGAAGCCAGTGCCTCAGATGCACCAGAGAAAGGATAACCCATGGGTGCAGCTAGGGAAGCTGCCCTCCTGGGGTCCTGCAAGGACAGGAGGCGAGGCCTGAGGCTTTCCTCGTTTCACTCGGCCACTCCTGAACAGTGCAACCACATTTTAACAAGACTCGCCATGTTAGTGATTGTTTTGATTTTTTTTTTTATTTTTTTATTTTTAGACAAGGTCTTGCTCTGTCACCCGGGTTGGAGTGCTGTGGCATGATCTCGGCTCACTGTAGCCTCCACCTCCCAGGCTCAAGTGATCCTCCCACTGAGCAGCTGTGACTACAGACACACGTCACTATGCCTGGCTAATTTTTGTATTTTTTTCCGTAGAGACAGGGTTTCACCATGTTGCCCAGGCTGCTTAAAGTCCTGAGCTCAAGTGATTCACCCACCTTGGCCTCCCAAAGTGCTGGGATTACAGGCGTGAGCCACTGCACCAGGCCCCTAGTGATTGGTTTTAAATATATTTTTTGTCATAAAGAAATACATATTTACTGGAAAATTCAAAAAGGAAGGGAGAGAGAGAGGGGAAGAAGGAAGAAAGGAAGGAAGGAAAAAAGAAAGAGGAAGAAAGAAAAAAGAGAAAGAAAGAAAGAAGAAAGAGAAAGAAAGAAAGAAGAAAGAAAGAAAGAAAGAAAGAAAGAAAGAAAGAAAGAAAGAAAGAAAGAAAAGAAAAGAAAAGAGAGAGAGAGAAAAAAGAAGGAAGAGAGAGAAAGGCCAATTGCCTATAATCTTATGACACAGAGACAGACACTGTTAAGCTTTGGGGATTTCCTTCCAATCTTTCTTCTGTCTCTATCTCAGGCTTGGTTGGTGTCTATATCCGGGTCGTTCTCTCTATGTGAATACATTAAATACATTAAATTTTAAAAACATTATCATTTGGCCACTCGCAGTGGCTCACACCTGTAATCCTAGTACTTTGGGAGGCCAAGGCAGATGGATCACTTGAGCTCAGGAGTTCGAGACCAGCCTGGGCAACATGGTGAAACCCTGTCTCTACTAAAAAATACAAAAAAATTAGCCATGCATGGTGGCATGTGTCTGTGGTCCCAGCTACTAGGAAGGCTGAGGTGAGAGAATCACTTGAGCCAGGGAGGCGGAGGTTGCAGTGAGCCAAGATGGTGCCACTGTACTCCAGCCTGGGTGACAGAGGGAGACTTCTTCTCAAAAACAAAACAAAAAACAAATAATGATATCCTGCTTTTCACTTAACTTTGTATTTTTATTTTTTGACTCCTCTCATCAGGTGATTTGAAAAAACAAAAGCCGTGGTGCAGTGGCTCGCACCTGTAATGTCAGCACTTTGGGAGGATGAGATGGGAGAATGACTTGAGCCTGGGAGTTTAAGACCAGCCTGGGCAACAAAGTGAGACCCCCATCTCTACAAAAAATAAAAAATATTAGCCGGATGTGGTGGCATGCACCTGTGGTCCCAGCTCCATGGGAGGCTGAGGCAGGAGGATCACTTGAGCCCAGGAGATTGAGAATGCAGTGAGCTGTGTTCATGCCATTGCACTGCAACCTGGGCAACAGAGTGAGACTGTCTCAAAAAAAAAAAAAAAAAAAAAGAAAAGAAAGAAAGAAAAGAAAAGAAAAAAGAGAAAAACCAAAACCCCAACTCAAACTCCAGCTGCTTGGCATCTTTCAGTGAAGATTTCTAGATTTTGCAAATAAAAATATAAAACACCCACGTAAATTTGAATTTCAGATAACACCCTCCCATGTAAATCTGGGACGGACTTATACTAAAAGACGATTTGCTGTGTGTCTGACATTCAAATGTAACCGGCCTGTGTTTTGCCTGGTGATGCTCCCCTCTGGTGCTGAGTGGCTTCAGATCCTGGGAGGCTGCTGGATCCGGGCGGCCGGCTCACACCTGGAGGGCTGAGTCCCGGCTCACACCTTTCCTTCCTCAGCCGTGGATAGGTATCCAGTGACTCCTGGCTTGAGCCCTGTGTCCCTCCTACCTGTCAGGCACCAGGCCTGGTGTTTTGTGGTCATTGTCCGTTTCACTCTCACGAGAGCTGCGACCCCATTTTGCAGAAAAGGAAGAGGAGCTTCAGGCTGAACAACTGTCCAGGATTTCTGAGCCAGGAAGAGGTTTGGGGTCCAGATCTGCCTCACTGGGGTCCCCTTTGCTTGGATGCAAGAGAATCAGAAGGACGCTAAGCCAGGACAGCAAGCGTAGCCCAAGAGGCTGTGACCACGCACCCTCCCCAGAGAGCCCCCTCCCTGGGATGCCCCCTCCCTAGAGGCCCTTCCCCAGGATAACAGGCCTGGGCCTCTGGACCCCACCGCAGCTGATGAAAAGCCCCTGACTGCCCTTGGGGTTCTGAGCTTTTGAATTGCTGGCAACGGTGTCTTCTGAGCCCTCAGGGCTTATTTAAAAGGAGTTAAAGTGCCCCAGTCCCTGGTGGGAGAGGTTAAGTAGCAGGGGTGGAGGATTAAGTGCTGGCTTGGGAATGGGGCGGGGCCTTTGGAAAGCTCTGGAATTGGTTGCTCAGTCTCCCAGCTCTCCTGCCTCTCCCAGACCACCCCACCCCCTGCCATCCTTTTCCCTCTGGTCCTCAGCAAGGTTTTTTTGTTTGTTTGTTTTTTGAGATGGAGTCTCACTCTGTCACCCAGGCTGGAGTGCAGTGGCGTGATCTCAGCTCACCACAACCTCTGCTTCCTGGGTTCAAGTGATTCTCCTGCCTCAGCCTCCGGAGTAGCTGGGATTACAGGTGTGCGCCAGGACACCTGTAATTTTTCTTTGTATTTTTAGTAGAGATGGGTTTTCACCACGTTGGCCAGGCTGGTCTGGAACTCCTGACCTCAAGTGATCTTCCTGCCTTGGCCTCCCAAAGTGCTGAGCTTACAGGCATGAGCCACCACGCCTGGCCTCAGCAAGGTTCTTAGACATAGATGTACCCACAGATCCCTGGCAGAGAGGTAGATACTGAGTGGGTCAGAAAGGTCCGGGACTTTGCATTCAAATAGGCACTTGGAGATTCCAAGGCAGAAAGCCTGCTCCTGACACTTCCCCTGAAGCGCTGGTTTCTGAGACCCCATCACGTGGCTCACCCTGGGAAAGGTGGCAGAGAGGTGACCCCTAGACCTCCTCCACCTGCCCTTCCTCCTCCCACTTCCCCTCCTTTTTCCCTCCCTCGCCCCCCTCCTTCAAGGAGGTGCCCGTCCCTTTTCTGAGGTTGGAGGTCTCGGGAGAAGCACTGACTGGGTGGGCCCCTCCCAAGGGCCTGGTGGCATCTGGAGGCCAAGCCTCCTCCTTCCCCAGCAACTCCTGAAGAGGCAGGTGGAGGGGTCAACTCCGTGAGCCCCTGCCCGTCCCACCCTCTCCCCTTGGGCACAGGCCTGGGGACCCCGGGGAGTCTCAACCTTGGGGGCCCAGGGCAGGAAGGGCCTTCATTAGCCTGGGAGACAGAGTAGCCACAAAGTTCAGCTCCAGCCAGGGGCCAACCTGGGACACAGGAGACTGGGCCCTGTCATCTGGGGCCACACATCTTGGACCGGCTGCAGCAGCCCGGGGTTTTTAATCCAGGGCCCTGAATTAAGCTGTGTTCCGCCGTGACGGGTTTGCTAAGTCCTCGGAGCCAGACCACGTTGGCTGCTCTGCTGGGAAAGGGGTTCTCGGGGTAAGTGAGGAGCAGGAGACCAGCCAAGCCAGCACCGCAGCGGCCCAGAGCCAGGCGTGAGAGGCCAGGACGGGAGGGCTCTGGGGGCAGCACCGTTGCTTTGGGCCTGAGCAGTGGGTGGGAGGTGGATTCAGGCTGAGCTGGGGAGGCCGGGAAGGGCTCAGACCCAAGGCGCTACAGGAGGGAAGAGAATGTGCCCATCTGCCACGTTGGACAGAGTAGAGGCCCCACTGCAGCAAGAGGGATCTGGGTAGGATCTGGAGGAGGCCTTGCTTCCTGGACTGCATGTTTCTAGAAGTCTCCTTGCAGACTGATGGGGTTGAAGGTGTGTTCAGAAGCAGCTCCCCTTTGTCCCACTCAGGCTGAAGAAGGAGGGACATGCAGGCTCAGACAAGTGCAGCTTACGATGGCAGCCTGGGTCTGGAGACACGCCTGCTTGGAGGACGCGCGGGGTCTTCGGGAAGGGGCTTGGTGGGTAGCTCACTCCTGAAGGAGTCAGGCTTCCCGCAAGCTGGTGAGCTGGGCCGCCGCAGCCTCCGCCCCTCGGGCCTGGTGCAGGCCTTGCCTCGGTTCCATTCTCTGCTGTTGCTGTCCTGACGCCCTCCGCACATTTTGAACAAGGGGCCCCACACTCTCATTTTGCACTAGGCTCCGCAGATTCTGCCTGCTGGGCCAGCCCGGGGGAGGCACCTGTTTCACATACTTGCAGAAGCCGTGTGCACTGTGCAGGTGCCTCATCTCGCAGAGGGAGGGGCTGAGTCAGGGGGCTCCTTCCTCCAAGCTCACCAGTCCCACCACCAGCTGGAGTGGGGCCTAACGTGTACCCAGGGAAGGCCGCCCACTGGAAGGAAAGAGGGGTTGGGGCATGGACAGTCCCCACACCAACCGAGCCTGAAGCCATTGGGGAGGAGGCAGAGAGAGCCCAGGGGGACCAGGAGCCCGGAGGAGGAGTGGGGTTCAAGGCGGAACCCCACCGGCCTCGGTGATCCCCGCTTTTCACCTTGTGAGCCCCTTTCACACCCTGGCCTTCCTTTACTGCATTTTCTCCCATTTCACAGGGGGGAGAAACAGACGCTCGGAGGGTTACGGTTGGGAACCCCCCAAAATGGGTATGTGGCTGGCTGGCTTAACACCTGGTGTCTGGTTCGAATAGAAACACCAGGATGCTGCTTGCAGGGAGCCGTTCTTGAACAGGCCTGGGTGGAATCTCAGATTCATATTTCTAAAACCTCCTCAGATTTGGGGACTTCTATGTGAAGTCTTTGCCGAAGTCCACACCCTGGAAGATGCAGGGAGGATGAAAACGTGCCCATCTGCCTCTGGCTTTTGATTCCAGCCCCACCACAGCACAGCTGCCTTCGAAAACACAGGGCAGGAGCTTTCTGCAGCAGTGGCTGGTGGGACAGACAGATGGACGGACACACACACACAGGCAGCAGAACTGGAGGTGAGGGCAGTCAGGAGGCAGTTATGGTTTGGTTCGGTTTCTTTCTTTTCTTTTTTTAAACACCAGCTTGAAAGCTTGAACTAGATTTTATTTATTTATTTATTTGAGACAATCTTGCTGTGTCACTCAGGCTGTAGTGCAGTGGCATGATCACGGCTCACTGCAGGCTTGACCTCCCAGGCTCAAGCGATTCTCCCACCTCAGCCTCCCGAGTAGCTGGGACCACAGGCATATGCCACCATACCCAGCTAATCCCTCCCCTCCCCTCTCCTCCCTTCCCCTCCCCTCCTGTCCCCTCCCCTCTCGTCTCTTTGTCTCCCTCCCCTCCCCTGCTTTCCCCTCCCCTCCCTCCCCTCCCCTGCTTTCCCCTCCTTTCCCATCCCCTTCCCTCTCCTCTCTTCTCTCTTTTCGAGACTGGGTCTCACTTTGTTGCTTCGGCTGGTGTCAAACTCTTGGGCTCAAGCAATCTGCTCACCTTGGCCTCCCAAAGTGCTGAGTAGGTTTTGTTTATTTTTTAAATTAACATTTTAATGTTGAGATAATTGTTTATTTACATGTTGTTGTTGTAAGAAATAATACAGAAGGATCTATGTCCCCTACCCAGAGTCCCACCCATGGTGGTGTCTTGTAAGACTAGAGTACAATGTTACAACCAAGACGTGGATATTGATCCGGTGAACCCATCTTACTGACGTTTCCCTTCTGCTTGTACCCATTTGTGTGTATTTCCTTTCTGTGACCTGTGTAGCTTCCTGTATCCACCACCGCAGTCACAACGCTGAACGCTGCGGCACCCCAAGGACGCCCTGGATCACTCTTTTGCAACTGGACCGACCTCCTTCCTCTTCCTAATCTGCCTCCAAGTCTCCAAGTCTGTTATTTCAAGAATCTTATGTGAACGGAATCATACACCTTGTAACCTTCTGGGAGTGGCTTTTTCCCTCAAAATCATTCCCTGGAGATTCCTGCAAGGTCTTGTGTGGCCCAGTCCGGGGTTCCTTTTCCCGATCCGTGACGTGGAGGCACGACAGCATGTTTAGCATTCGCCCACTGAAGGTCAACCAGGTGTTTCTGGTTTTTGGCTATTATGCATAAGCTGCTATGAACACTTGTATGCAGCTTCTTTTATTTTTTATTTTTATTTTTTAGAGACAGGGTCTTGCTCTGTCGCCCAGGCTGGAGTGTAGTGGCACAATCACAGCTCACTGTAGCCTCAAACTCCCAGGCTCAAGTGATCCTCCCCACTCAGCCTTCTGAGTAGCTGGGACTACAAGTGTGCACCACCACGCCCTGCTAATTTTTAAAGTTTTTTTATAGAGACAGGGTCTTGCTATGTTGCCTGGGCTGATCGCAAACTCCTGACTGAGTAATCCTCCCGCCTCGGCCTCCCAGGGTGTTGGGACTATAGGCGTAATCTACCACGCCCAGCCTTGTGTATAGGTTTTGATGTGAACAAAAGCTTCCATTTCTCTGGGATAAATGGCCAAGAGCACAGTTGCTGGGTCTTATGGCAATTGTGTGTTTAGTTTTATAAGAAACTGCCAAATTGTTTTCCAGAGGGGCTGCACCATGTGACAGGACCAGTAGCAGTTTCTTTTTCTTGTTTTTTTCTTTTTTTTTTTTTTCGAGACGGAGTTTTGCTCTGTCGCCGAGGCTGGAGTGCAATGGCACGATCTTGGCTCACTGCAACTTGTACCTCCTCAGTTCAAGCAACACTCCTGCCTCAGCCTCCCGAGTAGCTGGGATTATAGACACCCGCCATCATGCCCAGCTAATTTTTGTAGAGATAGGGTTTCACCATGTTGGCCAGGCTGGTTCCGAACTCCTGACCTCAGGTGATCCACCCGCCTTGGCCTCCCAGAGTGCTGGGATTACAGGCGTGAGCCACCACGCCTGGCCCCCGGTAGCATTTTCTGAGTGATCCTATTTCTGTGCATCCCCACCAGCATTTGGCGTTGCCACTATTTTTAATTTCTGATAGGTGTTGATGGTATCTCACTGTGGTTCTAATTTGCATTCCCCCCATGGCTCATGGTGTTGGACAGCTTTTCATGTGCTCACTTGCCATCTGTATATTCTCTTTGGTGAAATGTCACCATTGAATTTGAAGCGAGTTTCTTGTAAACAGTGTATGGTTAGGTTGTTTTTCAAAAAATAGACTGCCAATCTCTTGCTTTTTACTTGGTGTATTTCATTTACCTTTAAAGAAAATTATCAATATGTTAGGACTTAGGTCTGCCATTTAAGGATTTGTTTTCTCTGTGTATGTTTTCTTGCTTTTCTGTGGATTCCTTGAACATTAGGATTGAGGTTCATCTTGGTTGATTTATAGTCATCTAGAGGGCGTTTCTTTGTATCACTTCCCTAGTGGTCGCTCTGGTTATTACAAGGTACACGGGTAGCATTTTACCACCTGCAGTGAATGTGGAAGCCTTACTTCCATGTAGGTTCTTTAACCTGTCCCCCTTTTATTTTCATTTTATGTTATTTTTGAGACAGGGTCTCACTTTGTTGCCCAGGCTGGAGTGCAGTGGCACAATCACGGCTCACCGCAGCCTCAACCTCCTGTTCTTAAGTGATCTTCCTGCCTCAGCTGCCTGAGTAACCAGGACTACAGGCACATGTCACCACACCTGGCCTATTGATTGATTGATTGATTGTAGAGATGGGGTCTCACTATGTTGCCTGGGCTGGTCTTTAACACCTGGGCTCAAAGGATTCTCATGCTTCAGCCTCCCAAAGTGCTGGGATTACAGGCGTGGGCCACTGCACCCCCCACCACACCTTTTTAAATATCATTGTCTTGAATATCAGACAGTGTTAGAATTTTTGCTTCAATCATTAAATTTGATTTATAAAGCTCATGAGAAGGATCATCTATTGCAGATTCCCATACACTTGTTCTTTCCATTATTTTTTCCTTCTTAATGCTCCAAGATTCCATTTTATTTTATTTTATTTTATTTATTATTATTTGAAATAGAGTCTCTCTCCGTCGCCCAGGCTGGAGTGCAGTGGCGTGATCTCGGCTCGCTGCAGCCTCCGCCTCCCGGGTTCCAGCACTTCTCCTGACTCAGCCTCCCGAGTAGCTGGCATTACAGGCATGTGCCACCATGCCCGGCTAATTTTTGTATTTTTAGTAGAGACAGGGTTTCACCATGTTGGCCAGGCTGGTCTTGAACTCCTGACCTCAGGTGATCCAGCCACCTCAGCATCCCAAAGTGCTAGGATTACAGGCATGAGCCACCACGCCCAGCCCATTTTATTTTAAAAATCATTTTCTTTCTTTGTGAAAAAACTTCCTTTAGCTGTTCTTTAAGGGCAGGTCTGCTAGCAACAAATTCGTTCAGAAAAAAAATAGATTTTCTATTTTTTCATTTGTTTCAAGAGAACTTGTAATTGCCACTGAAATATTTTTAAGCCGCTTTAAAATCTCAGAATGTCTTTATTTCCCCTTCATTCCTGAAGGATGGTTTTGCCAGACATGATTCGCTGTTGGCAATTCTTTGTTTGCAGCACTTGCAAACACTCACCTTCACCTGGTCTCCGTGGTTTCTGATGAGGAATCTATGGTTTGAGTGGGTGTTCCCCTACAGGGAATGTATCATTTTGTTCTGGCAGCTTTCAACATATTTTTTTTCTTTAGTTTTCAGAAGTTTAATTATCAGGTGTCTCAGCATGGATTTCTTTGGGTAACTATCTGGGACTTGCTCAGCTTCTTGAATGTGTAGATTTGTCATTTGGCAAATTTCAGAAGTTTTAAGCCACTCGTTCTTTTAATACTCTTTCAGCCTCATTTTTTTTTTTTTTTTTTTTTTTTTTTTGAGTCAGATTCTCGCTCTGTCGCCCATGCTGGAGTGCAGTGGCGCCATCTCAGCTCACTGCAAGCTCTGCCTCCTGGTTTCAAGTGATTCTGCTGCCTTAGCGTCCGAGTAGCTGGGATTACAGGCACATGCCACCTCGCCTGGCTAATTTTTGTATTTTTAGTAGAGACGGGGTTTCATCATGTTGGCCAGGCTGGTTTAGAACTCCTGACCTCAGGTGATCCACCCGCCTCAGCCTCCCAAAGTGCTGGGATTACAGGCGTGAGCCACCACACCAGGCCTCAGCCTCTTTCTTTTTCTCCCCTATTTCTGGGTAACTCCAATAATATGTATGTTGGATCTTTTGTTCTATCGTTCCACAGATGCCTGAGGTACTGTTCTTTTTCTCCCCACACCAGTATACTTTCTGTTGTTCAGTTTGGGTAAATTCTATCCATCTGTTCTGAAGTTCGCTAATTCTGTCCTCTATGATCCCATTCTACCATGGAGACTGTTCATTTCTGTTATTGTATTTTTCAGTGCTGTAATTTATATCCTGTTCTTGCTGATAACTATTTGCTGAGATTTTCTATTTTTTCATGTTTCAAGATAACTTAGAATTGCTTGCTAAAGCATTTTTATGCTGCTCTGAAGTCCTGGCCAGATTTTTCCTACATCTGATTTATCCCGGTGTTGGCATTGGTTGGTTGTCTTTTCTCATTCAACCTGTGGCCTTTTCAGGCCTTGGTATGATGGGCGAGTTTTTTTTTTTATTGTGTCCTGGACATTTAAGCTGTTACATTAGGAGGCTCTGGGCTCTCGTCAAATCTTTTGGCCAGCGCGGTGGCTCACACTTGTAATCTGAGCACTTTGGGAGGCTGAGGCAGAAGGATTGCTTGAGCCCAGGAGTTCAAGACTAGTCTGAGCAACATAGTGAGACTCCCGTCTCTACAAAAAATTTAAAAAATTAGCCAGGCGTGGTGGCATATATCTGTAGTCCCAGCTACTCAGGAGGCTGAGCTGGGAGGATCACTTGAGCCTGGGAGGTCGAGGCTGTAGTGAGCTGTGATCGTGCCACTGCACTCCAGCTTGGGCCACAGAGTGAGACCCTGTCTCTAAAATAATAATAATAAATAAAATAAAATAAAATAAATCTTTTATTTTAGTAGGCAGCCACTCTGCTTAGGTTTAGCATGCCGGTCCTGCCCTACTGTTACTGGCTGTGGTTTCCATGACAACCTAATTAGCAGAACCTTTTTGGTGTTAGTTTGGTCGGCGTGGTTAATCTGGTGCCATCGGGGCTGCTACTGGTTCCTGCTGGTTCTTCTTAAGGTGGCAGAAGGAGTGTCTGTGGGTGCTTCTAGGTGGGTGAAGGGAGCCGCAGCCCACAGGGACAAAGAAGACAAAGGTTCCTCCTGCAGGTGACCCCTGCCCCTGGCATCTCTTGGTGGGGGAGGGGAGGTTTCTCTGGCCAAGTCTCAGTAGCGGGGTGATGGGGCCCCTGCTTGTTCCTTTGCTGGTGCCACTAGCTTACCACATGTTGTGGACGGGACTCCTGTTTAATCTGGGGACACAGAGGACCCTATCTGGCTTGTCTGTTTTTGCTGGGCCTGGGTTCCCTTCCTCCACGAGGTGGAGGGCCGTGGCGCTCTGCCTCACTGGGGCTCCTCCAGTCCGGGGGCTCTCACCTGTCGACTGTCTTCCATCCACCTCTGCGTTCTCCTTGGGTTGTCTCTTGTGTTATTTCCAGGGCTTATGGTTGTACTTTGAGAGGGGAGGAGCAGGAAGAAATGAGCCTAGATCATCTTGTCTGGAATGCAGGTTCTGTTTTATTTTTTAAGAGGGGCCATATGGAAGTAAGTTTGGAAGCCAGTGGGAAGGACCTGGTGGAAGGAAGGCTGAAGATGCAGCCAGAGAAGAGAAACTGAGGACATAATGCTCTCCCGGGGCCAGGGCTGGGCTCATTGCTCCATCACCAGCACCTCCTACAGTGCCTATGGGAGCTGCATACGTGGTTCCGGAGTGGAATTGACCCTGAGCTTGCGGGTAGAGGTTCCTCCTGTGAGGGCATAAGAGGGAAGGAGAGTGGGTTTGATGATGGTCCGGGGGGAGGAGGATGGGGAAGGTCTCCTGATGGCTGACACATCCTGATGCTGACAAAGCCATGAAAAGTGAGGGGTGCTGGGCCTGGGGAACTCTGTGAACACAGGGGTTAAATGACAGAGTGAATCCAGGCACAGAATGGTGCCCATACCCACCCCAACGTCATTGCCTGGGAGCTGACATCACCTGCACCTGCCAGGCTGACACCAGCGCTCCCCAGCCCCAGGGCCTCCTGTAATCAAGGCCTTAGGAGTGGAGCCTCAGAAGCAGGAGGAGAAATCAATTCTCTTCCACGCGCCAAAAGCTGCTCATTCAAAACACCCCAAAGACACATCAGGTGGGAGGCACCTGCACTGAGGCTCCTGGAAGCTACTGCAGCAGGACGTGGGAGCAAGGCCCGGCTCCATTTGTCCCCTGCTGGTACAGCCATTTCATGGGTGGGGAGGGTGGAGACCAGGTGTGCTGGCCAGGGATTCCAGGGCGTGGGGTGCAGGGTCCCCTGCGTTTCCTCATATGGATGTCAGAAGTGGAAGAGAACGTCATAGCAGGCCAAGTGGGGTCCAACCCTTTCCAAGGTCTGGATCAGCTGTGCTGTGCACCCACAGCCCTCTGCCTGCCCTCTGCTCCACACCTACCCCTCCAGGCCCTGATTTTCCCGCTGGACTGTGCCCGGGAACATGTCGTTCTCTCTATTGTATGGGTGTGTGTGTGAGAGAAAGATGCACATATTTGGGTATATACATGATGTGTGAGGCATGTATATGTGTGTATCATGTTTAATTTTCTCAATATTCAAAAAGCCCACAAATTTGATAAGAAACAGATAAACAACTCAACAGAAAAATAGGCATAAATATAAACAAGTAATTCATAGAAAAGGAAATTCACATAGTCAATTGCACTTAAAATATATGCAAACCCTAGTAAAATATGACATTATTTAAAGATACAGATACGATGACCAACATTGGTTCTAGTGAGCAAACATGAAGCAATGTTTAGCCTCATCAAAAGGAAAATGCAAATTAAGGCCATGAAGTGATACATTGTTCGCCCTTTAGGTTGCTAAAATTTAATAAAAGCTCTAAGATTCACTGAGGCAAAAAACCTGGGGGAAATAGACATGGACATGCTTGGTGGAAATGTGAATGCAATTACTTCCTGGGAAAGTACTCTGGCAATATCTACTAAAATGAAAATAATACACATAAGCTTTGACCCAGTGATTCCACTCTGGGGAACCTCTTCTTTAGAAACAAAAACAACGGGGTATGAAAATAGATGTAAAAGAATTGCTTTTCCAGCTGGGTGCGGTGGCTCATGCCTGTAATTCCAGCATTTTGGGAGGCTGAGGCAGGTGGATCACCTGAGGTCAGGAGTTCGAGACCAGCTAGGCCAACATGGTGAAACCCTGTTTCTACTAAAAATACAAAATTAGCTGGGCATGGTGTCACACACCTGTAATCCCAGCTACTCAGGAGGCTGAGGCAGGAGAATCACTTGAGCCCAGGAGGCGGAGGTTACAGTGAGCTGATATGGCCCCACTGCACTCCAGCCTGGTCAACAGAGTGAGACTCCACCTCAAAAAAAAAAAAAAAAAAAAGAATGCTTTTTCGGCACTGTCTATGGTGGTGAAACCAAAGCAAAACAAAAAAAATAAAGAAATTGGAAGTAATTTGTGAATGCACATCTTTATAAGTATATAATTGTAGCATATTTAGGGCAGCCACAGTGGTTGACACCTGTAATCCCAGCACTTTGGGAGGCCAAGGCAGAATGATTACTTGAGCCCAGGAGTTCAAGACAAGCTTGGGCAACATAATGCGATCCCATCTCTATAAATAATTTTAAAAATTAGCCAGCCATTGGCCAGGCATGGTGGCTCATGTCTGTAATCCCAGCAGTTTGGGAGGGCAAGGCAGGTGGATCACCTGAGGCCAGGAGTTCGAGACTAGCCTGGCCAACATGGTGAAACCCCTTCTCCACTAAAAATACAAAAATCAGCTGGTTGTGGTTTAGGATACAGGCCCGTGCCTGTAATCCTAGCTACTCGGGAGACTGAGGCAGGAGAATCGCTTGAACTAGGGAAGTGGAGGTTGAGCCAAGATTGTGCCACTGCACTCCAGCCTGGGTGATAGAGCAAGACTTTTTCTAAAAAAAGAAACCAAAAACATTAGCCAGGCATGGTGGCATATGCCTGTGATCCCAGCTACTAGGGAGGCTAAGGCAGGAGGATTGCCTGAGCCTGGTAGGTTGAGGATGCAGTGAGCTGTGATAGCACTGCTGCGCTCTAGCCTGGGCGACAGAGCAAAATGCTCTCAACTGCCCGCAGCCCCCGTTCCCCGACACACACAAATTGTAGCAAATTTACACATGGCAGCCTTGAAATGGAATGAGTTAAATCTAGGCCAATTACCATGAAAGGGGATGTCCATCAAATATTTGATAAAGAGGGGGGAATACCAAATAGACACTGTATGTTATGATCTCCATTTTTTAATATGAAGCAAGAAATAATCCTGCTACCCTCCACCAGTGGGGTATGAATAGGAGGAATCCATGGACCAGTCCCAAACTGGCTGCTGACCCTGAATGCCTTGGAGAAGTGAGATTGGAGGGAAGGTGGGAAAATGGTGAACTTTTCTTTGTTTATCTTTGCATGGTTTCACTTGCCAAAGCCGGGAGGTGTTACTTTTTTTTTTTTTTTTTTTTTTTTTTGAGATGGAGTCTCTCTCTCTCTGTCACCCAGGCTGGAGTGCAGTGGTGCGATCTTGGCTCACTGCAACCTACGCCTCCCAGGTTCAAGCGATTCTTCTGCCTCAGCTTACTGAGTAGCTGGGACTACAGGCATATGCCACCATGTCCAGCTAATTTTTGTATTTTTAGTAGAGACGGGGTTTCACCATGTTGGCCAGGATGGTCTCAATCTCTCGACCTTGTGATCCGCCTGCCTCAGCCTCCCAAAGTGCTGGGATTACAGGTGTGAGCCACCACGCCCGGCCAGTGAGCCACCACACCCAGCTGAGGTGTTACTTTTTAAAAATAGCTCTACTGATGTATAATTTTTTTTTTTTGAGATGGAGTCTCGAGCTCTGTTGCCCAGGCTGGAGTGCAGTGGCATGATCTAGACTCCCTGCAACCTCCGCCTCCCAGGTTCAAGCGATTCTTGTGCCTCAGCCTCACTAGTAGCTGAGATTACAGGCTAGTAGAGATGGGGTTTCACCATGTTGGCCAGGCTGGTCTCGAACTCCTGAACTCAGGTGATCTGCCTCGACCTCCCAAAGTGCTGGGATTACAGGTGTGAGCCACCACACCAGGCCATGATGTATAATTGAGATAACAAAAACTCACAAATTTAAAAGGTATACTTTGATAAGTTTTGACATGCATACACCCATAAAACTATTACCCCAATCAGATAGTAAACCCGTCCATCGCTCCCCACATTTCTTCTCCCTCCATCCCTCCCTGCTTCCCTGCTCCCCAGTCCTGACCTCTGGCAACCACACTCTGCTTCCCGTCAGCATAGATTCTTTACATTTTGCAGAGTTTTGTATAAATGGAATCAACAGTATGGACTCTTTTTCATCTGGCCTCTTTCACTTGGATAATTATACTGAGATTCATTCATGCTGTTGGCTTTATGAATAGATCATTTATTTTTATTGTACAGTAGTGTTCAATTGTATGCAAATAACACAGTTTGTTAATCCATTTACCTGTTGATAAGTTGTTTCCAGTCTTCAGCTATTACAAATAAAGCTGCTATGAATATTTGTGTACCAGTCTTTGTATGGACTTTCATTTCTTACATTCAGGCATTCATACATTTCATATCCTACATT
This sequence comes from Homo sapiens, assembly GCF_000001405.40. Lineage (NCBI taxonomy): Eukaryota > Metazoa > Chordata > Mammalia > Primates > Hominidae > Homo > Homo sapiens. Next base: position 79,881,940 of record NC_000017.11, read on the forward strand.
TCATACGTTCATGAAATGTATACTTTCACTCAAATACCTAGGGATGAAATGGCTGGACCACACAATAGGTGTATCTTTGACTTTTTAAGAAACCAGCAACCTTTTCCAAATTCATTGTACCATTTTGCATTCCCAGCAGCAGTACATGAGAATTCTATTTCGGCCACGCCCTCGCCAAACATTTGATTTCATCAATCTTTTTACTTTAGACATCTTAATTGGTGGGTAGTGGTATCATGTTGTGGTTTTAATCTGCATCTCTCTAACAACTAATGATTTTCAACATCTTTTTATCTTCTTATTCGCCATATGTATATGTATATATACATATATATATATATGACTTCTTTGATGAAGTATCTATTCAAATGTTATGCCTACTTTTTTCTTTTTTTAAGCAGGTGGGGGGTTGTTTTCTTATGATTGAGTTATGAGAGTTCTTTTTATATTCTTTATATATGTCCTTCATCGGATGAATTATTTACAAATATTTTCTCCTAGTTTGTGTCTTTCCATTCTCTTCTTTCGAAGAGCAGAAGTTTTAACTTTTTCTTTTTAAAACTAAAATAGCTTTATTGGGATATACGTCATATACTACACAATTCACCCATTTACATGTACAACTCAAAGATTTTCAATATCCAGGTGACCCTTGAACAATATTCATTTTAACAACATGGGCCACTTATACACAGATTTCCTTCCACCTCTGCTCCCCGTGAGACAGAAAGATCAACCCCTCCTCCTCCTCCTCCTCAATGGGAAGACCATGAGGATGAAGGCCTTTAGGATGATCCACTTCCACTTAATGAACAGTAAATATGCTTTCTTTTCCTTATGATTTTCTTAATAACATTTTCTTTCCTCTAGCTTATAGTAAGAATCCAGTATATAATACATATAACATGCAAAATATGTGTGAATCAACTGTTTATCTGTAAGGCTTTTGAACAACAGTAAGCTCTTAGTAGTTAAGTTTTGGGGGAGTCAAAAGTTATACGTGGATTTTTGACTGCAGGGAGTCAGTGCCTCTAACCCCCGTGTTGTTCAAGGGTCAACTTGTATTAACAGATATGTGCAAACATCACCACTGTCAACATTAGAACATCTTCATCACCCCCACAAATCATCTTATATGCATTAGCAGTCCTGCCCCATTTTCTCCTACCCCCACCCCCACCCCCAGCCCTAGGCAACCTCTAATGAATATTTTTAATTTTGATAACTCCATGTATTAGGCTGTCTTGCATTGCTATAAAGAAGAGGTTGGGTAATTTATAAAGAGGTTTAACTGGCTTACAGTTCTGAAGGCTGTACAAGCATGGTGCCAACATCGCTTGGATTCTGGGGAGGCCTCATGGCTGCCGGTGAAGTGGCAGCAGGTGTGTCCTGTGGCAAGATCAGGAGTGAGAGAGAGTGGGAGGGGGGTGGTACTCTCTTTTCAACAACCAGATCTCCCGAGAACTCTCACTATCAAACAGCGGCAAGGAGATGGCGCTAAACCATTCATGAGAAATCCATCCCCATGACCCAGTTAGCTCACACCAGGCCCCACGTCCAATACTGGGGATTACATTTCAACAGGAGATATGGCAGGGGCATGTGTTCAAACCATATCACCCCAAGTTATCAAGTTTTTCTTTTACGGATCTCACATTTGGTGTTGTTTCTAAGACATCTTTGCCAAACTCAAGGTCAGAACATTTCTCTCATATTTTTCCCCCAGAAGTTTTGTAGTTTTTGAATTTACATATTATAGGTCAATGATCCGTTTTGAATTAATTTTTGGGTGAGGTGCGTGGCATGGATTAAAGGTCTCTTTTTGCCCGTGAATATCCACATGCCCCATTGGATGAAGACGTCATCCTTTCTCCACTGAATTGCTCTTGGACCTTGATCTGATTGGGCTCTGTGTCCCCACCCAAATCTCATCTTGAATTGTACTCCCATAATTCCTATGTGTTGTGGGAGGGACCCGGTGGGAGATAATTGAATCATGGGGGTGGCTTCCACCATACTGTTCTCATGGTAGAGAATAAGTCTCACGAGATCTGATGGTTTTATCAGGGGTTTCCACTTCTGCGTCTTCCTCATTCTCTGTTTGCCTGCTGCCATCCATGTAAGACGGGACTCCTTCCTCCTTGCCTTTCGCCATGATTGTGAGGCTCCCCAAGCCACGTGGAACTGTAAGTCCAATTAAACCCCTTTGATTTGTAGATTGCCCAGTCTCAGGTATATCTTTATCAGCAGCATGAAAATGAACTCATACATACCATTATCAGAAAGAATCAGTTTTTCACGTATGTACAAATCTGTTCTGTTCCACCAGCCTATTTGGCCATCTTTGCACTAATACCCTACAGCCTTGAGTACTGAAGCCTTCTAGTAAGTCTTGATATTGGATAGTTTAGCTCTCCAACTATGTGCTTCTTTTTCAAAGTTATTTTGGCTAGTCTAGGTCTTTTTATACTTTTATATGAATTGTAGAATCAGCTTCTAAATTTCTACCAAAAGGAAAAAAATCCTGCTGGGGCTCATGCCTGTAATCTCAGCACTTTGGGAGGCTGAGGAGGGTGGATCACTTGAGCCCAGGAGTTCAAGACCAGCCCAGGCCAACATAGCAAAATCCCAGCTCTACCAAAAAAAAAAAAAAAAAAAAAAAAAAAAACAGTTAGCTGGGCTTGGTGGCACTTGCCTGTACTCCCAGCTACTCAGGAGGCTGAGGTAGGAGGATCACCTGAGTTTGGAAGGTTGTGGCTATAGTGAGCTGTGATCACATCACTGCACTCCAGCTTGGGTGACCCTGTTTTTTTAATTAAAAAAAAAAAAAGCCTGCTGGGATTTTTTGAATCAATAAGTAAATTTGGGGGGAGGTAATATCATAACAATATTGAATCTTCTAAGCTGTGAACAGGACACCTGTTTCCATTTATTTAGATCTTTAGTTTCTATAAGCAATGGTTTGTAGTTTCCCATGAACAAATCTTAGTTCCCTTGTGCCAGATCCATCCTTGAGTGTTTCATATTTTTGGTGCTATTATAAATGATATTTTTAAACATTTCAAATTTCTAATTGTTGCTGGTATCTAGAATACAATTTTTTTTATTATTTTTATTTTTATTTTTTTTTGAGATGGAGTCTTGCTCTGTCGCCCAGGCTGGAGTGCAGTGGTGCGACCTCGGCTCACTGCAAGCTCCTCCTCCCAGGTTCACACCATTCTCCTGCCTCAGCCTCCCAAGTAGCTGGGACTACAAGCGCCCGTCACCACGCCTGTCTAATTTTTTGTATTTTTAGTAGAGATGGGGTTTCACCGTGTTAGCCAGGATGGTCTCGATCTCCTGACCTCATGATTCGCCCGCCTCAGCCACCCAAAATGCTGGGATTACAGGTGTGAGCCACCGCGCCTGGCCTAGAATACAATTAATTTTTACATATGGATATTTGTTTATTTATTTGAGACAGAGTCTCTGTCTGTGCAGTGGCGCGATCTCGGCTCACTGCAGTCTTCACCTCCTGGGTTCAAACGATTCTCATGCCTCAGCCTCCTGAGTAGCTGGGATTACAGATACGCACCACCACGCCCGGCTAATTTTTGTGTTTTTAGTAGAGACAGGGTTTTGCCATGTTGGCCAGGCTGCTCTCGAACTCCTGACCTCAAGTGATCTGCCCACCTTGGCCTCCCAAAGTGCTGGGATTACAGGCATGAGCCACTGCACCCGGCCATATTGATATTTATCCTGAAAACTTGCTAAACCCACTTACTAGTTTCTAGCAGTTTCTTTGTAGGTTCTGTTTCATTTTCAACATAGATGATATTGTCCACAGAGAAGGACCATTTTACTTTTTCCTTTCCAGTGGAGATGCTTTTTTTTCTTCCTTTTTTCACAGGCTAGAACCCCCAGTACCATGCTCAACAGAAGGTGAGAGCAGGCATTCTTGTATTGGTTCTAATCTTTGGGGGAAAGTATTTAGTTTTTCACCATTTATTGTGATGTTTAAGGTGCATTTTTCTCACATGCCCTTTATCAAATTGAGAAAGTTCCCTTCTCTTCCTAGTTTGCTGAGAGTTTATTTTAGTCATGAATGGATGTTAAATTTTGTCAAATGTTTATTTCTGGCTGGGCACGGTGGCTCACGCCTGTAATCTCGGCACTTTGGGAGGCCAAGGCAGGTGGATCACCTGAGGTCAGGAGTTCTAGACCAGCCTGGCTAACATCGTGAAACCCCATCTCTACTAAAAATACAAAATTAACCAGGTGTGGTGGCGCGCACCTGTAATCCCAGCTATTCAGGAGGCTGAGGCAGGAGAATTGCTTGAACCCAGGATGCAGAGTTTGCAGTGAGTGGAGATCGTGTCACTGCACTCCAGCCTGGGCAACAGAGTGAGACTTTATCTCAAAAAAAAAAATAAATAAAATAAACAAAATCAAGGTAATGCGTGCATACAGATTTTCTAAAATAGTGCAATAGCTTCCTTGGCTTCCTTTTCCCTCTTCTGAACCTGTTCTCCAGAGACAGCTGCTCTTCAGGGCCCTTAGCTCTTTGTGGACTTAGTTCTGGCCATTGCCTCCACATCTTCAGATGGCAAACGCATGCAACCCCCCATTTGATGGATATTGACCCAGGGCCTCCTGTGTGTCAGGCACTGTCCCAGGCCCTTGTGAAACTCCAGAAACAAAACAGGCAAAGATCCCTCCCCTCTGGGAGCTGATATAGGGGACTGACCTCATCCTGGAGCAAACATAATTCCCGCAGGGGCAGATGGACAACAACTGATAAACACCATAAACCCGTGAGTGGGGTGCACCTGAGAATGCAGGAAGCACTTTGGAAAAAAAATAGCACAGGGTAAGGGGAGAATCAGGAGTGCCAGGAAGAGGGGTACGAGCTAAAGTAGGCTGGCCAGGGAACACTGAGCTGAGGAGACGTTTAAGCCAAGGCTTACAGGAGAGGAGGGGCTAGCTACATGGAGGTGTGGGGGGACAGGAGCGGGTGTTCCAGGCAGAGGCCCCAAGGCAGGAGTGTGTCTGCTGTGTTCAGGAATAGCAAGGAGGCTGGTGGGCTGGAGGGGACCCTGGAGTCAGAGATGAGGAGGAATGAGGAGAGGAGGCTGGGGGGCTGGAGGGGACCCTGGAGTCAGAGATGAGGAGGAATGAGGAGAGGAGGCTGGGGGGCTGGAGGGGACCCTGGAGTCAGAGATGATGAGGAGGAATGAGGAGAGGCGCCCCATCACTTAGGGTCTTGGAGGCAATTGTAAGGACTTCAGTTTTTTTGTTTTGTTTTGTGTTTTGTTTTTTTATCAGAGAAAAATGAGGAGTGCTTGCTAGATTCTGAGCAGAGAAGTGGCATGTGCTGACTTGGGCTTTTACAGGACCGCTCTGGCTTCTCTATTGAGGATGGTTCTCGGGCAGAAGTAGGGACGCTGGTTAGGAGGCCAGTGCATTAATCCAGGCGAGAGATGGCAGCTGCCTGGGACCAATGGAGGGGACTAAGAAGGGTGGGTTCTGAATCATGGAGCAATACTGAGGGTAGAGGCGACAGCACTTGTTGATAGATTGGATGTGAAGAGAAAAAGAGAGAATCAAAGACACTCCAAGTTTTATTTGCTGGAGCAACTGGAAGGACGGAGTTGACAAAAATTAGGGTGGGGCAGCTGCGGAGGGAGGTCAGATGTCCAGTCTGCGGGGTGCGGAGGTGGGTGGCCCCCTCGATGGTCTAGCTGGGATATCGTCCATTTTAATTGGATGCGGTCCACTGGAGTTGGGAGCATGGTTTGGGCTAGAGGTGTGACCTAAAGAGCTGATGACAGGAAGATGCTATTTAGTGCCATGGGACTGAGTGCGATCACCACTCATCTCTTATCTCTGCATCCATGTGGACCCGTTATCTCTTCCTGCTGTGATGGCGGAGCAGCAAACCCAGTCCCATCCTGCTCCTTCCAATACAGGAGGACCATTACTTTTATTTATTTATTTTATTTTTTTTAACTTTTTTTTTTTTCCCGAAACAGGGTGTCACTCTGTTGCCCGGGGTGGAGTGCAGTGGCGCAATCACAGCTCACTACAGCCTCTACTGCTGGGGTTCAAATTGTCCTCCTGCCTCAGCCTCCCAAGTAGCTGGGACCACAGGTGCACACCACCCTGCCTGGTTAATGTTTTTCTTTTTTGTAGAGGTGGGGTCGCACTTGGTTGCCCAGGCTGGTCTCAAGTGCGCACTTGGTTGCCCAGGCTGAGCTCGAGTGATCCGCCCACCTCGGCCTCCCAAAGTGCTGGGATTGCAGGCGTGAACCACCGCACCCAGCTGGGCGGCCCAGGACTTTTAGCTGCCGCTTGCTTCACGAAACTTTGCTACAACCCCATCTCAGAAGCCACAGAAGACACTGTCCCAGCGTCTCTCAGCTGACTCTCCTCTGGGTTGTGAGGATATGAGGGTCCCTGCCCCGCCCCTCGGGGCTTCCCTCCGCCCCACTCTCGCCCTCTGCATCTCTGCTTCTCTAGCCTGCTGCGGAGACTGGGGCTGGAGGCTCCTCTGTGACCAGCTATCCTTCGGGCCTTTTTCACAGGCTGGTCCTAAAAGTGGGAGATTGATGGTGGTTATGTGACTATGACACGGCCCATGAAGATTCAGGCACAGCTGAGTGGCACCGTGGTCATGGCTGTGGGTTTTCTCTGGGTCTCAGCTTGCCCTCTCTCTCTGTTTGCACCATCTGCCTCTGTCACATCCCGGGCCCTTCTGACTTCACCGTGATAGCGAAACTCCTCTGAGATGCCGTGGGGCTGAGTCCGCTGTCAGTTTGACTGGATGAAGCTTCAGTGAGCTCGAGCCTGTCCCTCTTCCGCTGAAAGGGAAACCCTGGGGTCTGGCCTTTGGTTAGAATATTGGGATGCCCCAGCTGTGTCTGTGAGGGCGTTTCCGGGGGGAGATTGCTGTGAGGGTTGGGAGACCAAATGGTGAAGACCCACCCTCCATGTGCGTGGGCACACCCAGTGGCCGGGGTCCCAAATGGAACAAGAAGGCAGAGAAAGAATGAATTCCGGCTCTCTCCCGAAGCCAGCTCACTTCTGTCCTGGACGCCAGGACTCCAGGCTCTCTGGCTTTTGAACTCCAGGACTCGCACGCATGGCCTCCTGGGTTCTCAGGCCTTTGGCCTCAAACTGAGAGTGATGCCAGCGGCTTCCCTGGCTCTGAGGCCTTTGGACCAGGAGTGAGTCACAGCCCGGGCTCCCTGGGTCTCCAGCTTGCAGGCGGCCTGTCATGGGACTTAGCCTCCATAATTGAGTGAGCCAATTCCCTTCCAAACTCCCTTCTCACCCCTCTGTCTCCCCGCTGTGGGTTCTGTCTTCCTGGAGAACTCTGACTGAAACAACTCCTTTGTGGGAGAAGTCCCGGCCGTTTGGGAGCCCCTGCCCCTGCTCTAGCCTGGAGGTGGCTTGGAGCTGCTGCTCAGCGTGTGTCCAGGGACAGGTTCCTTTCATGCCCTTCCTGAGGCAGAGCCAGATTCCCATGCCCCATTGCTGCTACTGCTGCTACCACTGTTCCTACGAGTGCGACTGCCGCTGCTACCACCAGCATCACCGCCAGAGCTACTGCTACCACTGTTACTATGGGTACTACTGATACCACAGTGCCACCAATACCGCTTCTACCAGCACTGCTATTCCTTCTTCTAAATTGAGGTGAAATTCACACAACGTAAAGTTCACCACCTGAAAGTGTACGACAGTGGCGTTTAGACATTCACAATGTTGTAAAACCCCTATCTCTATTTTTGTTGTTGTCATTGTTTTGATTTTTTGAGATAGAGTCTCACTCTGTTGCCCAGGCTCGAGTGCAGTGGCGTCATCTCAGCTCACTGTAACCTCCGCCTCCCGAGTTCAAGCGATTCTCCTGCCTCAGCCTCCCGAGTAGCTGGGATTACAGGCATGCGCCACATGCCTGGCTAATGTTTTGTATTTTTAGTAGAGACAGGGTTTCCCCATGCTGTCCAGGCTGGTCTCGAACTCCTGACCTCAGGTGATCCGCCTGCCTCAGCCTCCCAAGTGCTGGGATTACAGGCGTGAGCCACCGCGCCCGGCCCCCTATCTCTATTTAGTTCCAGAACAACCCATGGAAATGGAAACCACGCACCCTCTAAGCAGTCACTCCCCGTCTCCCTGCTCCCCCAAGCTCCTGGCAGTGGTGAGCCTGTTTCCTGTCCCTAGGGAGTGCCTGTTCCGGGCGTTTCATGGAACTGGAATCACACAGGCACGTGCCTTCCGCGTCTGGCTTCTGTCAGCACAGCGTCTTCCGCGTTCATCCCTGCTGTGCACGCATCAGCATCGTGCTCCTTTTTGTAGCTGAATGCTGTCCCCTGCACGGATAGACCACATTTTGTCTGTTCATCCATGGATGGACACGCGTGGCTTCCACCCTTTCCGATCGTGGATAATGCTGCTGTGAACACATGTGTACGTGTATTCGTTTGGGTCCCCTTAGGGTCTATACCCGCAAGGGGACTTGATGGGTCTACGGACGTTCTGTGGTAGCTGTTGGAAGAAGCCCTGTTGCTTCTTGGTGCTCCCTGCTGAGCATATCCTAAGGAACTTTCCAGGAAGGATCTGTGGGGGCCAGACTTCCTTAGACCTGGCCTGTCCCCCACTCCATCACAGCTGGCCCAGAAGCTGCTCCTCTCTCTCCCTGCCGAAACCCAGAGGACTGTTCTGTAAGAAAGTGGACACCCTTGCCAGCGGATGCTGGGATGCAAAGCACAGCTCTGCATCAGCATTCCTGGGTCCCGTCCCTGTCAAGATTCCCTTGCCCATAGCTAACAGGAAAGCAAACTGCACAGCGCTGCTCAAGGGAGAGTCATGTCCTGACCTCACTTTGTTTGCGGGACTGGCCAAGTGCAAGTCCCCGTGGGATGGAAGAGGAAAGGGGGCTCAGGGAGGCAGAGCTCCCGCTCCAGGCTCAGAGGGAGTCAAGACAGAGCCTGGCGTCCTCACTCTGTGACCCCATGCCAGGGCTCCCTGCCCAAGGGTAAAGAACCTTGGATGAGGTCCAGGTTCATTAATCCCTCGCCAGCACGACTCTGGGCAGGGATCTTAGTCAGGGAGATTATGGGGGCCAGGTTAGAGGAGGTATGGGGACCTGGGCCAGCACAAGGGGAAAACCTAACTCTGGGGCGGGGAGGGAGGTCAGGGAAGGCTCCCTGGAGGAGGAGGTTCTGGGGGCCAAGTCTTAAGAATGCAAAGCAGATAGTCAGGAGGAAAGGGGCTGATGGAAGGAGGGTGATTCTGGCAGTCATAAAGCTTGGGTGAGGTGGGAGAGTAGGGGCAGTGATTAGAGGGACAGGAAGGGACCCTCCCAGGAAGGAGCTTGACCGCCAGTGCAAATGTTTAGATTTTATCATGAAGGCCTCGGGAGGCCCTGGACAGCTCTAAGCAAGAGGAGCTATGGGATAGGAGGTCGGATCCCATCTGGAAATCTTATTCTGGATCAGCAAGGGGTGAGCCGAGGGAGGGACCCCAGCACCCAGACCTCTGTCTTGCAGGGCTGGAGTGACTGTCAACAAGCTAACCAGTGAGACAGGCGCGAGCCCACACTCAGGGACTTGGGCTTCCCTGGAAGCCTCATCCACTCCCCATCTCACCCAAGCTTTCCTGCAAGCCTGGAACGCCTCATTTCACCAGACCTCTTCCTCCTGAATACCCCACGCGTCCTTAAGCGCATACACCAACTTTCACGCGAAGCAGAATCACGTGGCATTCGGAACTTCGTGTACGTGTGAAATGTAAAAGTCCTGAACTGCACCAAATATCAGCTTTCACACACGCAGCAACCATTTCTCTGCAGCCCATCACCCAAGGACCAAATCTCACACTCAACTTGACAGGTGTGGAAACAGCTCATGACTGGGTCGTACCTGGCTCCCGGGGACAGGACAGCAGTGGCTGCCAGGCTGCTGGTGGGCAGTTCAGGGCCAGCAGATCCCACCCCACCTCCCCTCCAAGCCCCCACGGGGATGTGGCCCCCTGGCCTTTATTCCTTCATTGCTTGAAAGCTGGTTGGCAGTTTGTTCTCAGCCTGGCTTTGAGTCTGGGGACCCCAGGACAGGACTGGTCCCTGCTTTCCTGGAGCAAATGTGGCTCGGAAACAGCCGTAAAGATGCCCAGCACCAGGCAGGGACCCGTGGAGGGCCCACAGGGGTGTGAGGGAGCCCTGCTCTATCAGCCATGTCACTGGACAGGTTGCCTCAGCTCTTGAGACCTCAGGATGAAACATGGCATGTTCTAGAAGCATTTGTGACCAGGAGAGCTAGAGACTTTCCTAAGGGTCTCAACCAAGCCCTGTGGGGCTCCTTGGCGCCCCAGCCCTCAGAGGGTCCCGCTGGTGGACGAGGGGCTAAGGAGACCTTGGCCAGACTGGCACTGGGAGAGCAAATTCTCCCCTTTCTCCCACCCCATGAGCATGACCCCGAATGGTTCTCTGTCCATTCCGGACCTCATCCTCTCCGTCGTAAATGAACAGACTGGATCAGACCACAGAAGTTTCCCGTAGCTCTGGCCTGCGTTCTGTAACTCTAGACAAGCTAGGCCATCATGGCTCCTCCCCCAGGACAGATGATGAGCAGAAACAGAGGGTGTCTTTCTGTAGATCACACAACAGAGGGATACCTGAGTGGAGGACAGACAGAGGTTTCTGAGCCACCGCCTAAGGCTCCTACTGGCAGCAAACCAAGAGGTGTGGCAAGTGCAGGGCGGTGCATGAGTGTTTGCAGGTGCAGGGCGGTGCATGAGAGAGTGTTTGCAGGTGCAGGGCGGTGCATAAGACAGTGTGCGTAGGTGCAGGGTGGTGCATGTGTGCTTGAACATAGGCATGAGACAGTGTGTGCATGTGTGTGAGTGTGTGTTTGGGGGAGTGGGCTGAGCCCACTCAAACCTCTCCCCAACCCCCAGCACTTTGTCCAAACAGTTCCAGGCAGCCTGGATAGGCTGGGGTATGGATCTCTTTTTCTGGCCTCTTGACCTCCCCTGGAGGCTGGGAGGCCTCCCCTTCTCCTCAACCCCATGTATTTTTAGGCCATCTCCCTGCAGGCAAGATCCCCGGAGACCATGGTGCAGGCAAGTGTCTACAGCTGTCGCCTGGAAGCCTCCTTTCAGGCCAGCAGCAGTGGGGGCAGGGTGTGCAGAATGAAGTGGCCAGTGGTGCCTCTAGACTTCAGTTCTCTTAGTGGAAAAATGGGGAGGATAAAATCAGTTTGGTGGGAGGTGACGTGAGCTGATGCATGGAGGGTGCTTGGCACGGATCCTGGCATTCAGCAGAAGCTTGACAAATGTCAGCGTGGCCCCACGTCCCAGGTACATGTGCCCCCATGTCTGCCATAGGTGCTACAGTTCACAAAGTGTGCTTGCAGACTTCCTTCTGTCTCATCCTCACAACTGCCCCGGGGGCAAAGACAGCCCTTGTTAGCCTCCTTCCTCCCTGTGCTCCACAGCCTGCTTGGTTCCAGGAATCAGGAGAGGAATGTGGCTCCTCCAGCCCTTAGTTTGTCAATCCCGGCAGGGAGGTGACTGGAGTGGGAGAGGTCTGGGGGACCCTCTGCAAGGCTGGCCTATCGATCTTCCTGGGCACAGTGATGCAGAGCCCAGGGTGGGGTTGGGTAGAAGGGGCTGGATTAACGAAGTGACAGAGAGCTTGAAGAGCATGAAACACCCAGCTGGCAGCACAGCACAGGCACTCAGTAAATAGTCGTCATCATCATCACCACCTTCATCATCATCATCATCACCATCATCATCATCATCATCACCATCATCACCATCACCATCATCATCATCATCACCATCATCATCATCACCATCATCATCATCATCACCATCATGATCATCATCATCATCATCATCATCATCATCATCATCATCATCATCATCATCATCATCATCATCATCATCATCATCATCATCATCATCATCATCATCATCATCATCATCATCATCATCATCATCATCATCATCATCATCATCATCATCATCATCATCATCATCATCATCATCATCATCATCATCATCATCATCATCATCATCATCATCATCATCATCATCATCATCATCATCATCATCACCATCATCATCATCATCATCATCATCATCACCATCATCATCATCATCACCATCATCATCACCACCATCATCATCACCATTATCATCATCACCATCATCATCATCATCACCATCATCATCATCATCATCACCATCATCATCATCATCACCATCATCATCACCATCATTATCATCATCGTCGCCATCATCATCATCATCACCATCATTATCATCATCACCATCACCACTACCACCTTCCTTTTCATCGCTGTTGTTGTGGGCATCCCCCTCCTCACCAGCACCTCCATCATCATCATTGTTGTTGTCATCATCATCACCACCATGAGCCTTCCTCTCCTCTTCCTCATCCTCATCAGCAGCATCACCCTCATCAAAATCATCATCATGGCCATCATCATCACCACCATCACTCTCATTATCATTCTGGGATTGGGAAGAGAGGAGGGAGTGGGCAGGGTCTCATCCCATTCCTGACATTTTGCCTGCCAGTGTCAACCCAGAGTTGCCTGGGAGCCTGCAGCCCCCATCTCCATGTTCATTCTAGTCTCAATACTATAGACCGCCTTCCCACCCTTGAACCCTTGAATCCTCTTACTCTTCCACCCCCAACACAGATGATGGGCTTCCCAAGGAGGAAGAGTCAAGGATGTCAGTCTGAATGCTCCTTGGGGAACTCTGGTGGGGCTTATTTCAGATACCTTGATTCTTCATGGTTCATAGGTTCAATGTTGAGATTGATCTTTGTGATGGTCGATCTTTAATTTATCTGCTGCTTCCACAGATATCAGTGAAAGACACAGTCCTGGCCCTGACCCATGCTGGAGGGCTCTGGAGAGACCCACAGGGTAGCAGATGGAGTATAGGATGTGAGTCTTGAGGTGGGGTGCACCCTTGTGAGGGGCACCTAACCTGGGCCTGACTTTGTTGTCATTGTTTTTTAGAAGATATTCCCTCCCTTCCTCCCTCTTTCTTCCTTCCATTCAAATTGAAATTGCTTTAGAATAGGTCACACAATCACTTGCTTCAAAACTGAAAATATGCCAAAGGTTTGAAGTCATCTTTCCATCCCTGTGCTGGGGCTGCCACGGCCCGTGCAAAATGAAAACATGGGCCCTTTGTTAAAAAGTCATTAAGAGTCATTAGGAAAATGCAAATCAAAACTACAATCAGGGCCAAGCATGGTGGCTCACCCCTGTAATCCCAGCACTTTGGGAGGCCGAGGCAGGAGGATCTCTTGACTTCAGGAGTTTGAGATCAGCCTGGGCAACATGGTGAGACTCCATCTCTACAAAAAGTTTTTAAAAATTAGCCAGGTATGGTGGCACATACTTGCAGTCCCAGCTACTCAAGGTTGCAGTGAGCAGTGATCGTACCACTGCACACCAGCCTGGGTGACAGAATGAGAGCCTGTCTCAAATAAAAACAAAAACAAAAAACTACAATTAGATACCACCTCAAACCTGTTAAAATGACTACTATTAAAACAAAACGACAACAGAAAATATTACAAGTGTCGGATGGTGAGGACATGGAGAAGATGGAACTCTCTCGCACTGTTGGTGGGAATAGTAAAATGGTGCAGCCACTGTGGAAAACACGATGGTGGTTCCTCAAAAAATTAAAGATAGAATTACCATATGATCCAGCAGCTCCACTTCTGGGAATACTTGCTATGACGTGAATGATGGTGTCCCTCCCAAAATTTATGTTGAAACTCAAACCCCAATGCACCAATATTAAGAAGTGTGGCTTTTGGGAGGTGATTAAGTCGTGAGGGAAGATCCTTCGTGAATGGGATTAGCATCATTATAAAGGGTCTGGAGGTTGAAGGCAGTGCTGTCTTGCCCTTCCACCTTCCACCAAGTGAGGACTCAGCAACAGACACCATCTTAAAGGCAGATAGCAACAGGCAGACAGCAGTCCTCACCAGACACCAATGCCAGGGCTTGATCTTGTGCTTCTCAGCCTCCAAAACTACAGGAAATAAATGTATGTTCTTTATAAATTACCTACTCTAAGGTATTTTGTTATAGCAGCGCAAATGGACTAAGACAATATTCAGAAGAATTAAAAGCAGAGTCTTTTTTTTTTTTTTTTGAGACAAGGTCTCACTCTGTTGCCCAGGCTGGAGTGCAGTGGGGTAATGCTCACTACAACCTCTGCCTCCCACGTTCAAGCAATTCTCATGCCTCAGCCTCCCAAGTAGCTGGGACTATCCCAAGTAGCTGGGACTATAGGCACTAACTACCATGCCTGGCTAATTTTTTGTATTTTAATAAAGACAGGGTTTCACCATGATGCCCAGGCTGGTCTCACACTCCTGACCTCAAGTGATCCTCCCACCTTGGCCTCCCAAAGTACTGGGATTACAGGTGTGATCCACTTTGCTCTGCTTTTTTTTTTTTTTTTTTTTTTTGAGATAGGGTCTCACTCTGTCACCCAGGCTGGAGTGCAGTGGTGCTATCATAGCTCTTTCCAGCCTTGACCTCCTGGGCTCAGGTGATCCTCCCAGCTCAGCCTCCCAAGCAGCTGGGACCACAGGTGTGCGCCACCATGCCTGGCTAATTTTTTTTGTATATTTTGTAGAGATAGGGTTTCACCATGTTGCCCAGGCTGGTCTCAAACTCCTGGACTCAAGCAATCTGTATGCCTCAGCTTCCCAAAGTGCTGGGATTAGGGCCACTCTAGCCAAAAGCAGAGTCTTAAAGAGATGTTTGTACACCCACGTACATAGCACTATTCGCAGTAGCTAAAACATGGAAACAAGGCAAGTGTCCATGGACAGATGGATGGATTAACAAATGCTCTTATCCAGACAATGGAATATGATTCGGCCTCAAAGAGGAAGGAAAACCTGACAAATGCCACAACATGGATGAACCTCACGGACATTCACATGCTAAGTGAAATAAGCCAGACACAAAGGAAATACTGTACAATACTTTTTAGAAGTACCTAGAATAATCAAGCTCATTGGGACAGAAAGTAGAAGGGAGGGTGCCAGGGGCTGGGGATAGGGAGAATGAGAAGTCAGTGTTTCATGGGGACAGATTTTCAGTTTTGGAAAGATTAAAAGAGTTCTGGGCCAGGCACGGTGACTCACGCCTGTAATCCCAGCACTTTAGGAGGCCAGGCAGGTGGACCACCTGAGGTCAGGAGTTCAAGACCCGCCTGGGCAACATGGTGAAACCCCATCTCTGCTAAAAATACAAAATTAGCAGGGCGTGGTGGCAGGTGCCTGTCATCCCAGTTACTCGGGAGGCTGAGGCAGGAGAATGGCTTGAACCCGGGAGGTGGAGGTTGCAGTGAGCCAAGATTGTACCATTGCACTCCAGCCTTGGTCATAAGAGCAAAACTCTGTCTCAAAAAAAAAAAAAAATTCTGGAGATGTATGGGGGTGAAGGTTGCACAACCATGTGAATGTACTTAATGCCACTGAACTGCACACTTAAAAATGGTTAAAATAGTACATTTTAAGTTATGCATATTTTAACACAATAAAAAATTAGAAAAAAAATCAGGAATTTCAAGACAGTGACAGGAGAGCATTAAACCGTGTACGGGGCCCTTTGGAGCCAGGCTTTGTGGCTTTGCAGGTGTCATGCTCATGAAGCCAAACCTGTCTGTCCCTCACCACCTTGGGGCTTCTCCAGGAGCAGCCAGTACTCTCTCTTCTGTCCCTGTTCACAGATATCCCATGAATGCGCAATGAGTGTGTGGATTTGTTTACTTTCCCCTTGCCCTGCTTACACAAACCAGGGCACGCAAACCTCTGTACCTGGCTGCTTCACCTTGTGTCCTTAAGCATTGCTCCATCTCAGAATAGAAAGGGCGTCCTCATTTCTCTGACAGCTCCCAAATCGTCCATTGTAGGGAGATGTCACAATTTATTAAACTGTACTACCACTGATGAGCCTTTAGGTGGTTTCCTACTTTTGATAACACAAATGACGTGGCAGTGTCTGTAAGTGCACACCAGCTGCAGGTACACAATTTCTCAGTGTGCCGGCGCATCTAGGAAAAATTCCTAGACCTGGAATTGCTGAATCAAAGAGACAATTTAAAGAAGTTAGGCTGGATACGGTGGCTCAAGCCTGTAATCCCAGCACTTTGGGAGGCCAAGGTGGGCAGATCACCTGAGCTCAGGAGTTCCAGAGCAGCCTGGGCAACATGGTGAAACCCCGTCTCTACTAAAAATACAAAAATTGGCTGGGCGTGGTGGCAGGTGCCTGTAGTCCCAGCTACCCGGGAGGCTGAAGCACGAAAATTGCTTGAACCTAGGAGGCAGAGGTGGCAGTGAGCTGAGATCACACCACTGCACTCCTGCCTGGGCGACAGAGTGAGACGCGGTCTCAAAACAAACAAACAACAACAACAAACACAAAACAAAAAAAACGAAGTTAGGCTGGGTGTGGTGGCTCACGCCTATAATCCCAGCACTTTGGGAGGCCAAGGTGGGAGGATTGCTTGAGCCCAGGAATTAGAGACCAGCCTGGGCAACATGGTGAAACCCTGTCTCTACAAAAAAAAAAAATTAAAATTAGCCAGGCATGGTGGCACATGCTTATAGTCCCAGCTACTCTAGAGGCTGAGGTGGGAGGATCGCTTGAGCCCAGGAAGTCGAGGCTGCAGTGAGTTATGGTTATGCCACTACATTGACAGAGACCCTGTCTCTAAAAATATTTTAAAACAGAAGTTGTACTAATTTACATGCATGAGAAACGTGTTTACCCACCAATGAAGTGTGTAATCAAAGTTTCTGATCCTTACCAAATAAATAACTGAAAATTTGTATTTCAGAATAGTTTTAATTTTTATTTGCCTTATTAAGCAGAGTTGATGACACACCAAAAGTGTGAACGGCAAAAGAAAGAAATGGATAACTTGGACTTTATCAAAATGAAAACTTTTGTGAATCAAAGAACATTATCAAGAATGTGAAAAGACCACCCACAGGACGGGAGAAAATATTTGCAAATCATATGTATTAGTCCATTTTCACACTGTTATAAAGAACTACCTAAGACTGGGTAATTTATAAAGACAAGAAGTTTAATTGACTCACAGTTCTGCTTGGCTGGGGAGGCCTCAGGAAACTTACAATCATGGTGGAAGGCAAAGGGGAAGCGAGGCTTGTCTTACATGGTGGCAGGAGAGAGAGATCCAAGGGGAAGTGTCAACCACTTTTAAACCATTAGATCTTGTGAAAACTCACTCACTATCATGAGAACAGCATGAGGGAAACCACTCTTATGATCCAGTCACCTCGCACCAGGTCCCTCCCTCGACAGGTGGGGATTACAATTTGAGATGAGATTTGGGTGGGGACACAGAGCCAACCCATATCATCATGTATCTGATAAGTATCTAGTATCCAGAATTTGTAAGGAACTATTAGATTTGACTACAAAAAGACAACTCAATTAACAAACGGGCAAACGACTTGAATAGATATTCTCCACAGAAGGTACACAAAGGGCCAAGAAACATGAAAAGATGTCCCGCGTCACAATCATTGGTGAAATGCAAATCAAAACCTCTATGAGACACTACCTCACGCCCACTAGGATGGCTATTATTTTTTAAAAAGAGAGAATAACAAGGGTTGGCAAGGGATGTGGAGAAATTGGAGCCTGTATACATTGCTGGTGGGAATGTGAAATGGTGCAGCTGCTGTGGAAACTGGTTTGGCATTTCCTCAAAAAGTTAAACATAGAATTACCAGACGGCCCAGCAATTCCGCTCCTAGGTATATTCCCTAAAGCACTGAAAACAGGAACTCTGACAGATACACACACATTCATAGCAGCATTATTCACAATGGCTAAAAGGTGAGGACAACCCAATGCCATCAATGGATAAATGAATAAACTGTGGTCTGTCCACACAATGGAATATTATTCAGCTATAAAAAGGAATGAAATTCGGATACATGCCACAGCATGGCTGAAACGCAGAAAACATAACTGTGTGAAAGAAACCAGACACAAAAGCCTACATTTTGTATGATTCTATTTATACAAAATTTCCTTTTGGGGTGATGAAAATATTTTGGAACAAGATAGAGGTGATGGTTTCACAACAACTTGAAGGTACTTAACTTAACGTCACTGAATTGTTCACTGTAAAATGATCGATTTTGTTAAGTCCATTTCACTTCGATTTTAAAAAGTGAAGTTGAGCTATTTTAATGTGTTCAAGAACCATATGTACTTCCTTGTCTTTGACCTGGTGATATCATTTGACCATTTTTCTATTGAGTTATTGATTTTTAGAACTGATTTGTAATTCCACTTTTTAAAGAAAATGATCCTGTGTGATAGATTGCAAATCTTTTTCTCAGTTTTTAATTTTTTTTTTTCTGAATTGGGTTATGGTGAATTTTGCTCTGAATATTAAAAAAATAATACAGTAATTACAATCAAATGTATTATTCTTTCTTTTACAGCACCTGGTTTTGGAGTAAGATTTGGAAAGATCGTTTAAAAATTCCTCCATGCTTTCTTGGAGCTCTCTGTAGGTTCTTAGATTTTTGAGCCATCTGGAGTTTATTTGGTGTCAGGTGCAAGGTTTGGATTCAGCTTTTTTTTTTTTTTTGATGATGTCTGGGCCGTTCCATCACCATTTATTACATCATCATCTTTTCCTCTCTGGGTTGAGATCCCTCATGGGTCAGTTCCTGGGCATCAGACTCTGAGACTCTAAGGCCTGTGCACCATGGGTTTAGTGGGGTGCTCTTGGGAATGACACCTGTGGAGGCCGAGGTAGGCAAGATTGGACAGAGGAAGGTCGGGTACAGTGCCTTACACCTGTAATCCCAGCACTTTGGGAAGCTGAGGTGGGTGGATCGCTAGAGTTCAGAAGTTCGAGACCAGCCTGGGCAACATAGTGAAACCCCATCTTTAAAAAAATACAAAAATTAGCTACGAGTGGTGGTGCGTGCCTGTGGTCCCAGCTACTCAGGAGGCTGAGGTGGGAGGAATGCTTGAACCCAGGAGCCAGAGGTTGCAGTGAGCCGAGATCGCGCCACTGCACTCCAGCATGGGTGGCAGAGCAAGACCCTTCCTAAGAGAAGAAAAAGAAAAAAAGATTGGGCAGAGGGCAAAGTTGGGCCACAGTGCAGTGGGAAGAGCAGCCTCTGCTCCCAACAGGGAGCTCTGGAGCTGGGGCGGCCCCACAGAGAGGCCTGATTGAGGCCAGAGGCCCTGGCCTTTGCCCCATCACATCAGCCAGCCCTGGAGGAGTGCAGCCTTAAGGGAGGCAGTGCCTGGGGAGGGACTCAGCCAGGGGCAACCCTCCTGCAGCTGAGGATAAGCACCCAGGTCCTGAGGAGGGACAGTGGGCAGCACAGCACAGCGTCCACACCCCTGCCCCTCGCCCCAGCAGCATGCACTTCCGTGTGGCAAGCTCACTCCATCCCATCCGAAGCAACACCTCCAGGACTCTGGTTGGTCCCTGTATTCGCTTCCCAGAGCTGCTGCAACAAATTACCACAAACTTGGCATAAAAGGAAAGAGATGTATTCTTCACAGTTCTGGAGGCCTGACGGCTGAAATCAAGGTGTCAGCAGGGCAGCGTCCCTCCAGAGGCTCTAGGGGAGGATCCTTCCCCACCTTTTCCAGCTTCTGGGGCTCCGGGTCTGGGACTTCGTCCCTCTAATCTCTGCCTCTGCCGTCACAGGGTCTTCGCCTCTGTGTCTGTGCCATCTCTTCTTTGTGTTACAGAGATACTTGTCATTGCATTTAGGACCCACTTCGTCATGTAGGACAATCTCATCTCGAAATCCTTAATTTAATTACACCTGCAAAGACCCTTTTCCTAAATAAAGTCACAGTCACAGGTTCCTGGGGCTAGGCCTTCGGCTTATCTTTTTAGGGGGTCACCATTCAGCCCACTCTCGTCTCTATTCCTGGGGAAACTCACAGAGGGGAGTGCATGGTTCAGATTCAAGCTCCCGCCACTGCAGGTGGCACCCAGAGGTGATGTCATCTTCCCCTCCACTCTCCACCCAAGAGCCCCTTTACCTTCAGTGAGTACCTGTGCTGGCTAGGTGGTTTACCTGGTGGGGGGACCCAGACTCGAATGCCAAGGCTATGAGCCCCAGGTCACCACGTCCTCTCAAGCTATGGCTGCTGTCTTCATGCATTTGCTGTAAAAACTGGGCATGGGAGTGAGAAGAGATGCTTTGCTGGATTCACCCCTCCCATTCTCCCCTTCCCTGCTAGGGAACAGCAGCCCTTTCTCCCCACGGACCACGGTCAGCTGCCCCTGCCAAGATGGTGACTCCTTTTCTTGCTTGCTGGCTCCTTGGCACAGAAGCCCGAAGTGCTCAGCCAGCAGCCGTAGTGCCAAGTGTAATGGGACCCATGATGCAAATCCTGCTGGAAGGGTACCGCTCTGGGAATCGGGTCTTGCAGACTCACCAAACCTAGAGTTGTGAGGTTGGAAGGCAGAAATTCCCCCAGGGAGACCACTGGAGTGACAGTAAATGGAGACATTCCTCCTTCCACCCCCTGCTTCCTGGATCAATGCATTCTGCCTACTGGGGACACGCCCCTAGAATGGTTGTTGATTTCAGGTGTATTCTGCATCTAGGAGGCTGAGGTCACATCCTTGCATCATCTTAGCCATGCCTTCAAAACGCTGTTGCATCACACTATGAGACTAGTGGCTTCTGGGTGGTGCAGCGTGTGACAGAGTCAGGGGACCCCTGGTCTACTCCAACAGCCCTTTGGCCATCAATAGGTCCCTTGGTCCAATGTGGGGATTTTCACTTTCCACCTCCCAGACTCTTGAGGGTAGCAAGGGTAGCTTGCTTCTGCCTCTAGTCATGCTCATTCTCGATCTTGATGGACAATTTTCTTTCTTTCTTTCTTTTCTTTCTTTCTTTCTTTCTTTCTTTCTTTCTTTCTTTCTTTCTTTCTTTCCTTTCTCTTTCTCTCTTTCTCTTTCTTTCTTTCCTTACTCCCTCCCTCTTTCCCTCCCTCCCTCTCTTTCTTTCCCTCCCTCCCTCCCTCTCTCTTTCCTTTCTTTCTTTCTCTTTCTCTCTCTTTCTTTCTTTCTTTCCTCCCTCCCTCTCTCTTTCTTCCCTCCCTCCCTCTCTTTCCTTTCTTTCTTTCTTCCTTCCTTCCTTCCTTCCTTCCTTCCTTTCTTTCTTTCCTCCCTCCCTCTCTCTCTTTCTTTCCCTCCCTCCCTCCCTCTCTCTTTCCTTTTTCTTTCTTTCTTTCTTTTCTTTCTTTCTTTTCTTTTGAGTTTTGCTCTTGTCACCTAGGATGTAGTGCAATGGCATGATCTCTGCTCACTGTAACCTCTGCCTCCCGGGTTCAAGTGATTCTCCTGTCTCAGCCTCCTGAGTAGCTGGGATTACAGGCACCCGCCACACCAGCCAGCTAATTTTTGTATTTTTTTTTACTAGAGACAGGGTTTCATCATGTTGGCCAGGCTGGTCTCAAACTCCTGACCTCGGGTGATCCACCCGCCTCGGCCTCCCAAAGTGCTGGGATTACAGGCGTGAGCCACCGCGCCCGGCCTTGATGGACAATTTCTATCTCACAGTGGATCCTGCTGGGTCTACCTGACCTTCTGGCTTGGCAGGTCTGAAAAGACCCAGCTCATGACAGGCAATTCTAGTTGCGTGCCTGTTGATGGTTGATAGCCAAACATTCCATCTCCAGCAGGGCCCCGGAGCTGTTTTTCAAACTATGTATAATTCTCTGCTGCAAATGGCATGGCCTTTCTCCAGTTGGGGCTTGTCATCAGCAATGCATGGCATCTTTTTTCCTGCACAAGCTCTAGAACCATCGGGTCTGCAGAGCCATGTGGCCTGGGTGGCACAGCTGTCCCCACTGCAGAGCCCCTTCCACCTGTGGGTTCTCTCAAAGCTGGCTGCCTTTCATGGATTCCCAAGTACAGAACATGCTGCCTCCAGAGTCCAAGTAATCTCCAAGCAGCCCTCCACGGTGGGAGCGGGTATTTGTCTACTTTTAATGTCTCAGCATGCCTTAGACATCCGGACCCATACAAACCTTGTAGGCCTTTTTTTTTGAGATGAAGTCACACTCTGTCACCCAGGCTGGAGTGCAGTGGCGCAATCTCGGCTCACTGCAACCTCTGCCTCCCGGGTTCAAGCGATTCTCCTGCCTCAGCCTCCCGAGTAGCTGGAATTACAGGCCCATGCCACCACACCCAGCTAAATTTTGTATATTTAGTAGAGACAGGGTTTTGCCATGTTGGCTAGGCTGACCTCGAACTCCTGACCTCAGGTGATCCGCCCACCTTGGCCTCCCAATGTGTTACAGGCATGAGCCACCGCACCCGGTCCCTGATAGGCTTTATCTCCTGTCCCTAGAGTGCAGGTGTCTTACAAGGTTTCCAAAGTACTAGCCGCTTCTTGCCCATCTTATCTCATTAATGTGATAGCATCGGTATAGTGGACTTCCATGGTATTCTCCTGGAAGTCCAGGTCCCTTAGGTCTGTATTATGACAGATGGAAGGAGAGTTAACAGAGCCCTGGGGCAACACAGTAAACATTTACTGTTGTCCATTCCATGTGAATGCAGCCTGCTTCTGGCCTCCTTTGTGATCAGGGTGGAAAAGAACGCACTTGCCGGGTCAATGGCTGCCAATCATGGACCTGTGGCCATGTCATTCTGCGTTAGCCGAGATGTCACATCTGGAAGAACAGCTGCCATTGGGGCTACCACTTAGTTGGGTTTGCAGTCTACTGTTAGCCTCCAGGATTTATCTGTGCTTTTGAGAGAGTCTAGTCAGTTATCAATGTCATGGTCCTCTGCCCAGTTTTCAGACCTATGACAATTCTCAGATCCAAAACTCATTGGCTAGGGAGAGGCTAGGTTCCATATGCAACCCCATGAACAGTGTGTACGGTTATGACTCCCCCAGTTCTTCCCCAGGGACCTGTGGCCACTTAGGTCACCATCCATGGAGAAAGGGGACCATTCACACAATGTCTGGGTGTGCAGGAGGACTGCACGTCCTGCAACCTTGAGGTCTCTGAGAGTGGCGCAATCTCCGCGGCTCCCCCAAGGATGCAACACTTTGTGTATGCACAGTCTTAGCTAGGGGGTGGTGGTGTATTAGACGTCTATTGCTGCTGTAACATGGCACCATACACTTGAAACAACATTGGCTTCAAACAACATAGATTTATTATCTTACAGTTCTGAAGCTCGGAAGCCCAAAACGAGTTTCACGGAGATAAAATCAAGGTATCAGCAGGGCTATGTTCTTTCCCGGAGGCTGTAGGGAAGACTCTGTTTTCTTGCCTTTTCTCCCTTCTCGAAGCCTCCTGCATGGCTCATGACCCCTTCCTCCATCCTCCGAGCCAGCAACACTAGGCTGAGTCCTCCTCGCACGACATCGCTCCGACTTCTTCCATGGTCACACTTCCCTCTTACTCTTCTGCTTCCTTTTTTCAAGTCTAAAGACCCTGTGATTACATTAGGCCCACCCAAGTAATCCAAAACAATGTCTCCATCTCAAACTCAGCTGGTTAGCAACCTTAATTCCAACGGCAACCTTCATTCCCCTTTGCCATGTAAGGTGACATAGCCACAGGTTCTGGGGATTCAAGTGGGGACTTCTTTGGAGGGCCAATATTCTGCTGCTATGCTCCGAATATTTTTGTCCCCCCCCTCCCCAATTCATGTGTTGAAATCCTAACTCCCAAGGTGATGGTGTTAAGAGGTGGGGCCTTTGGAAGGGATGAGTGCCCTCATAAAACAGACTGAAGGGTTCTCATTCATCCTCCGCCTCCATGCAGACAGTGAGAATCTGTCATCTATCAAGCAGGTACTGAGCCCTCAGCAGACCTTGAATCTGCTGGAGCCTTGATATTGGATTTCCAGCCACCAGAAGTGTGAGTCATAGACTTCTGTTGTTTCTACACCACCCAGTTTATGGTATTTTGCTCCAGCGCCCTGCACGGACTAACGCTGCCCACCAGGGGTGCAGTGACAAAGGCTTCCACCTGCCTTCCTCGTTTTGACAGCTCTTACTGGGATGAACGGACGAGGGCAGAGGTTATGTCCACACCAACTTTACATTCAGGGACCAGGAAATGACCACTGGATGGGTCCCTGGTGCCAGTGAACCTGCTGCGAGCCACTGGGGCAGGGTGATATTTATCACTTGGCCCTCACACTCTAACAGAAAGACCACGCTTACACTTTGAGTCCCCAAGTATCAACTCAGACATTGTGTGAATGGTCCCCTTTCTCTATGTGTGGTAACCTAAGTCAGCGGCCCAGGTCCCTGCAGAAGGATGGGGGAGTCATGACCATACACACTGTTCATGGGGTTACACATGGAACCTAGCCTCTCCTTAGCCGATGCGTTTTGGATCTGAGAATTGCCATAGGTCTGAAAACTGGGCTGGGGACCATGACTTTGATAAGCATCTGCCCTCCATCTCCTTTGTCCACGCTTGGCTCCTTGAAGCTGTATAAGTGAAGCAGCCCCCTTCCTGGCTGCCTATCACACCCCTTGGGACACTGTGTTCTTTTTTGTTTGTTTATTTTGTTTTGTTTGAAACTCCATCTCAAAAACAACAACAACAACAAAAACTCCCAGACTCTAGCCATTCTCCCATTGCTCTGTCACCCAGCTCAGCTCACTGCAACCCCCGCCTCCCAGGTTCAAGCAATTCCCTGCCTCAGCCTCCTGGGTAGCTGGGATTACAGGCACCTGCCACCATGCCCAGCTAATTTTTGTATTTTTAGTAGAGACGGGGTTTCATCATCTTGACCAGGCTGGTCTTGAACTCCTGACCTCGTGACGTACCCACCTTGGCCCCTCAAAATGCTGGGATTACAGGCATGAGCCACCGCGCCTGGCCAGACACTGTGTTCTCTTTCCTTTTTTAATTTCTTTCTTTCTCTTTTTTTTTTTTTTTTTTTTTTTGAGACAGAGTCTCGTTCTGTCACTCAGGCTGGAGTGCAGTGGTGAGTTCTCGGTTCACTGCAACCTCTGCCTCCCAGGTTCAAGCGATTCTCCTGCTTCAGCCTCCTGAGTAACTGGGATTAGAGGCGTGCACCACCACACCTGGCTAATTTTGTATTTTTAGTAAAGATAGGGCTTCACCTTGTTGGCCAGGCTGGTCTCGAACTCCTGACATCAGATGATCCGCCCACCTCGGCCTCCCAAAGTGCTGGGATGACAGGCGTGAGCCACCGCACCCGGCTGGGACATTGCGTTCTATTAACCACCCTCAGAGCTCTCTCTGGGTCAGCACCCTCACTGCACTGCCAATCTGCCCTTGTTGCTTTTTTATGGGAATTTGTAAGGTTGTCCTGGGGGTCTACCATCCCCACTGGTGTCTGGGAGCCTGTGCTGTACCAGCACCTCCTACAGGCAGTCCTGCCCACAGACGGGCTTTCCAGTGTGTCTCCCCTCCCCATGTCCCTCGTTGCTTGAGTCTCCCATGGAACACAGGTGCTGAGTGCAGTGTCCAGCCTTCACGTGGAACGCCACTCCAGCCCCGCCACGTCTCTCAGCCTTTGGTCTCTTCCTCTGCCATCTGCCACGGTTGGTCTGGGATTTTTGCTTTGCTCAATGTAGATAACCCTTTTCTCCAAACAGGAAAAAGAGCCATTAAAGGCACTGAAATAGGAGGCCTTCCCTTTTCTTCCCTCTGCAGAGTCTCTCTCTATTTACAGTGCTTTTATTTGCTAATTTAGGCCACTCTAAGTAAAGAAAAATTAAAACTTTAAATTATTACATGCATATTTCACTACTGGCCTTTATAAGGTGCAATGACAGTTTTAATGGCAAATACAAAAGCATTTAACTCATGTGGAATCGCTGAAACCTCACAACCCCCGTTGCGTAGCTTGTTCATGGACACGTACTTCGTGTTTAGCAGCGGAGTGGAGACGCCCCACAAACCAGACTCAGCTGCGTGTATTTCACTTCTTGAGATGCACATTCTCCCAACACTCCCCGCCTCCAGCCTCCTGCTGAGTAAGGAAGGGCTGAGAGGAAAAGAGCCGGAGTGGGCCCCGCCTTTCCCTGTCCTTCTATGCCATCACGTCAGCGTGAGTGCTTGGCTGATACAGGGAAATGACACAAGTCAGGAAGGACTTCATGGGCTGCCTTGGCCGTTCATGTTTCTTAGAATTCCATTGCGTTATTATTTCTGTGATTGAAGCAAGTTCTGGTTGGAACAGAAAGCGTGGGCATTTGGAACCACCTGGGTCCCCTCGTCCTCAGCTGCAGACATGATATGTTCACCTTGCTCACTGAGTCTCACTGAACACCCACGGGCGTGGGTCTGCTGGGACACTGTGCTCATGGGGCTTTGCCAATGTGATATGGCAGTAGGGCACGTCCTGTGAGTCTCTGCCCACACGTGCGCTCCACCACCCCAGAGACCTCAGTTGCAAAACACAAGCTCAAAGATAAAATAATCATCATCATTATTATTATTATGTTATTATGTCGAGACAGGGTCTTGCTCTGTCGCCCAGGCTGGAGTGCAGCCTCAAATTCCCAGGCTTGGCTGGGCGCAGTGACTCATGCCTGTGATCCCAGCACTTTGGGAGGTCAAGGTGGATGGATCACCTGAGGTCAGGAGTTTGAGATCAGCCTGGCCTACATGGCGAAACCCCGTCTCCACTAAAAATACAAAAAAAAAAAAATTAGCCGGGCATGGTGGCAGGCATCTATAATTCCAGCTACTCGGGAGGCTGAGGCAGGAGAATTGCTTGAACCCGAAAGGCAGAGATTGCAGTAAGCCGAGATTGCACCACTGCACTCCAGCCTGGATGACAGAGTGAAACTCTTGTCTCAAAAAAAACCAACAACAACAACAACAAAAACTCCCAGGCTCTCCCAGCACTTTGGGAGGCCAAGGCGGGCGGATCACGAGATCAGGAGATCGAGACCATCCTGGCTAACACGGTGAAACCCCGTCTCTACTAAAAAAAAATACAAAAAAATTAGCCAAGCTTGGTGGTGGGCGCCTATCGTCCCAGCCACTCGGGAGGCTGAGGCAGAAGAATGGCGTGAACCAGGGAGGCGGAGCTTGCCGTGAGCGGAGATCGCACCACTGCACTTCAGCCTGGGCGACAGATCAAGACTCTGTCTCAAAACAAAACAAAACAAACAAACAAACAAAAATCCAGGCTCAAGCCATTCTCCCTTCTCAGTCTTCTGAATAGCCGGAACTACAGGCACATGCCATTGTGCCTGGCTAATATTTTTTATTTTTTGTAAAGATGGGGGTCTCACTGTGTTGCCCAGGCTGGTCTTGAACTCCTGGGCTTAAGTGACCCCCCCCCATCTCAGCCTCCCAAAGTGCTGGGATTACAGGCATGAGCCATTGCACCCAACAAAGATAAAATTATTAAGAATTTTGAGCTGGCAGTGGCAGGGCATTAAGCCAAGCACAGGTCCTTCTGGGCTCGGGGCCCTGTGTGACCACAGCCGTTGTGTTCCTGCAACATCAGCCCTGTTTATACACACGTACACCTATGTGTATACACACTATTGAAATGTTTTACAACTTCCTTTTTTTAACTTAATAACATAGCTCAAAAATCATACTATGCAAGAATATGCCTTACATATTCCTTAAAAATATACTTAGTGCTTTTAAGAGAATGTATAACATTTCATTCAATGTATCAAAATTTATTTAGCCAATTTTCTTT
Organism: Homo sapiens; assembly: GCF_000001405.40. NCBI lineage: Eukaryota > Metazoa > Chordata > Mammalia > Primates > Hominidae > Homo > Homo sapiens. The sequence goes on from NC_000017.11 coordinate 79,909,711, forward strand.
TCATAGACTCCCTTTTCCTCAATTTTTCCCCCTTACAAAACAATACTGCTTCAAATATCTTCGTGCACTTGAGTAAATGTTTCTGTCCCAATATTTCTATGGGTGAAGTTTCTGGAAGTGGAGTTGCTGGCTCACAGTGTATGAAGATTGTATATTATAAGAGATAACAACACCTTACCAATTTATTTCTTCACCTGCCACAGTGCACACCTGTTTCCGCATGCCTCCTCCGACATGTGATATTATCAGAGTTTTAGATCTTTGCATCTTGGCAAAAATGCCTCATTGCTGTTTTTATTTGTATTAAATCATCACTAAGATTGAGGATTTTATCACGTTTGTTGATTCATTTGTATTTCTTCTCTTGTAAACTATCTGTATTCTTTGAATGATGTTCCGTTGCTTTAAAAAAGAAACAGTAAACTTTTCATGTTAGAATGGTTTTCGACCTGCAGACAAGTGTTGCAGACTGTACAGAGTTCTCATTACCTGACACCATTTCCCCTCCCATTAATACCTTTCATTCATGTGGGAAATTTGTCACAATTAAAGAACCAGCATTGATGTTAAAGTCCACACTTTCTCCACATTGCCCTGGTTTTTACCTATTATCCTTTTTCTTTTCCAGGATCTCACATGACATGCAGTGTTCGGGTCTCCAGGCTCCTCTTGGCTGTGACAGTACTCGGACTTTCCTTGTGTTTTTTGTTTGTTTGTTTTTGAGACGGAGTTTTGCTCTGTCACCCAGGCTGGAGTACAATGGTGCAATCTCAGCTCACAGCAACTTTCACCTCCTAAGTTCAAGCGATTCTCCTTACCTCAGCCTCCCGAGTAGCTGGGACTACAGGTGTGCATCACCATGCCCAACATTTTTTTTTTTTTTTTGTATTTTAGTAGGGACACGGTTTCACCATATTGGCCAGGCTGGTCTCGAACTTCTGACTTCAAGTGATCCGCCCGCCTTGGCCTCCCAAAGTGCTGGGATTACAGGCGTGAGCCACTGCGCCCAGCCTGGTCAGGGGTTTTACAGACCGTCCCTCTATTGGGATGTGTCTCGGTTTTTCTCCGGGGCCAGAAGCACGGAGGTGAAGTGCGCTTCTCACCCCACCACGTGAAGGGTCCGAGCTCTCACCCACCATGCGGCTGTGATGTGGGCCCGGATCACCTGGCTGAGCGGGAGGTGTCAGGTTTTTCCACGGACAGGTTATTCTTTCCCCCTTTTCATACTGCCCTGCCACATTTTCGTTTCACTCTCATTTGATTCATGTATCAGAAAATAAGCTCTTGAAACCCCAAGGCAGAGCGGCTCTCCCTGGTCTGCCCGTGGTGCTGGGCAATGGCTGAGTTCTCATCACCTCTCCCTGCATTGCCCACTACCCAAGGCTCGGGGCGTTTGCCCGCGTGGGTGAGGGCCCTCAGTGCCCCGGCCCTGCGGCCCCTGGTTTCAACTCCAGTCTTGGTAGCAGCCTTTGGCAGGGGCTGGCTATGAGTAAGGAAGGGCTGAGAGGAAAAGAGCCGGAGCGGGTCCCGCCTTTCCCTGTCCTTCTATGCCATCACGTCAGCGTGAGTGCTTGCCTGATACAGGGAAGTGACACAAGTCAGGAAGGACTTCATGGGCTGCCTTGGCCGTTCATGTTTCTTAGAATTCCATTGCGTTATTATTTCTGTGATGGCAGTTCCCAGGCCTGTCCTGAAATCCAGGTGTCCCGCTGGAACTTCAGTCTCTACGTGGCCAAAATGAATGTTTTCCTCCTGCAGTCTTGACTCCTCCAAGATCTGTTGATTGTCCCCAAACATTCCCAGAGTCTGCTCCGTCCTTTGCCAGCCTCTGTCTCTCTACCTGATGTACCGTAAAGGCCTCCAGACCAGCCAGGCTGACCCACCGAGCTGGCTTGGCTGGGACTGAGGGTCCTTCGGGGAGTGGCTGTCCAGTGCTAACACAGACGGTTAGACACCCTCCAACGTGTGGCCCTCATCCTCCCAGCTTTCCTCCCACAAACACTCGGCCACGGTTGCAAGAGAATTCTTTCTATAACTCAAATTCCTTCTCTTTTCTCTCCTGCCTGAGACTCCAAAGCACTTTCAGGATAAAATCCACCCCAGAGGGTTTAGGGGACTGTAAAAACAAAAACACATGAATTAATGAAAAAACCCAGCCATGTCATGGCACAGAGGCCTTTCACCCTCCGCCTCGGGCCTCCGCCCTGCCCCGCCCCATCCTGGTGCTTCAGAGACAGTTCCGCACCAAATGCTATGTCTTGGGGAAAAGGTGGCAAACAGGCTTGTGCAGGACAGACTACATCTTTATGTCTTTAGATGATTTTGCCTCTGAAATTGCATTAGTTTCCTGCGGTTGCCCTAACAAACTACCACAAATGAGGCAGCCTCAGCAATGGAAATCTACTGTCTCGCAGCTCTGGGGGCAGGAGCCCCAGGTCCAGGGCCCAGCAGGGCAGGCTCCTGCGGCTCGGAGGGAGAGTCTGTTCTGGGCCTCTCTCCTGTCTTCTCCGGGCTGCAGGCAACCCTTGGTATGCCTCGACTTGTAGGTGCATGACTCCAGTCTCTGCCTCTCTCCTCTCCCTGTGTGTGGCAGTCTCTGTGTCCTCCCCTCCTCTTACAAGGTCACCACTGATGAGGTTTAGGGTCCACCTGAAATCCAGGATGGCCATGTCTCAAGATCCTTAACTAATTACCTCTGCAAAGACCTTATTAACTCCTTTCCTGAGGTTCTGGGTGGACAGGAATTTGTCGGGACCACCAGGCAACCCAGTACAGACATCCTGGAGGCTGAATATGCTGTTGGGGAAACTGAGGCAGGTGTCTGGATCTGTTCTCAGGATTGAGGGTGAGTGGGGTGGACCTTTGTGAAGTCCTGTCGTTTGCTTGCAGGGTTGGGGGTGCCCTGGGCAGCAGACTCACAGGGAGACTCCTGGTTGGGGGGGTAATCAGTTCTGGATTCCTGTGCGGAGAACAGCATCAGGAGGCAGGACCCAGCAGAGGGCAGAGGCAGCGGCCACGCAGTCAGTCCTGAGGAACTGCATCCATCTTGCAGGAGCTCTGTAGACAGGAGGCCCCCAGCACTACCCCGAGTTGGGGAAAGAGGGCTGGGCCTTCATATTAGCCTCAATGGTCCTTGGAAGCCCCTGCCCTCAGAGGGGTGTGCCCTTAGCTGGGCCCATGGCCGAGGGCCACTTGATTTCTGATAATCAGCCCTTTATTCTGGAAGCGGGATCTGGTGTCCACCACCACGGGCCCTTAGGTGGATCTTTCTGTTTCTGAAACTCCCTGGTTCTTGCAGGCCTTGGTTTGTCCAAGCAAGTCAGTGTGCTGACCCCCTGACCAGACAGGACACCCATCCTTGACCTGTGGCCACGCCCACCCTGCCCCTTGGCCATGCTCATGCCACCCCATAACCACGCCCACCCTGGCTCACAGCCTCACTCACCCTAACCCCGGCCAGGCCTCCTGTGTGGAACCTGACTGGGGACCCAACGAGGAGGCCAGTGTTCATGGAGAGGCTGCAGATTCTTCATCAGATTTGCCAAAGGATGTGTGGCAGGAGGGACGGGAGCCACATCCATGTTTGAGTTTTTGCCACGTATCTCTCAGGGTGCAAGAGGAGGTCAGGACAGACCTCCTGGCTCCTGACTCCCTGTGGGGCCAGGGCTCAGGGTGGCCACCCTTATGCTGGGTGGCCCCTTCGCCTTGTGTTGGAAAAAGCCCTGAAGGTGGGGGAGTTTGTGGAGAACCAGCCCCTACGGGGCTTCCCTGTGCCCCCCAGGACCCAGCAGGGGCCGCAGGTGTTGTCAGTGTGCCCCCCAAGATCAGAGTGCAGGCTGCTGGGCAGGCTCTGCCGGTGGCCCTGGGACACACTCCCTCATCGCTCTCACTAGGCCAGCGTTGTCATCCCATTTTGCAGGAGGGGAAGCCGAGGTCTGGGGAAACTGGAGTACCAGCCTGTTCCTTGGCTCGGAGGCTGCTCGGCTCAGGCTGGCCTATCTGATGCTGGAGACTGGGGATCTTTCTGCAGGGACCAAGGGCCTGAGGGAGCTGACTGGGAAGCCCACCCTGGGGACTGAGAGCATCCTCCATCCTCCGGGGGCTGTCCAAGCAGGGGGAGGGGGCAGTTGTGGCTGCAGAGCAAGTGGATACGTTTGGGAAGGAGGCAGGGAGGGGGCTGGGAGCTTTTGCAAAGTGGACAAAGGTTTGGGGGCAAAATCCTTCAGCTCCATGAGAAGGAGCTTAACATATCCTGGGTCATCAGGGATGCGTGTATAGACTCGGCGAGGAGGCTCAGCAACCGAGGGGTGGGCCCTGGGGACCGATCCCGTGTTGCGGTTGGAGATACTACAATGGGTGGTAAGAATGATGATGGTTTTGACAAGAGTAAGGAGCAGAAGCACAGCCGCAGCGGTCACATATTCAGCACAGACTCTGCCCCTGCTATCCCCTGCCACCCCCTGCCAATGCCTGCCACCCCTGCCACCCTCTGCCATCCCCTGCCACCCCCTGCCATCCCCTGCCACCCCCTGCATTTTGCATCTGTTCTTTGTTTGGCTGTGCCTTGCCCTGACCCTGAGAGATCAGTATTTTTCACCCTCTCTGGCAGTGGAGGTGACCAAGGCCCAGAGAGGTGTGGCAACTTGCCTGAGGTCACACAGCTGGAAAGGGGCAGAGCTGGGATTTAGACCCTGGTCTCTGGTGTCTGTCACTACCTCCAGTGACTTCTCTATGTTGAGGTGAGCCCATAGCCGGTCCATACTGTGAGCCTACCATCGACCTGGCCCTCCCCGGCCAGTGCCCGCTGCTGGCTGCACCTGTGATCCCCAGGGCTCCCCTGGGTTCTGGAGGCAGCAGGGGCCGCCAGGCTGCCCTTCCTCCCTTCCACCAGCCTGCAGCAGGGTAACGGAAGGGGAGGGATAATTGTGGCTATTTATTCATGGTCACATACCTGTCGCCTGCGCAGTTGGGGCCTGAGGAAGGGCTCCCCGGCCAGCTGCACGGGGGCTGAGCAGACAGAGACATCCGCCTTTGCATCCCCATCAGCAGGACTCAGCTCCCAATTTAGAGACTGACTCCCTTGATTGAGGGCCAGGGAGCTCCCAGAGCAGCCAGGCTGACCTCGGCCTCCTGTCCCCAAGCGCTGTGTCCAGGAGGCCTGACCCCAGACCCCTGGCCCACCCCACCTGCCTTCTGAAAACCTGCCACCTGGGGCCTGGACACCCCTTCTTTGCTCCCACCAGGGCTGAACTCACCCACGATGGCCTCCCCAAGCCCCCCCAACCCGCTGTGTGGTCAGGTGGCCGCCCCAGTCTCAGGCCCCCCTAGCTCAGCCCCACTCCAGCCTCGGATGTCCTCTGTGGCCAGGAATAACCAAGTGACTCAGGCAGTGCCTGCAGCAATGACCCCACTCCCCAGGAACTTTCCCTTACAAGGCTGTGTGCAGTCCGGAGTACTAGGCAGGACCACTGCCCCACTTCATTCATTCATTCACTCATTCATTCATCCATTCACTAATTCATTCATTCATTCACTCATTCATTCATCCACCATACGTTTATTGAGCCAGCTCCTTTGCAAAGCTCCGGGTCACAACTGGGAACAGGTAGGTAGGACTCCCTGTCTCGTGCGCTTCTGTCCTAACAGCAGAGCTGGGCAGCCAGCAAAACGACCAGGTGGCAAAACACAGTGGACAGAGCAGAGCTGGGGAGAGGCAGCACAAGGAGGGGCTGGGAGAGCAGGACTGCAGGTGCGTGTCCATGTGTGTGAGCACATGTGTGTGCACCTGCTTGGGTGGGTGGTCAGAGGAGGCTGCCGTGCAAATGACCTTGGGGAAAAGCTGGGTGGGGCGGCAGGGCCAGGCATGAGCATGTCTGGAGGAACCGAGTGTCAGGGAGAGGGTGGCAGCATGAAGCCACAGGTGGAAGGTGGGTCCGGGGGCTTGCAAAGCAGCAGGAAGCTAGTGAGGGAGCAGAGGGACGCAGGAGGAGGAGGTGGGGCCAGGGGCTGGAGGGTCGAGGGGCAGGTGGAGGAGGGCCTCAAAGCCATTTGGAAGGCTCTGGGTATAGCTGGGGGTGGAGGTGGAAAGCCAGGTGAGGACAGATGAGAAGGCGCAAGACGGGCAACATCATGGCTCAGGGGCTGTGGTTTTGTAGGGGGCTCAGAGCGAGGGTCAGGCCAGGCCCCAGCCTCAGTCCCCTGACCGCCTCCCTCTTGGGCCAGCTCCACTTCCTGGCCCCTCCTGGAGGGTCAAGCGCAGCCTGGCGACTGTGCTGCTGGACGATGCCACTGGGACAGGCCAGGGCACTGGGGTGACCTCTCCTCGGGAATGAGGGAGGGGTGCTGCCCGCCCGCCCGCCTGCCTGTGCGGTAATTACAGCGGTTCCTGCCTGCTTGCTTTGAGGGGAGCCGGCTGGAGCTCACAGCCAGAGGGGCCCGCAGGTCTCACCTGCCAGCCACGCCCGCTGTGGCCTCACCTGCCCGCCCTGCAGGCCCACAGCATTCCCTTCCCAGGGAGGGGCTGACCCCTGGCCGCTGGATGCCGCTGCAGCTGAGTCACAGGTCACCTTGGGCAGGGAGGGGCTGGTCCAGAGGCTGGGCTGTAGGATGGCAGCATCACCCCAACTTTAGACGGATCCTGCCCCCTGGCTGTTTGCACGTGCAGAATAAAACATTCTCTTGTTCCTTTACTCAGACAAAGCCACCGTTAACGTTCGATGTGTTTCCTTCTAGTCTTTCTACTATATATGAGCACATATTTTTTTAAACAATGAAATCAGAAAGTACATACCGATGAATACCTTCAGCGCCATTTCCCCATGATACTTCAAATATTTAACAGCTCTATTGACATATAATTAACATACCATAAATTCTCCCATTGAAAGTATACAGTTAAATAGTTTTTAGTAAATTTCTAGTTGTGCAAGCATCACTATAATCTAATTCTGGAGCACTTTCATCTACCCTCAAAGAAAGCCTGCACCCATGAGACATTGCCTCCCATTCCCCTCCTGCCGCCGCCCCTGGGCAAACCACAAATCGGCTTCCTATCTCTATGGATTGGCCCATTCTGGACACCTCAAGTCAATGGAGTCACACAAAGCTCTCTTGGGTGTTCTGAAGCCCCATATGAAACGGCTGTCGGTGAGCTGTGCTTACACCATGCTTCCTTGTTGGTATCTTGTTTTGGGCATGGTTCTGCTTTGGATGGGTCCTCACCGTAAGGCCTGAAGGAGGGGTTATAAAAGGTGAGAGAGAATTTGTATTCCTCTCCCCGGCCACGGTGCTCCCCAAGAAGAACACAGCCATGAGCTCTTCCCCAAGGACAGGAACTCATCTCCTTTTTCCACATGGGCGTTCCCAGCACTGCCAGCATTGGCTGTAAGGGGCTCCACAAACATCGGGGTGACACACACCTCAGGACTGTGGCCTCTCCAGCTGGCTTGGCCTTCCTGTGTGGTGCCGTGGCCCCGCCGACACCAGGGTTGCATCAGGAACTCCTCTCCCAGATCCCAGCACATGTGACCAGGGTGGCCTTTCTGGTGGGAAACCATGATTCTCCCATGATGGAGAGGATGGTCGGAAAGAGCCACCCGGGTGGGGTCACAAAGATGACCATCCCCTGGGAAGGAGGAGTTACTGCCCAATCCAGAGAAAACCAACGTGAACCTGGATAAGGCTGCAAAGTACCGGGACAGCAGCGTCTGTGTGTCTTGTCAACGGATTCTAAAAGGCAGTTCCCAAAATATTCTCAGCCATGGTCAACCACTAAAGCCACTGTGGATTGGCCCAAAATGCCAGCTACCCAGGACTGTGAGGGAAGGGGGGTGTCTGTGGGAAGTGTGGGGCCTCAGGGAGCCTGTGTCCATTTGCCTCTTGTGCACAAGGGTGGGGAGGTGCCACTTCCGGCTGTGGGGCAGAGATGACAGCCTCTCCACTGGACACTGCTCAGGGTCCCTGGAAAGTTCCTTCCCTTGCAAAGTGCTTAGTGTGTTACCAATAGACCCCAGCAAGACATTGACCCAAATGTTGTCCTCTGTGTGTGTACGTGTGTGTGTGCGCATATGTGTGTGCATGTGTGTGTACATGTCTGTGTGTGCGTGTGTGTGCATGTGTGTGCGTGTGTGCATGTGTGTGTGTGTGCATGTACTGCACACCGAGCACCTGCCTGTGGATGGTGTACACACAAACACACCCACCCTGCACAGACACAGAGGCAAGCCGCCATCCACACATCGCGTCACCTCCTCGGTGGAAGGCACAGTAGTGACCCTGGCATTTCGTTTTTCTAGTTTGGTTTTGTCCAAGCTGGCTTGTGAGGTGCAGGTGTCCTCCTGCATCCAGGGCAGGGCAATGTGGTCTGTGGCTGTGGTGGTGTGTGGGGGACAGATGAAGGTGGAAGCTCGCACTGCACCCCACCACTGAGCACCGGATGAGGGCGAAGGGCTGTCCGCCTCACTGGACTCCCCGTGACTGCATCTACCTGCTTGCTCTGGCCAGACCTCCCCACTAGAGCATGGTCCACCCCAATGCCCGCCTCCACCCCTCTCCTTCAGCACAGGCCAAGCCTCCATTCCCCCTCCCAACGTCCACCCTCCCTGGCCTGTGCCACTGCATGGACTCCTGACTTCCTTCCCATCCTTACGGGGTGGTCGGCCTGTGCTGTCTCAGGTCCTGAGCTGCCCCTCCCTTCCCAAGCCATGCACCAGGGTCCAGCCCAGTGAGGCCATGTGGTGAGGGGATGAGCCATGGCCTCCATCAGGACAAGTGGGGCTGTCTCTACAAGAGGGCTTTCCTCTTCCACCAGTCTTGGGTGCCAGGGAGAGAGGCAAATATGGGTAGTGGTGGGTACATTGGCTAGATCAGAGGGGGCTGGCTTCCCAGAAGTTGGGAGGGTCCCTTTTAAAGTCATAGAAAGTCACACACCTGCTTGAGATAACAGTAGCACTTTTGGTACCTGCTAAAGGCAACACTTACTCCCAATCCCACAACGCTGTCAGAGGACTTTGCATTTCATCGCAACAGGATTGAGATGACTGAAAGTTGCTGAGCAAACCTCAGATGAATGAATAATCACAGAAGGGTTACTTGGTGACTTTCACGCAGTGTTTGTGGGCACAGGGTTCCTGAGGTTTTGCAGAACACCCCAGCAAGGATCTTGTTGTGGTGTCGATGGCTGCAGGCCACAGGCTGGGACCCCCTGTCACACAGGGCAAGAGACCTCCCCTGGCAGCCTGTGCTAGCCCCCCAGGCCAGGCCTGCAGGGAAAGGGGGCTAGGGGCTGGAACTGATCTCACGACAGCCTGTCCTCGGCTCCAGCATGTGGCTCCCTGGCTTCTGGCCACGGCTGGCTGGGTCCCCTGTGGCAGGAGCTGGCCATCCTGGAGTTCAAGGGCCCCTGAAGCACTGCCCACGCCTGATCTTCCTCCCCAGTGTTCTCTCCGCTCCAGGGGAAGTGAGACAGCCCAGCCCAGGCAAACAGGTCCAGCTGCAGCTGGCAGCCAGTCCCAAGAACGCTGCCACTCGGCCCTCCCCGCTGACCTCTGCACACCCTCGCCCGGCGCCCTGCCAGGCCTTATTCATGGGCTGGCAGTGCCAGGACCTCTCCCGGAGGCGGGGCAGAGCAGCAGCTTCTCGGCCCTGTGCCGAGCCCAGGCCTGCACCCTAGGCAGGCACTGCTCCGTGATCCAGGAACCACCTCTCTCTACAGCTGGGAGTGAGCAGTCAGAGAGGGAGACAGCCTTGCCCGGTGCTACCCAGCAAGCTAGTCACCGAGTGGGCAGAGGGAGGAGCGGCCCTCACCGGATGTCAAGCAGCCTGGGTCCCCAGTCCAGCTCTGCCTGTCCCTCGCAATAACGCCTCAGGTATGTTACGGACCACTCAGCTTGTTTCCCTGTAAGGAAACGTCCCTTCTCCCTTGAAATATGTCCCTTTCTATCCTCCCGGGGCCCTCGCAGGCCAACAGCCAGGAAGGTTGGAGCTGAGCTGGGCTGGCGGTAGCAACAGCAGCTTTCTCTCCTGCATTGGCTCCAGCAAGTCTTGCTCAGACGTTGGTGGGGTGGGGTGGGGAGGGTCACCGAGGCAGGGAGGAGCCTGGGGGTTGTCCTGTCGTCCTCCTGGGCCCCTAGAGTAGAAAGGGCACGTGAGGACCATCGAGGGTCCGAGGGGCATGGACAGGTGTGAGGGGACTCACGGGGGTGGGTGAGGTGGGGGAAGGAGCTTCCCAGAGCAGCACGGGGGCCCAAGCCCACCCTCCTCGCCACCCCTGCCCCACGAGGCCGTCTGGGTTGGGGATGCCCCAGGGGGGCCTTTGCGCAAACGTCTCCACTGGCAACAGCCGGTCGCTTGGCAACCCGCACGCCCCAGGCCCCTGCGCCCCGGGGAGCCCCGAGTGGGGCGGGGGTGCCCCGCGGCTCAGCGAAGCCCCTCCTGCAGCGGGCAGGGGAGGGGTGCAGGCAGCAAATGGAAAGCGCTCACCCACCCCAGAGCCAGCCGGGAAGTCCTTGCTGGAGCTGCTCTCCGGCACTGGGGCACCTGGGCAGCCATGTGCTGCCACCCAGGAAGGCAGGAGACCCAGGCTGCTCCCCAGGATCCTGGCAAGCCCCTTCCCTTCTGGGACAATAGAGGCAGCAAGGCCTTCTCCGGGGGCTGGGTGAGGAGAGAGGGCCTGCAGGTGTGAGGCATCTGTTGAGGCACAAACCAGAGGCTGTGCTCAGCTCAGCAAAACACAGTGCCTGTGGGTGGTGGGTGGCAGGGTCATTTCAGGTGGGATCCAGGATGTTCAAAGTGACATCCAACTCTGGGCTGGTCCCTCTGGGGTCGGCTGGGGGCTAAGGGCAGCAGCTGGACATGCCTCTTCCTGGACCCTGGGAGCTGGTCGCCTACAGAGCCCAAGCTAGGAGCTGCTGGCAGTCATTGTGACTAGGGGTCCCCCCATGCAGTGCCTGCATTTTAGGGAGACATTAGCCACCCTTGACGCCAGCCTGATTTGGGGTTTAGTCACCACTCAGGGCCATGCATTCCAACCAAAAAGTTACAGGCGTCCCCATCTTAACTAGCACCAAACCCAGCAGTGGGGCCGATGAACTTGGCCAAGCAGCCTGTGCCAGGATCCTGGTAGAAAGTGGGTTTGGGCAGCTGCAGGTGTGAAACATGGCTTAGCTTCTCTCCTGGGACTGGGGCAGGCTCCAGTTCAGCAGCCCACCTGAGGCACCTGCAAACACAGGTGAGCTTTTACACACGCCCAGCCCCCAGAGAAGGCCGGGGAGGCCTTGCCACCTCTGTTTTCTCAGAAGGGAAGGGGCTTGCCAGCATCCTGGGGAGGCGTCTGGGTCTCCTGCCTTCCTGGGTGGCAGCATGTGGCCGCCCAGGTACCCCAGCGCCGGAGAGCAGCTCCAGCAAGGACTTCCCGGCTGGCTCTGGGGCAGGCGAGCATTTCCCCTTTGCCTTTACACACCTGGGCTTCTGCGGTTTCCCAAGGGCTCTGGTGAGGAAACGGGCTTAGGTGCTGAGAGGGGGGCGCATAGGAGTGGGGGCATTTGGCCAGGGTGGCTGAGTCCCAGCGCCACCGTTCCGCACCCGGAAACCTTGGCTGTGATGCTTCTCTGTGGCTTCTAACCTGGAACCCGGGGGACATCCCCTTGCCCCAGTGCCTTCTCAATGCCAACGGTGACCCAGCCTGAGCTCCCCACCTGCCAAGGTCCGAGTTGAGCTCTCAGAACCCTTGGCCTTTCCGCAGGGCCTCCGAGGGCGTCTGGTGGATCCTGTGCGTGCTCTGCGGCACCCCCTCTAGGCTTTCCCCACTCACTGGAGGCCCCAGCCTGGCTTCAGAGGGACTCAGTGGGGCTTGACCACGTCCCAGCTGCGTGACCTTGAGCAGGTTCCTTGACCTCTCTGGGCCTCGGCTTTCTCACTCTGTAAAATGGGCACAAACAAGGCTTTGTGAGGATGAGTGTGGCTGTCGTGCCTGTGAGTGCTTATGTGATTCTCACTCCTGCCCCAGGTCCCCTCCAGCTCCTCCCTTTTGCGGTCCCGAGGTCTAGCCTAAGTCCCCCTTGCTTCTCTTGCAGGGTGTTTATTTCTCTCGGCTTCTTCCTCTCCCTACGCTCTCACTTTGTTTTATTTCATCTCCGTCCCTCTGCCCTCCCCTTTTCGCTATCGGTTTCAATTCTCCGCTGAAACCTCTGAGGAGGCCCTGCCCGCCCCACTGTCCCGCCGGCCCTCCCCGCAGCACCCACCCTGCCCGGCTTCTCCGGGGCTTGCCCTCCTGTAGCCCAGGAGTTGGGGCTGGGGGCGGCTGTGCTGACATCACTGGCGTTTATGCACTGCTCCTTGCCCAACGCAAATCTCATCCTCGTTCTCTCTGAATCAATTCACTTTTATTGCCTCAGCTGCTCAAAAGCAATTTTTCAAGAACAAAAAGGTCAGCACGTCCAAGACTAATCAATTCTCGGAGAGCTCCTGCCGCTGCCAGGGGAGCCGGGCTCCAGCAGCCCCCCGCCCTTCCCGCCAGCCCCTCCCACCAGCCCCATCACTTTTATTGCTTCATGATGCCTGTCATTAGTGGTGTGTTTGAGACGCCCCACGGTGTTCTTACAACATAAAACCTGGGTGACTTGCAGCGGGGGTGGGGTCGGGCGCATTTATGGGCCCTCGCCGGCTCCGGACAGTAAGAGCTGAGCTGATGGATCGCCTGCCAGGGGAGCCAGCACAGGAGGCCTTCAGCCACTTGCTTACAAGCAGAGCCGGGGCTGCCTGCCTGCTCCCAGGCCCACCCCTCTCTTCCCCTCAACTCCCCATCACTGTGGCCTTGGCATCGGCCAGCCGTTATGCCTTCCAGGAATTTGCCCTCAAGGCCTCACTGGTCCCCACCACAGCCCTACCCCTCCCTGGGCGTCGCCCGCCCCCCCCCACTCTGCCCGCCACGATGCCAGGCTCAGTCCCTCCAGCACTGTGAGGTCTACATTGCCATTCCACAGATGGGGAAACTGAAGCCCAATGTCACGGAGGTAGGAAGGGGCAGACGTAGACTTGGAAGGATTCTGTGGCCTGTTCGAGGTTCCGTGCATGAGCCGTGCTCCGTGGAGAGCCAGGTCTACCGTTCCAGCCTTTGCTCTCCCAGGCCCCTGGCTGTCCATGTCCCACACCACCCTGACACCTGATACTTGACACCCGTGTCACCAACAGCTACAGTGCACCACGGCCTTGGAACACCGCACTCAGTGCTCTGCCTGGATGAGCCCTGTACCCCCATGACGACCCCACTGTGGACATTCTTATGTCCATTTTACAGATGACGAAACTGAGACGGGCGGATGCAGTGTTGTGCACAAGCCACACAGCTGGAAACGTGGGCTGGGGACTGGAACCCAATTACCCGCTTTGGCTCTATAATCCTCTTTTTATTTTTATTTAATTTTTTTATGAGATGGAGTGTAGCTCTGTCGCACAGGCTGGAGTGCAGTGACACGATCTCAGCTCACTGTAACCTCTGCCTCTCGGGTTCAACCCATTCTTGTGTCTCAGCCTCCCAAGAAGCTGGGATTACAGTTGTGTGTCACCACGCCTGGCTAATTTTTTGTATTTTTAGTAGAGATGGGGTTTCCCCATGTTGGTCAGGCTGGTCTCGGACTCCTGACCTCAGGTGATCTGCCCACCTCTACCTCCCAAAGTGCTGGGATTACAGGCATGAGCCACCGTGCCCGGCCCTTTAATCCTCTTTTTAAAACACCTTAGGATATGATATATCCAGAATAGGCAAATCCATAGACACAGAATGCAGATCCGTGTGCCAGTGGCTAGGGGGTGAAGAGGAACTGCTGAATGAGCGGGCGTTTCCTCCTGGGGTGACCAGCATGTTCTGCGACTGCAGATGATGGCTGTGCCACCTTGTGAGGGTACTAAATGCCGCCGAATGGTACACCTTAAACTGGTTGATTTTATGTTATATGAACTTCCCTTCCATACATTATTTGAGGCTGGGCACGGTGGCTCACACCTGTTATCCCAACACTTTTGGAGGCCGAGATGGGTGGATCATCTGAGGTCAGGAGTTTGAGACCAGCCTGACCAAAATGGTGAAACCCCGTCTCTACTAAAAATACAAAAAAATTAGCTGGGTGTGGTGGCGCATGCCTGTAATCCCAGCTACTCAGGAGGCTGAGGCAGGATAATCGCTTGAATCCGGGAGGCAGAGATTGCAGTGGGCCTAGATCGTGCCATTGTACTCCTGCCTAGGTGACAGAGCAAGACTCCGCCTCAAAAATAAAAAATAAAAAATAAATTATTTGGAAAAAAAACCAGCTTAGGTTTTTCTGCCACCTGTTTGGCAAGAGTCTGGGTGTCCCCACAGGCCGTCTTCAGCTGTTCTCCTAATGCGGTCTGTGTGCTAGCAGGAGAGACGTCGAGACATCCTCTGCCCAGCAGGAGCGTCCGTCACCTCTCCCAGGAAACATTCCTGGCTGTCCCCACCAGCTCCAAAGTCTCCACCTCTCAAACACCATGTCTTCTTTGGTGTCTGGGACACAGGCTGTTCTTGGCCAGGCCACAGCCTCATCATGCATGGCTCTGCCCGGTGGCTCACGGGCTCTGTCCACAACACCGGGGGACAGGTGCTCTTATCTCTCCCAGGAGTCAGGATGAGACGTGCATGCATGTATTGCCAGCTTCTCTTGGGATCCTGGGTGCTTCCTCAGCCCTTGGCCGTCCCTTGGCCTGGGCTCCCCACCTCTCTGGCACCCAAGACTGGTGGAAAAGGAAAGCCCTCTCGTTCTGAGTTGAGATCTCAGAACCCTTGGCCTTTCTGCAGGGCCTCCAAAGGCGTCTGGTGGACCCTGCACCTGCTCTGCAGCGCCCCCTCCAGGCCTTCTTGCACGGGACAGTGACAGGGAGTTCTGTCTCAGAGCGAGTCCAGCAGGGCCTCCACAGAGTGCAAGGTTGCCTGCCCTGCCTGTGGAAGAGCAAGCCTTGTCCCCTGTTTCCCAGACCCCCTACTCAGTGGCCTCTGAATGTCCCCAATGTGGGCCCCTCCCTGGCTGCCCCTCTTGCTCTCCAAGTCCGAGCCCACCCAGAGCCCAAGCCCTCGGAGGCCCCTGCCACCTGGAAAGATGACACTGGGGCAGGGTTCTCTTCTGATGTCTGTGTTTTGTCTTGTGGGCCTTGGGGTGCCCCTGCCCCTGATAAGAAGGGGTTTCAGAGCAGAAATAAAGCCTCAGACAGGTGAGCCTCTGTGGCACATGGCCCCTCGAGCCAGCCATGCATCTGGGTTCAGCCCCTGCCAGGACACTTGACCAGGCCCCTTACCTTCTCCGAGCTGGGATCATGCTGGGAAGACTGAATGGGACGCAGCCGGTGAAAACGCCTGGAAGAGAGTAAACGCCATTTTCTCTAAGCATATTTATTTCTTTAACAACAGTGACGACCATTTGTGAGCCATCTCTCTGTCTCAGGCACGGTGCTACATGCCAACGAAACCTGCTCCCATTGAACCCTGGCCAGCCAGTGAAGAAAGGGTTGGGCCTGGGAGGTGCCACTTTACAGACAGGGGCACCAAGGGGCAGGGTGGCAGGAGGCCCACCGGACGTTCCCCATGAAGTAGCAGTACCAGCATCCACACCCAGCAGGCACCACGCTGGCCCGCAGCCTCCCTGCCAGCACGCCTGGCTTCCCGGCCTCGGAACTTGATCTGCTCCCTCTTCCGGACACTGGGGCTCCTGCCAAGTCCTGGGCTGGGCAGCAACTGCTGAACATTCTAAGAAATCCCTCCCAGGGTTTTCTCAGGAGCCCGGGTGGGGCAGGAAGTCCCCAGGGGCTGAGGGGACCGTGGCGGCAGGTGGCACCCAGAGCAGCACTCTCCTGGGGCCCAGGCTGTTGGGCCAGAGGCAGGACTGTGAGGCCTAGTGTAGGGCCTCCTGCCAGTGGCCGGCACCTACTTGTGGGGCTGGGGGTTCCCCCAGCAGGTTGGGCTCCCCACCTGACACACTCACAGACCTTGTGCCTTGGAGAGCCAGTGTTCCCGGGGCCACATAGCTATGCCGCCCAGGGGCTGGGCCTGTCCCAGCTCTGGTCCCCCGGCCCCAGGTCCTGGACGCTGGCTCCGCGCAGCAGCAGGCGGCCTCCGGAGGACACGATGTGACTGGCTGCCGCTACGTCGCACTCAGATGAGTCTGCGCCGGATCGACCTGCTGCCGAGTCCTGCCGGACAGGCACAGGCAGGGAGTGAAAATTATCTACCCCTTTTTATTTCTTAATAACTGAATGAAAATAAACATTGGTGGTTTGACAAATAACTACATATTTTCAAACCCAGCCAGTCCAGGGGATGCAGTTTCCAGGTGCGTTATGCAACAGGACGCCGCCGAGATGCTCTGAGATGTCCCTTGGCTGTCTCACGGGTTGTCTCTGGGTTCCCTCCCACCCCCACTCTCCTTTGCCACCCTCTCCCCAGCCCCCACTACCCTTTCACGCTTCTAAATTCAAGGGCCACACTGTCCCCTGAACAGACCAATCACAATGAGATCCATTATAGTTCCAAAGATACCACGAAAAAAAAAAAAAAACGTGGGGGGTGTCCAGGAATGCAGCCGCACCCCAGAGAGCAGTACAATCAGCTATTGTTGTGCTAGAAGTTTCTCTGTGATAAGAAGGGAATCTAGCAATGCCGCCTTCTGAACTGATTGCAAAACAGAATAGAAAGTTCAAGGCCCCGAGATAGCTAAGCTAGCAGCCCCTCCAGAGCAGCCCCAGGCCACACAGCTGGGCTTTGGGGCTGGCCAGCCCCTGTCCTTGCATGCATCTGCACAGGGCTCCTTGCAAGGGGGCCCGGCTCCATATCCCCCACCTCGCCCCCTCCCCATCTGGGCCTGGGGCGGCTGAGCTGGCTTCCTGCACTGAGGGGACCCTCCGGCCTCCTTCCTGAAGCAGCTGCCCTTCCCCGAGGGACTCCCGGGTGAGGGCCTCCCACATTGTCTGCTTTAGTGATGCTGGTTCTCCCACAGACGCTGCCTGTCCACCCCGCACAGATGGCATGACTGTCCTCCCCTTGCCCGGGCAGGGATACGGCGGCACAGAGATGGGGGCCGATGGCTAGGACCTGAACTCCAAGCTGTGGGCCCCAGGTTTTTCATCTGCTTAGGCCACTCCCCACTGCCCAGACGTCCCCTGGGGTGTCCGGTTTGCTGGAAGGGCCACCACTGGCCTTGAGCTCCCAGTGTCATTTCCGGGCGCTGACGCGTGAGGGTCTCCAACAGGCGGGCCCACGGGAAGTGCTTTCTGTGCTTGGCCCTTCATGCTTTGCCTCTGGTTCCTGAAATGGGCACTGGAGGTGGGCACAGTTACTGTCCACATTTCACAGGTGAGCAAAGTGAGGCTTAGAGAAGCTAAGTGACTTGTCCAAGGTCACACAGCAAAAGAGGGGCCTCGAACAGAACTAAAGGGCCCATGGTGCACAGGCAGAGGTTGCCATAGAGCGACCAGGGCCTTCTCAAATCCGGCTGTGAGCAGAAACTTCTCCCGCCCCCCCGGGCCCACCATGGTGACCTGTGGAGTGCCTCCATGCGCCGAGATCGCTTATCAGCCCATCAGCACTGGTCACGGCCACTTTTATGGTCTGTGTTCTCTCGTGTGTCTGTATTCGTGCGACGTTCCTTCATTCAGGCAATATTTGCTGAGCATCCAGGAGGCCCCCGTTTATTCATTTATCATCCAGCAAACACCGCGAGGCGGCTGCCAGCTGGGGCCGGGCTCGGTGCGGGCTCCCGGGTGGGGGCGGGCATCACGGGGCACTGCGTGGCGGATGTGGGGAGGGTCGTGATGGGGAGGGACGTGCTAGGTGTGCACAGAGATGCTGGGGTGCAGGAGCGGGTGTCTCTCTGAGCACATGGCCCGGAAACTGAGGGCTGTGGGTGCACTAATGTGGGGGAGAGACCAACTTCCTTTCACTGGAGCCCTCAAAGTTTCTGGCAGGGATAACCAGGATCCTAGCGTCTGACACTAAGTTCAGGGAGGTCACAGGACGTGCTGGAACCAGGAGTTCAGGGTTCAAGCCCAGGCCTTTCTCCTCATATTGAACGGGCCTCTCCTGGTACCATGGGGTGCCCTTGATCCAAAGCCCCCAGTGAGGAACATCTCACGGTATGTGGGGATGGGCCTTTGCCATAGCAGCCCATGCAAGGCCTTGGGGCCAGAGCCAGCCCCGCAGGGACCCTCCTTGCACTATTCTTCACATACACCATTGAGGACAAGAGGAAGGGACACCCCTGGCCTGGCCATGTGGTGACAGCTCCCTGTGCATTGACCCCCAGGGGTGCTGCGATCTAGGAGTGGCCATGAGACGAGGGGGAGGGAGACACTTTCCCGATGGTGTGGCGGGCAGGTCTGGCAGGCAGGGTTAGGCGGGGTCGTGGAAGAGGCTGTCCTGGCCCAGAGGCTGCCAGGCCTGGCCTGGGGCTGGCTCCTCTTCCAGGAAAGGTGTGAGGCCTCTTGTGGCTCAGCACTTTGGAAAGTCAGCCAAGTTCTAAGCTTACAGGTGCATGAAGGTTCCATGTCTGTGGTTTCAAGAACATAAAAGTGGGGTGGGAGGCCCTGGGAGGTGGTCCTGTGTGGGGGCAGCCAAGTAGGGGGCGTGGGATGGGGAATGAGGTAGGGGATGGAGTAAGATGTGGGAGAAGTGAAGTGGGGGTGAAATGGGGAAGTGGGAGTGGGAGGGGAGGAAGGGGCAGGTGCTGGGAAGTTGGCCCTTGTGGCCCTAATCTGTCTGTGACAGCTTCCGCTCCTACCCATCCACAGGGACAAGAACAAGTATCCCCTTCCCCAGCCTGCTCCCTCTTAAAAAAAAATCCTCTTCCTATTTAGTATGCAACAGGTGCTCAATGTGTGCTCCTACCGTTCTCCAGGAAAGGAGGGAGCTAAGCAGGACACAGCCCAGAGCTCAGCACTCCCCTAGCCTCCCACCCTCACCTCCCAAGGCAAGGGCCAAACCCAACGGTCTGGCTGGGGACCCCCACCAGCCTCCCCCACCATGGATGGAGGTGGCACGTCTTGAGGCCCAGAGGGGGCAGACATGACGTCCAAGGCTACACAGTGAGTCTAGACCACATGGCCTGCTCCTCACGCCCTGGAGAAAGAAAAGGCAGCCCAAAGCAGGGAGGGTCATGCCCCACCTGGAGTGGGCCTTGATGACCTTGACGTCCCCTTCCCACCTTGAAATATTTAACAATTCTTCCGGAGTTTCCCCAAGGAGGCCTATTCACACAGGCGGGCCATCTGATGATCTGCCCCTGGGGGGTTTCTCCTGCAGCCACCTGGGAGGGGCGTGGCACTGGACAGGGAGGTCCCTTTACCCCACACAAGAAGGAAGAGCCGAGTAACCCACCCTGACGGGCAGTCCCTCCACTGGGAGCTGGGGCCAGGGTCTGGGCGAGGGGCTGGAGTCAGACTGTGGGAGCACGGAGCCCAGGATCTGAGCCTGCCCGCAGGCTGCCTGTCTTCTGGTCTCTCTCCTCCTGCTCCAGCTTGGCCGAGCCAAGCTGCCGAAGGCCAAAGAGCAGCATGAACTCCTAAGAGTGACCCAAATAAACCTTCTTTTCAAGAAAAACAGGCCCTGCAAGCCTGTGGGTCCCCATGACAAGGGATCCATCAGGCAGACAGACTGCACTTCGGTTCGGTTGGTGAGGACTCTGTCCCACTCCGCCAGCAGCTCCCAGCCTGCTGGGCCCTGGCCCTGGTGGTCACCGCTGTGGCTTCCTGCACCCCCGCCCCGTAGAGAGCTGCAGGGAGCCCGGGGTGCTGCTGCTCTTCTGAGGCGGGAGGGTCTCCTGCCTTTGCTCAGGTTTTATAGAGAGAGGGTGGGCTGGACAGGGACAGACAGGGGCTGGCGGCTGAGGGTGAGGGTGGAGGGAGTGGTGCGGTGTCCCGGCTACAGGCGGGCTCTAGGGCTGGGCTGGGTGAGGGCTTGGGCAGGGTGGGTGGAAGGCTCAGAGGGGCCTGGGGCCAGGGCCCGGTGGGTCCTTCGCTGCCCTGGTTGGGGTGGGGTGGGTCACTGCAGGGAATTACAGCAAGTGGGAGGCTCCAGGAGGTGGGGAGTTTCCTCCGACTTTTGGGACTCTGAGGCTCGGCCTCCTCTTGCACGTTCTCCAGCCTCCTCGTCACCGCCACCAGGTTACTACCTTTACCCGACGCACACCTGACGTGGCTGGATGACTGGGCCCGGGGGCTGCTGCCCCTTCTCGCACCCCGCCCCTCCCCTCCCCTCCCCTCTCCTCTCCCCTCCCCTCCCCTCCCCTCCCCTCTCCTCTCCTCCCCTCCCCTCTCCTCTCCTCCCCTCCCCTCCTCTCCCCTCCTCTCCCCTCCTCTCTTCTCCTCTCCTCTCCTTCTGTGCCCGTCTCCAGCCCTCTCCCGTTCTGCGCGCCCCTCCTTCCCCGACTTGGGCAGAACCGCACGCAGCGGCTCGGAGGCCAGGCGTGTGCCGGGCGGGATCGCGCGCCCGCTGGGGTGAAATCAAAAGAAAAGCAACAAAGCCCCTTCCGCGGAAAATGGGGTGGATGTGAGCGGCGCCGGCCTCTTCCTGCTGGAATGGGAATTAGCGGCGAGGATTATTTTGAGGACGCGAGGTCCCTTTGTGCCCAAATGCGCCTCCTCCTGCCCGGCTCGGTGGGGTTCGCGGCGCACGGACCCCGCCCCCAAGGCCTCAGGTGGGCCGGGGGCTCCGGGAGGCCTCCGCCGCCCTCCGTCCCAGGAGAGCAGTTCCCGGTGAGAAGCCCGGGCTCTGCAGACACCCCACAGCAGTTCTGCGTCTCGGAAAACGCGGCGCCTTCATCAGGACCGCACGAAGGAGGGGGTGGGGAGGCGGGTCCAGCCTCGCGAGGAGCCGGCCGGGGTCTGGGGGGCCGTGGCAGAGGGGAGTCCCGCTTTCTGTCTAAGCCTCCCTGTGCCAAGTAGGCCCGAACCCCACCTTTGGAACCTGCTTTCTAGAAAGGACAGCACCCCAGGGGGCCCGTGCCGTGGGCATGGCAGCCTCTCAGGTCGTGGGGAGGGGAGGGGACACTTTGGGGAAGCCACAGGGGGTCTCTAGGTATCTCTGGGATGCTTTCTGGTGGGGTGTTTCCTCTAATCAAAACCATCGTGGGCCAGATTCTGGGGAGCTGGCAGCCCCCCCACACAAACAGACCTTGGTGTCCTGGATCAGCTTCAGGTACCTGATGGGGTGAGAGGATCGGTGCAGAGGCTCAGAGGCCAGGCCAGTTTGGTGACCCATCAGCTGAATTTCAGACTCCGGGTCCCCAGCCCCTTCAGAGACACTGGGACCGCTTTGGGGCTGCCCTGAAGGCTCCAGAGGGTGGAGGGGAAGGGCATGGTGCTTTTGCTAACACTCTCACGTCCCCTGGGAGCAGGTGGGTGGCCACCCTGAGGCCACTGCACGGGGGAAGGGACAGAGAGAGGTGGGGTGGGGGAGGCGGAGGGGAAGCTGCAACCAGCTCCCGTGGGGCAGGGGGTCGGCGGGGGTTTGTCCCTGCTGTGGGCACCTGGAGCGACACCTGTGGGGGCAGCTCCTCATCTGACCTGCACTAACACTAATCTTTAGTCAGCTCCAGGGACTCACCCACCCTGAAAGACCCCATCCTCAACCCTATCAATAGCTCTAGTTGCATTTCCGGCAAAATCTGCAAGAGCTCGGTTCTTTGTCTAACCCTCCAGGGAAACAAACAGTTCACCTCCCCTGGAATGTCCTCATCCCCTTCCCGGGGTCCCAACACCCTCCCCAGCCCCCACCCTACTCCATCTCAGGCTGGCTGCCTCTGACCCTAAAAGTCCAATTCTGTTTGTCTGCCGGGTTGGGGCACTCATCTGTGGCCCAGCCAGGCAGAAAGACAGAGAACCGGGGGAAACTCCCGTCTACATGAATCATGGGGCAGAACCTGGGGATTTATCCAACAACCAAGAGGGCGCCTGGACTTTGAAGAAAGGCAGCACTTGCCCAGAGGAGACTGTTTCAGGAGCTAGACCCCACCCTGCTCTTGGGGTGGGTGGTGGCATTTCCCAGGGGGCACCTGGGCTCTTGCCTAGTGGTCTGGGGTCCCTGGTACTTTATTTCTAAAGTTGTCCACATCAGCAGGAGGTGAGTGGAATAGACAGTGGAGGCCAGGTACCTGGAAACTGCTCCAGGGGCTGTGGTGGGAGGGTGACCCAGGTGCCACCCACCTGAGATGTGGTCATGGTTGGTTTTGTCTGAGCTGGTTGTTTGCTTGCAGAGAGGGAACCCAAAGGTCACACCAGAAAGCAGGCTTCCAGTGCAGTGAAGGCGAGGGCTGGAAAGCCGCACCCACCCCCGCACCCACCCCTGCACTTGTGTAGTCCTCACGTGTCCTCTACATCCTGGGCCAGAGGGAGAGGCCCCTTCAGCAGCGGCTCTCCCAACAAAGAGGAAGGCCCCCACCAAGAGCACGCACTCAGAACCCCAGAGTTCTAGGAGGCAGAATGGATGGCACCAAGAGGTCAGCGGTCTAGAGTGGGTCTCCCAGAGCCCGCCCCGTGGCAGCACCTCATGTGACCACTGGCGCCTTTGCCCAGGTTCTCCACACTGGAAAAGTGGAGAATGGCTAGATGGTGCCCCCTCCAATAATCCACAAACCTGGGTGACACTTATTATCCTTCAGTCTTTATTTTAAATAAGGCCCCTGTCCTTTACCCTCCCAAAGTACTTTTAGACATTTTCCTTCTGCCCAGAATCCTCTGCCCGGTCCCCTGTAGCTAGTGTCCAGACACTGGTCACAGACCTCCACTGAGCCCAGTTAGAGCGCTGACCTCCCATCTCAGGACTTCTTGGCCCTTGCCCATTGCCATACTCTACTGTCAGATTTTAAAACTGCTAGACCATGTGCCAATTCACATTGACTTGTAGCCACTAGGACCCTGTGTCTTTTTCTATTGTGCTTGTTCATGGCCAGGAATCAACGAACTTTGGACAGACAATCAGTAGACTTTGGGTGTGGCCTTGGTGAAGGCTTCCCACTTTGGTGACTTGCATGTGCCCCTCTTTGTTGAGGGGGTTTTGAAGCAGCTTCTGCGTCATTGGGAGCTGGCTGCTGCGCCCAGCCTGAGGCCCTGGACCCCTTTTGCACCATCCTAATTTCAACATCCAGATGTCAATTCAGAAAATTATTATATCATTCTAATGACTCAAAACATAAAATCCCCTCTTTTGTCTCATGTTGAAGAGCTGATGACATCGGACCTATCAGGTCAGACTTATTTTCCTAGTCAGAGACTGAATGGCATATTTTCAAAGCACTTCGTCTAAATTGCATGGCACACACCCCAGGAGCCCAAAGATCTGGTTGTTCTCTTGAGATGCAGAGAGGAGGCCCACAGGTGGCGGAGGGGTGAAGGAGGAGGAGCCACCACTTCCGAAGCATCAGAATGTCAAAATCTAAGTTTTCCACGAGGTCAGCAGCAGGTGTCTCCTGGTCTGGAGAGGGCATGGAAGTGGCCACAGGTCTGGACTTCTCTGGGTGGATGTGAGGGAGGGTGATTGAACTGGAGGAGGGGGCTGGCTTGAGACCTTCCTGTTCTATGTTGGGGGGGATACTGAGGGTCCGTCTCACTGGGACGAAGAGGGGGCACAGATGCAGGTATGCCCAGGTACCTGAGTCCCAGCCAAAGCGGCAAAGCCAGACCTCCCGGGATTCCTTGAGTTTGGACAAAGGGTGTCCCGACGACGATAAAGAGCCAGGAGCAGAGAGCCCTGCATCTTGCCTGGGGCCCCTTGTATCTCTGGCTCATGGCCTGTCCTGGGCACGGGGAGGAAGGGAGACACCCGTAATAATAACAGAGACCGCACTGGACTATGGGGGATCACAATGGGTTTCAGTTTGATTGAGAGAAAATAAGGTAAGGGACACGTGCTCGCCTGAGTCTCTGGAGTAAGAGTCACGCCTTGGAGAAGGAGGGCAGCCAAAGGCCACGCAGAAATTGGGGGTTCAAGGTTTGCCCAGCCGGCCCCAAAGGTGTGGGGGTCCACATGGCCTCACCCAGGGGCCAGTGGGGTGGCTTTGCTCATTTGAGGGTGTGCAGGGTACATATGTGTCTGCCCCGGGAATCCAAGTAGCCCCAGTGCGCTCCTGCCTTGCTTCCCTAGAGCGAGCCCACGGTACCATAGTCCTCGTGGGATGAATGCATGAATGATGTGGAAGGAGCCAGAACAGGGCTGCAGACAGGATGCTCTCTCATAGAAGGACCCCAGAGAACTTCCCCTCTGGAGCCTGTGCGGCTGGTTGAGTGTAAACGCTGAGTCATGCTCGCTGCCCAGCTGTGTGGCAAGGGCACTCCCTAGGCACTGAGCAGCCACCGCCAGCCCTGAGGGCTGCGGGACAACAGAGAGCCGGGCCTGCCCGAGGCACGGCCCCTGAAAAGTGTGGCCCGCCAGGTGGCACCTATGTTCTCTTGCCCGGCGTGGGTGACTACACAGTTGTCATTTACGGGGGAAGTAGGGCACAGCAGAGGTGAACATGAGGATGATGCTGCGTCTGGGCTGTATCCAGGGAACCAGCTGCCGGACAAATTGGAAGGGACCTTCTTGGCAGGACAGGTCCAGTTGGTGGCCTGAGGTGGGGTTGTGGTGGGCCTTGTCCCCCTGCAGGGCTGACCCGTGCAGGTGGGATCATCCTTCCTGAGGAGCTGCCCTGCCCAGTCCCGTTGCCTTGGAGGCGGTGACATCAGGGGCCCCTGAGCCACCAGGTTCCTCCATCTTCATGTGGCCACCACGGCTGTTGCAGAGTCCACGGTAAGAGCCAGGACGTGGCTTCCAGGCAGGATGGGGAAGCACCTCCCACTCCCACATGGACAAAGATTTCTTTAAACGGAGCCACCAGCCATGCCTGGTAGTGGGTGCCCTCCCTAGGCAGGCAGTGCTGGCTCTGCTCTTTCCTGGGGGAAGCCCACTGCTCCTCCTGGGGCCTAGTCCGTGGGACCTGCCCAGCCAGCCTTGGGAGGGGCACCCCTGGGCATGTGGAGAGGAGGTGATGAGGCGCTCAGATGTCGAGGCCAAGGCCAGGTAGGTGGCAGGTGAGACAGGCCCTTCAGACATGAGACCCGAGTGATGTAGATAAGAGGTATGTTCCCCTCCAGCCCCCGCCCCCAGGCAAAAGGGGAAAAGACACACAGAGAACAACAGAAAACAGTTGGAAACCCCAAAGGGCGCTTGATGAAGAGCTGGAGCTCCCCGCCCCCCGTGCTCCGGGAGGACCAGGAGACCTGCTCCATGGGCCAAACCGCCTTTGCCCATCCCTCCCCTGACCCCTGCTGCACGGTTCCAAGGGCTTGGTAGGGCAGCCTGAATTTTCCCTAACTCCCACTCCTAGGAAGGTCAAATTCACCTTGTTTGCCTCCTTAAAAATTCACAAATGCAGGACTGAGGCTTTTCCTGAAACCAGAGCCCCGGCAGCCAAGGCTCAATAAAATACTGTTTGTGTTTCCAGGCACTGGGGTGGGAGCGAGGCTCCCAGTTGCTCAGAGTTAACCGGCCCTTTCCCGAGTGAGACCCCGCGAGCACTCGTCAATTCTCCCATCACCCTCCATCGCCGCCTGCTGGGGGGGCCTGAGGTCCGGAGCTGCTCTTCCTCCTGGCAGCCCAGCCTGCAGGCCTAGTGCTGTCCAACCACAGCCCAGAGGGCAAGGCCTCCCAAAGTGGGCGCTTGCTGAGCCCCTGGCCAGCCTCCCAGGACCCTCAGTCCCCACAGCCCCCATCCAGCTCTCTTTTACACCTTCCCCTCCCCCATCTCAGAACATGGGAGAAGCCGGGCACACTGGCGTCTGCAGGCTGCCCTTGGGCTGCCACGGGGCCCTGTTTGCCCAGCACAGAGCCTGCCGTGCTTTGACCCAGCAAGTCCCACCGCACCTTCCAGAGGCACTGTACAGCGTGCATCTGTTGTCAGTACAGTTTTATTTGCTGTGGAATCCATGAGAGCCGGAAGCATCGTTGGGGCCGTGGCTAGCAGAGCTCATGGTGACCAGTCCTGGGCCTGACCAATGGGTGATTACATTTAAAAACCAAAACAAAACAAAACAAAATACCAAGAACAGATCACTTGCCATGGACATCAGTAATCTATTGGTAATGGTGGAAATTTCATGAAAATTTCCCCTAAACCATAACAAAAACTGTCCTCCTTACCCCAAAAGTGCTGGAGGAAAGATGGTTGCATGACTTGACCTCTCTTTGAACTTGAAATGCTACCTTCCTACCCGGAAATGCGACACACTATACTTAAAAGGCCAGATGGCTGCAGGCTGTTTGCACCCCTGGCTCTGCCCAGGGACACCCCTCTCCTGGTTCTAATGCTCAGACCCAGGAGGCAGAGTCCGCAGCCCGAGGGAGCTTCAAGGCCGAGGGGTAGGACCTGCAGGGCCCACACCACCCTTCTGATGGAGAGCTTTGCACATGCATTCACACACACATGCCTGGCGGGATCGCAGAGGATGGGTCTCGTGGCAGGAGTGGGCAGAATGGGGTGCATTTTACAGAAGAGTCACAGAGAGGCTCGCCCTCGGCGGAGGACACACAGCTGGGTGGGCGTGTGGGAGTGCAGGTGTGCTGACTCCGAACCAAGGGAGAGCTCTCCGTCCTGAGCTCGCTGCCCCTCACGATGCACACGGCTGATGGCTGAGGTCAGCGGTCTCTTCCCTGAGTGGCAGGTGTGGTCCCTGGGACTTCATAAACCATCCTCATGACAGTTTTACACTTAGAGTCCCCAATGCACTCCCAGGAGGTGGCCTGGGCAGGCAGGCATCATTATTCTCATGTTACAGGTGAGGAAACTGAGGCTGAAGGAGGCAGAAGGCCACATACCCGGGGAGAATCGCAGGCAGCAGGGGCCAGGCCCCTTCCACAGCACTGCCTCTCACCCTTCTCCCGACCAACCCCCAAGGGCATGCCTCTGGCTTCATGAACCTTCGGGGGAAATTAGCTTTCTAGTTTGGGGGCGGTTCCCTCTGACTGGAGACAGGACAGAATGCTTTCACACCCAGGAACGGCCGTGCAGCCTGGCTTAGAAACAAGGGACGAAGTGGATCCTGAGGCTCATTCCCTGGGGACTCCAAGAATGGGGCAGGCCCAGCTGCGCAGCCAGTCCTGGCTCCACTGACTTAGGCTGCACCCCTGCACATATGTGTGTGTGTGTGTGCATGCGTGCGTGTGTGCATGTGCGTGTGTGTGTGTGTGTGTGTGTGTGTGTGTGCGCATTTTCCCAGGGGACCTCTCCTCCTTCCTCTGAGGCAAAGTGGCCTGCAGGGGCCCCTGCAGAGCATACAGGGAGGTGCTTCCTTCCCTCTGCCCAGCGAGCAAAGGGTGGAGCCTTGGCACCCCCAGCAACCCCCTCCAAGGGTGGAGCCTTGGCACCCCCAGCCCCCACCCCGCAAGGGAAAGGGGAAGCTGCACGAGGAGCAAGATTTCATTCCCCAGAGGGCACAGCTTGGGCAGATTCCCATCATCTAGGGGCTGTGCCCCACATCTATTTCTGCCAAACAAGAAGCAGACGAGGGGGCTCAGGGGGGCGGGCCTCACAGGAACGGAAGCACCACCCCACCTCTATTCCCTGTGGCCTCCAAAAGAGCTGGGCAACCTCTGCCAGCCACTACCCCTTAGCCCAAGGGGAGTCCTCATTCCAGAGCCAGCATCTTCATCTTGTCCTGATGCCCTGCCCACCCCCGCCGAGCTTCACACTGGGCTGCTATGGAAAACTGAAAGGTCAGAGGGTGGAGGTCCTCTCCCTCCTGGACATGGAAACCTCCCCCTGCCTGGCACTTCGGCTGGTCAGGAACAGTGGCTGCTCATGGAGCTGCCCTCCCACCTTCAGACCCTCCTCCTCCCCCGCAGGGGTGGGCTGGGGCCCTCCCTCCCTCTGTACTTGATCCATGACTTGTGAGTTCTGAGTCCTCAGGGCCGAGACTTGAGTCAGAACCTTCTGGAGCAGTACGCATTTCCCCTCTGCACCTGGTGAGGACACCAGGCTCCTCGCTTCCTCCCCAGATCTCTGAGTGCTCACCCGACCCCCCAACCCTGGCGGGACCTTCCAGGGCTGGCAAGCATCGAGCCTGACCACGTTGCCTCTTGGGTGCCAGCACGCCCACATCAAAGGTGTCCCCTCTTCCCAGAGGCCCTGAGCAACATCGGGCGACGCTGTCAGCAGACATTAGCAGCAGAGCTGCACCACGCATCAACTTTTAAGTATGCGCACACACGTACGCCAGCCAATAACATTAAGTGTCATTTTAAAAAATGGGTTAAATAAGCAGCATTGCTGAGGATGGCCGTGCAGGGCTGATTATCCCCTATTTGCACGTTCTGGCGGTGGGAAGGCTAGAAGTCTAATGACTGAATTATCGCCCTAATGCCTCTCGCTGGCTGGGAATAATCCCGGGGCAACAGCTGCCGCGGGGTTTTTGGCTGGTTTCCTCTAATTGCATCCAGATTAAGGGAGTTGTGGAGGGGCGGGGCTTCTCCATCCCCCGCGGAGCAGCGTCTCCTCCGCCAAGCCCTGAACACCCAGCTCATGGCTTCCGAGGTCCTGGCTGGTCCGAGAGGTGCAGACCTCACTGGGGTCCGGGCCAGCCCATGGGGAGCGTGAGGTGCGAGCAGTGCACGGTGGGGGTGGCACTTGGTGCAGAGATGCAGCTGATTGGTCCGGGTCAGGTCTTGGGGAGCAGCAGGGGTGAGAAGCTGTAGGGCCAGGAGACTCAGAAGGAATGCCTTCTACTAGGACCTTCCCAAGTGAGGGGAGCCCTGGACCTGTCTATCCTCTTCCTCCCTCCCAAACACAGCGGTTCAAAGGCACGAGGTATCTAGTGAAATGCTAGGACCAGGGACGCTATTCCCCTGGAGCAGGCGGGTGGGGAAGGAGTGCTCCAAAGCAGGCATTATTAGGACACAGACTCTCCAGAGTCCCAGTTGTTTAGCCCTCCAAATTCTCAGCCTACTGCCACCCGACTGTGCAGAGCGGACAATAAAGTGGCAGGCCTGTCCCCCACCCCTTAATGCTGAGCCCAGCCACGTGACTTGCTGTGGCCAAGGGGAGAGCTGCAGGTGTGGTGTCCACCAAGGCTTGGAAAGGCACTTGCTGTCTCTCCCTCCGTGCCTTTGGCTGTGCCATGGCTGGCCTGCAGGAGGGATGCAAGAGACCACAGAGCAGGGCCAGGTCCGACCTCTGCACCATGAGCATCCCCTGGGACTTAACAACCCACTGGCCCTAAACAAACAAGCCCAGCCTAGACCAGAAGAATCACCCTGCCCAGACTGCTGACTCCTGCCCTAGATCAGTGCTGACTGTTGCAGGCCACCGAGTGTTGGCGGATTTGTTACACAGTATTGCTGTGGCAATGGATATAACTGGTTTCTAGCGGAGGGTCAGGGCAGAAGCTCCAGCCACCTCCCTAGCCCAGAAAGGCAACCCTCTCTTCCCAGAAGCAACATGGATGAGAAGCCCACCCCATTCCCACCACAGGATCCCCCACTGCTAGACAGCAATGGTCGGTACCCCAGGATCTGGGCACTGATGGGGCTCCAGGACGGTCTCCTCAAAAGGCTCTTAGGCAGACAGACCTGGGAACTTGGAAGTACCTGCTGGACGACCTGGGTTCATGGAGAAAAGAGAAGCCGAGAAGGTGGAGGAGGCCGGTAAGTGGTGACCTCCGCTTTCCTGCTGAGGAACACTGCTTTGAAGTGGCATGGCCCAGCAGTGCCCACCCTCCAGGGAGAAAAGCTTTGAGTGGGAAGAAGCCTTCTATCCTGGTCCCCATGATGGTTCTCAGCACATCAAGGGTTTTTCTCCCCAGAAGGACGCGATGGAGGATTTCAGGAGGGATTTGGTCTCCTCGCTCAAGGAGTGGCTTTCTGTGCAAATGGCTCGACACTTCTAAGCTGGCTGGGAGTTCTCACAGCATAGATCGCACACCCTTTTCTGTCCATCTCTAAATCCCAGAAGGAGCAACTGATACACAATCTTTTGGAAGAGGGAGAGTCTGTTGGGAAGACCTCATTCCCACATAGAAGGCAGAGAGCCCTGAGTGCTGGCTCCTTCACTGTGGTCGCTCTCACGTCCGACCACCTGAGAAGCTGACTTACATATCTGAGTTCACAGGTCCTGAAGGGAAGTGGAAGAGTCTAACTATTTCCAGGTGTCCTTGTCTTGGTTGGTCAGCTAATACACTACCACGTCCCTGGGACAAAGCAGATCATTGTCAGAGGATCTTGCAAACACAAACACGCACGCACGTGTGCATGCATGCATGCACGCAGGGACACACGCACACATCGACCCATTCAAGCCCCAGCTGGTTGCTGTATTTGGTGGAGTTGACCTTAAACAACGCCAAGGAACCTC